>NC_000003.12:51525151-51828181 GCF_000001405.40 Homo sapiens | reverse complement strand
TCAGAACATCAAGGAAAAAGAAGATCCTAAAAGTTTCCAGAAAGAAAAAAAAATAGGTCACATCCCACAAACAAAGGAATCAGAGTGATAAAAGACATTATATTAGTCGGTTCTTGCACTGCTATAAAGAAATACCTTTAAAAAAAGAAAAAAAAATACCTGAGACTGGGTAATTTATAAAGAAAAGAGGTTTAATTGTCTCACAGTTCTGCAGGCTGTCCAGGACTCATAGTGGCTTAGTAAACCAACATAGGAACAGGAAACCAAGTACCACATATTCTCACTTAGAAGCGGGAACTGAATAATGAGAATTATTATGGACACAAAGGGAAACAACAGACACTGGGGACCATTTGAGGGTGGAGGGTGGGAGGAGGGAGAGGAGCAGAAAAGTAACTATTGAGTACTAGGTTTAGTACCTGGGTGATGAAATAATCTGTACAACAAACCCCTATGACACGAGTTTATCTATATAACAAACCTACACATATACCCCTGAACCTAAAATAAAAGTTAAAAACCAAAACCAAAACTAAAAACCACCAACAAAAAAGAACTTCATGTACCTTGTTTAAAAAAACTTACAATGATAAATTAATTATAAAAATTATGAATAATTATAATCTAGCATTTATAAAAATTATAAACATAATTATAAATTAATTATAAAAATTGTAATTAATAAAAAAGGACAGTATGCATTTCCTGTCTTATTCTCTCCCAAAAGAATCTCCCATCACTGAGACAACTATTTTTAACTCTTCTGTATATTTCTCCTATGATTTACCTCTATAACATGCTATATTGAAAATTATTTTCTCTTTTAGATATTACCTCTTGACTTCTTTTCATGAAGTGAAGATTTACCTGTTCCCATCCTTCTGCTCTCCTCTCTATATGATTATAGCATCACAGTTTTTGGTTCAATAAGCATTCAGGGCTTCCATCATTGTGATTATATCCTGTCCATGGCTTAGCAACATGGCATATTGCTGTGACATAGCCTTTCATGCATTTCCTGTCTGTTTTTCCTGGAGCTCTTGATTGCCATGGTTTGTACTAATTTATCCCAAACTTTCCACCAAAACTTGGATAATCCGTCAACTCTGCTTTTTTCATGGACCGCTGCACCACTGTGTAATCTGGGTAGCTGCTCTTCAAGCCTGCTGCCTGGTCATTCTTCTGGGGTACCCTCACCCCAGCATCCTAGGAATTTCTTTCCCTTCTTCCCTGTGAGGACTCTCCTACTTACTGGATCCCACGTGTTGCAGGCACAGTTTTACTGGGGATGCAGAGCCACTCTGGATGCTATGGGATAAGGAATTCATAATAGGAATTAGAACATATGCGATTGTGCAAGCATCTGGGGAAAAGAGGGTACTACATTCTAGATAGAAAATTACTTTTTGTTCCTTTCCTTTTTTTTTTTCCTTTTCTTTTGCTTTTTTGAGAGAGGATCTCTCTCTGTCACCCAGGCTGGAGTGTAGGAACACAAGCACAGCTCACTGGAGCCTCGACCTCCCAGGCTTAGTGAACTCAACCAATTTTCCCACCTTGGCCTCTGGAGTAGCTGGGACTACAGGCACATGGCACTGTACCTGGCTAATTTTTTGCAGAGATGGAGTTTCACCATGTTGCCCAGGCTCGAAAATTATTTTTCTCTCAGAATTTGTTCTACTTTCTGTTAGAGGTTTGGATCTGGGTCCTTGCCCAAATCTCATGTTGAATTGTAATTCCCAGTGTTGGAGGTGGGGCCTTGTGGGAGGTGACTGGATCATGGGGGTGGTTTCTCAAGGTATAACACCATCACCTTTAGTGTTGTCATGGCAGTAGTGAGTGAGTGAGTTATTGTGAGATCTGGTCGTTTAAGTGTGGCACCTCTCCCTCTCTCTTCCTCCTGCTCATGTAAGATGTTCCTGCTTCCCCTTCACCGTCTGCAATGTTTGTAAGTTTCCCAATGCCTCCTCAGAAGCCCCTATGCTTCCTGGACAGCCTGCAGAACTGTGAGACAATTAAACCTCTTTTCTTTATAAATTACCCAGTCTCAGTTATTTCTTTTTTTTTTTAAAGGTACTTCTTTATAGCAGTGCAAGAACCGACAAATACAATGTCTTTTATCACTCTGGAATGTGACCTATTTTTTTTTTTCTTTCTGGAAGCTTTTAGGATCTCCTCTTTCCCTGATGTTCTGAAACTACAAGATGATATACCTAGAGATGTGTTTTGGTTTTTCTAACCATTCATTGTGTTGGGCAGTGGTTTAGCCTTTTAATTTAAAAATTCATGTCATTTACTGGGAAACTTTGTTGTATTTGCTTTTTTTTATTTTGATAATTTCTACCCCTCAATTTTTTTAGCTTTCTATGTTTAGAAATCCTATTAATCAAATCATAGATTGATCCTCGAAGTTTCTAATATTTTCTACACTATATTCCATCTTTTTGTGTCAGTTTCTCCCTGTAAGGTGATGGAATATGTCTTCCTGGCGTTGAGTTTGACTATACGACCTGTTTTGGCCAATAGAATAGTGTAGAATGACAGTATGCAAGTTCTGGGCTGGGCTTTAAGAGGCTTGTCCATTTATGTTTGCCATCTTAAACTTTTTGATCTACTTTCTGGTAGATTTTCTATATCTTTTAAAGAGTCATTCCCATCCTCTGAATATTCTTTTTTTATAGCACACTATGCTTGTTTTATTGATTTGTTATTATCTCTTATGGGTCTAAGAATACTAATGATAGCTGTTAGTGGTGTGTGTGTGTGTGTGTGTGTGTGTGTGTGTGTGTGTGTGTGTTTGAGACAGAGTCTTGCTCTGTCACCCAGGCTGGAGTGCAGTGGTGTGATCTCGGCTCACTGCAACTTCCTCCTCCTGGGCTCAAGTGATCCTCCTGCCTCAGCCTCCCGAGTAGCTGGGATTACAGGCACCTGCCACCACACCCAGCTAATTTGTTGTATTTTTAGTTGAGATGGGTTTTCGCCATGTTGGCCAGGCTGGTCTTGAACTCCTGACCTTTAGTGATTTGCCTACCTCGGCCTCCCAAAGTGCTGGGATTATAGGCAAGAGCCACTGTGCCTGGCTTGTGTGCGGTTTTTAACCTTTTCTCTTGTCTCTAATATTTCTTTTAAGCCCTTCTCTTCTGTTTTTGTTTTTGTCTCAGTTTTCTCAGATAGAAATCCCAGAACCTTGGGTAAGAGAGTAGGATAATGAAACCTGTCTGCAAGCCTTTGGGGAGCTGATTTGGCAGAGAGGGCTGGAGGCTTCTCTATTTAGCCTGTACACTTTCACATACTCCCTTGGTTTTTGGTATGGTGCTTCACCACTGTCGCCAGCTATGCCTGCATTCCCTGCATTCAGATGCTCTCTGGTTCAACTTATCTAGTAAATAAACCTGTCTTCTGCCAAGGTGGGGAGAGAACTCTTGCCTGGCTCTGTGCGTTAAGGAGGAGGATGGGGTGAACACAACAATTTCATAAATAAATGTTTATTTCCTATTTAGATTCTTAGTAGCCAGTACCTCAATTTCACACTAATCATTTTGTAACACATTTTAGTGTCTGTGAACACTTTTCTATTCTGTTTTCAAAATTGATTTAATGAACTGTGGAAATTAATTCTGCAATATGTTTTTTTTGCATTAGTTTGTCAAGTTCCCGTAAGTCATGATGAGATTTCGATTAGAATTGACCTTAATTTTATTTTATTGGAATGTGAGTTTACTAGATTATGTTGGAGACAAGTGACAATTTTACAATGCTAAGAAATTCTATCAATAAATATACTATATCTCTCCTTTGTTCAGGTCTTCTTTTATGTTCTTCTGAGCTGTGGGCAAAGTGGCACGTGCAATGTCAAGGATAAGGAGTACGCCTTGTTTTTGCTCTTTCTTCCTTGTTGCTGGCTGGATTGTGAATGTAATTACTGAGTTTGAAGCAACCATTTTTGAATCAATAATGACCTTGGAAATGGAGGCAATACATAGCAGAGTAACACATTTGAGGGGCCAGGATTCCTCACCCTGTGGAGCGCCATATCAGGTCTGGATCACCTGTACTGGACTTACATGGGAAAGAGAAAAAAATCTTCTCATTTATTGAAACCACTGTTTCTTTGGTTGTGCTGTCACTCACAGCCACCTTCATCCTGATATATCTAGGCTCCGCCCCAGTGGTTTTTAGGGTGGGCGGCCCCAGAGCAGCAGCCACAGCATCACCTGGAATCTTGTTAGAAACACATATCCTGCGATCCTGATACAGTGAATCAGAAGTGCTAGGTAAGGCCCAGTAATCTGGGCTGTGACCTATAGGTCAAAGCTGTGACCAATCCACGTTTGATGTACCCTCTGGCCATTCTGATTCTAGGTGTGAGCTGATTTATCCACAGCAGATTCCCTTTCATTGTAGTTTTCTGCATTACAGGAATGTTCTGGTCTTCTGCGTGTATTAATTGAGAGACAATTCCATGTTTACTGTCAAGAACTCCCTAGGCACACCTTCTGTCAAGTTTCTGATTCAAAAACCAGTGTTTGAAAACCACTTCCTGAAACGTTGCTCACATAATATTAAACCTCTTTGTTTATTAATCCAGTGAAATGTCTTACTCTTTAGATATCTGGCCTGGCAAACTGACTGGAGTGAAAATGGGGATGTCTTGACTCACAAAATTAAAATTTCCCGTAGGACAGCTAGGCAAGCTTCAGGCATGGCTACGCTTAGTTCCTCCCTTTCCATCCCTTGACTGTACTTTCCTCGGTTGGCTTCATTCTCAGCAAGCTTTTTCTGTGTGGTGTCCCCAGCAGCTCTGCTTACATAATCCCTATAGTTAGCAAACCCAGTAGTTCCAAGATAGCACAAAAGCTGAGGATTATTGACCTGGTTTGGGTCTCATGCTCAGCCCTGAACCAATCATATGCATTAAGTGACCATATGCATCAAGTGTTCTGATATTCCTCTCAGCACTTGCACATCCTGGATTGATAAGCCTGAGTGAGTCATGCCTCCATCATGCAGGAGCAACTACGTTGGTACCTTCTCTAAGGCTTCTCCATCCCATGGTTGTGGGGCTATTGGAGACAAAGGGTAATCATGATTTAGAAAAGCAAATTGATTGTCTGAGAACTGGCTGCTGAAATAATAATCTTTACCGGCCATTTACAGATCCAGAAAATGCAGTGAGTCCAAGAGGTGGAAGGAGACATGACATTAGCAGAGAGTAGACAGAGGGAAGCAGAAGCCAATGGGGAAAGATACTGAGGAGTGGAAGAGACAGAGTGAAAGACAACATTATGAGAGGTAGGCAGAGACAGAGACAGAGACAGGCAAAACCCCACAGAGAAAGAGAGCAGCATGCACCCATGAAGTGGAGGGGCAACAATAGACCTTGCCCCACCACGCTGTGCACACAGACACACTCACTCACACACTTGGGAACACTGCCAGAGAGAAACGATAACGCAGAGAGACTGAGGCTGAGAACAACATGCCTATTGGGTATGAGGGATCTAGGGTGGTTGGCTGACAGAATCATTCAGGGATGGTGGGATAGTTGTTTCTAGGCAGTAGGATTTCAACTGTGCTGAAGCCACAGATCTAAGATCTGGATGGAATTGTGAATCGTGTATTCGTTCATCAGATAAATGTTTATTAAAGCAACAAAAAGACAATCACCAACTAATTAAAATTATTGCAAGGGACTTGAATATACATTTGTCCAAAGATGGTATTCAAATGGAGACCATGCACCTAAGTCAGCATCATTAGTTATTAGGGAAATGCAAATCAAGCCCACAATTAAATATCACATCACACCAACTAGAATGGTTATAATTTTTTTAAAAAGAGAAAATAGTGAATGTTGGCAAGGATGTACAAAAATCAGAACCCTTGTACATTGCTGGAGGGAATGTAAAATGATGTAGCTGCTAGATATTCACAACAGGTTTATTCACAAGAGCCAAAGGTGCAAACATCCAAATGTCCATCAATGATGAATGGATAAGCAAAGTGTGGCATATCCATACAATGGAATATTACTCAGGATAAAAAGTAATAATATATGCTACAACATGGATGAAACTTGGAAACATTATGTTCAGTGAAAGAAGCCAGACACAAAATATTGTACAATTCCATTTATGTGGAAAATCTAGAGTAGGTAAATTCATGAAGACAGATGCAGACTGGGGGTTGCCAGGGGCTGGGGATAATGGAAAATGGTAGTTTAATGAATATGGGTGTATTAGTCCTTTTTCACGCTGCTGATAAACACATACTTGAGATTGGGCAATTTATAAAAGAAGGAGGTTTGTTGGACTTACAGTTCCACATGGCTGGGGAGGCCTCACAATCATAGCAGAAGGTAAGGAGGAGCAAGTCACACCTTACATGGATGGCAGCAGGCAAAGAGAGAGCTTGTGCAGAGAAACTCCCGTTTTTAAAACCATCAGATCCATGAGACCCATTTACTGTCACGAGAACAGCATAGAAAAGACCCACCCCCATGATTCAATCATCTCCCACCAGGTTCCTCCCACAACACGTGGGAATTATGGGAGCTACAAGATGAGATTTGGGTGGGGACACAGAGTCAAACCATATCAATGGGATTTTCTTTTACTGTGATCAAAATGTCTGAGAACTTTATAGAGATGGTGGTTGCTTAACATTGTGAATCTGCTAAATACCATCGAATTGTTAATTTTAGTTTAGTGGTTAATCTTACATGGTTAATCTAAAAATGATTAGTCTTATGTTACATGAAGATCACTTCAAACTTACAGACCACACACACACACACACACACACACACACACACACTTCTTTTTTTTTTTTTTTTTTTTTTGAGACAGGGTCTCACTCTGTCCCCCAGACTGGAGTGCAGTGGTGTGCTCTTGGGTCAATGCAACCTCCACCTCCCAGGTTCAGGCGATTCTCCTGCCTCAGGCTCCTGAGTAGCTGGGATTACAGGCACGTGCCACCACGCCTAGCTAATTTTTGCATTTTTAGTAGAGACGGGGTTTCTCCATGTTGGTCAGGCTGGTCTCGAACTCCTGACCTCATGATCCACCCATCTCGGCCTCCCAAAATGCTGGGATTACAGGCGTGAGCCACCGCGCCCGGCCCCACTTCCTGTTTTTTTAATGAGTCAGGTGTGGCCACAAGCAGAGACAAAAAGAAACTCAAGAAAACTAAGTTTATTACACTCACAGGACCTGGTTCTTACAGTGGGCAACATGCCATGCAGGGTGACAAGGGAAGCTCCAGGCTTTGTTCAGGTGGCAGAGGAAGAAGCAAGGGGAGATCTGAAGTCATGGTCTTAATTGAGTTTCTGAGGGAAAGGCAAGGCAGGGCAGGGTAAAGCATTTAGGGTTGGCTGGTTGGCATAATGTGGCGAGTTCTAAGCTGTAGAGGTGGTCCCTAGTGTTCTGGTACCTGCCCAGGAATAATTAAGGGAGAGGAATATTGCCTCCTGGGGTGTAAGAGCCAGGTGCAGGAGGTCTGCTCTGGATTGGGTAGTTTGGATATCTAAATATATACAGATTGAGTACTCCTAATCTAAATATTCAAACCCCAAAATGCTACTAAATAGGAAGTTTTTTTGTGTGCCAAAATGAAGCTCAAAGACAATGCTGTTGGAGAATTTTGGATTTTGATTTTCAGATGAGGGATGCTGAATATGTAAGTAAAAAGTAAATATTCCAACATCCCCCAAAATCTGAACTCTGAAGCTATTCTGCTCCTAAGCATTTCAGATAAGGATACTGAACCTGTACATATGTGTAGATACATAGAGAGAGAACCACTATGTTCCAAGCCCCATTCTAGGTCCTGGGAACCCAGCACTGACCCCAGAATCCTGCTCTCCTGGAGGCCACCCTCTAGAAGGAAAAAGAAAATAGACAATCAGGTAAGACAAGCTCAAGTAGTGATGAGGACTTTGAAAACAGGAAGGCAGACTGAGGAGCTGGAGAGGGCGCCTTTGCACAGAGACAAACCTGCATGGAGCGGGAGCTCCATCCAGAAGCCGACGGCCCTAGGAGAGCAGGCAGCAGGGCAAAGTTCTCAGATGGAACACGCTTGGGATAGTTGCTAAATAGCAGAGCAGCCAGGGAGGACATAAAGAGGATGAGATGGCCAGGACCAGACTATGCAGGGTTATGTAGACCCAGGGAGAGCTTTTGAACTTGCTCTAAGTGTTAAGGGAAGACGCTGGAGGATTAAGAGCAAAGGATGGCACAGGCCTCCATACTGCATGGCCACAGGGGGCGCCATTACACATACCACAGCGGGAACCAGTCTTCCCGGAGCTGGCCTTCTTGGTGGCTCTGCAACCCCAACTCGCTCACCCATGGCCGACATTGCTATCTCTCACAAGCCCTGCTCCTTCAGCATGGGGCTGTCACATCCTTCTCCCCACAGGACCCCAGACAAGCCGGCTGACTCCTCAGAGCTGACCTGTGAGATGCCAGGTACCTGTCCTCATTTCCCTGACCCTTTGCTGAGGCAAAGATCTCTCGGAGTTTGCTTAATAGAGAACTAGGGACACATAGTTGGAGCACCTTGTCACTTCTTTATTGGGAAGGGGATGCAGTCTGTAATTCGGCAAATATGTGATCCCAGGAAGATGTCAAGCTCAAGGCTCAGCTGGCTTGTTGTGAGCTCGTAGCTGCCATGGAAAAAGCCACGGGTATGGCAACTTCTCCAGCGCCAATAGACCTGGATGATGCGGACAGCGTTGAGCAAACGACAGTAACGCCAGCGGACACGCCACATGCGGACCCAGGACTGCAGCCTGACTGCTGCCCATAGCTGCCGTGCACAGAGCTCCAGTGCTGCCCGCTGCCTCTTCGCCTGCAGCCTTGCCAGCACCTGCCTCCACCAGCACTGAATGATCAAAGCTCTGAGGGTCACGTGCAGTAGTGTGCATTGCACCAGCGTGCCCCACCATCAGGACTGGATCTTTTTTGCTGCCAGTACCTTGTCAGTGGGGGGCTTCATTTGGAAAAGGAGGAGAGGTTGCAAGAAAAGAAAGAAAAGTCAGGACATTTTCCTCACAAACATCAGCCCCAGTGGGTGAGAGGAAGTGGCCAGGTACTCTACAATGGCCCTTTCCTGTAAAGTTCAGGAGCACTGGGCAGGGCAACACCTAACTCAGGAGACCAGGTTGTACCCCCTCTGCCACCCACAGGCCAATGGACATGGCCACCTCACCTTCACCTCTGAATCTCAATGTTCCCATCTGCAAAATGGGGGTACACCTGCCCTAGCTACCTTGCCCAGGTTTTTGCAAACCTTGTTGGCCAGTCTAGAGTAAGGACACTGTGATGTAGGGCCAAAGTGTTAACACATTTCACCTAGGCCTGACCATCTCCTGAGACCCATGACCCATCCCTTCAGACCTCTCCCACCTGCCAGAGAAGTGTCTCCTTTGCTGGCCATGCCCTCTTATTTCTAACTCCAAGTGAAATCCACAGCCTGCTCTTTCCTGCTGTCACGTCATAGTAGTCAAAGTTTCCCTGCTCCACACAGTTTGGAGTCTTTTTCACCTACTTCTTACTTTCACTTCTTTTAACACACTTTTTCTTGTTAAAACTTCTTTTAACTTCAGCTTACCTACACATAAGTGGACTCATGTGCACACTCCCCCACATCCCACCCAATTCAAGACTTGGGTTTCCCTTTATGGCCATGCATTCCCCAAACAGAGCCCTCACCATGCCATGCTCCAATGTTGCATGTCTGCTTTCCACTTTTCAGGGTTTCTCTTTCCTACATCCAAGTCTCCATGCCTCAGTCACCCACCTTTCCCAGACTCATAAGGAAATGGGAGAAGAAGATAGCCCAGGATGAGTCAATCTCTATTTATTGCAGCTTTGAATACAACGACTATGTCCTTGTTGGCCTGGGATATTCTTGGTTTATGGTGGTTGTTCCTGAGTAAGGATTAATAGCAACACCTTTCACTCACAAACGTTTCCTAGTTTGGACAAGAAATTCCATAATTAACCAATTCTATGAGCCACAGAGAAGACAACCACCACTACTGGGTGGCACAGGTCAGAGATGTTGCAGGTGTGGGGTCTCTTCCAACCTTGAGGGCCTGTTCTGACTTACCTTTGGCTTTGGAGGAGGAGGCATTTTCTCCCGCTCCATTTGTTTCAACAGTGCGGTTTCATCAACATCTTCCATTATGCTTTGGCGAACATGGCCATCCTTCTGTAATCAGATTTTAAAGAGGTGAGGTATGGATAGGTAGTTATTTGTAGAACTCAAGGCACTCTCCCTCACTGTGACTGAATCCCCTGTGTCTGTATTGCCTGCAGGATACCCAGTTTTCAGCCAAGTTCACCACATCCTTAACCTCTTGGCTTTCCCAGAGACCCAGACACAGGGCTTGCATCCTGATTAACTGTGGGAATTCACCTCCGCCTGCCTGCATCTTTGAATTGACTGGTTGTCTCTTACAAAACATTGAATGCCCATGACTTGCAGTAGTTGGTTCAATCCCTTCAAGTCTGCAATCCCCTTTAGTGCCCATGATTAGAGGCTAGAGGTCTCCATTATACTCAGGTCTGTACTTCTCTAGCCACCACTGTGGCAGGAAGTGTGAAGGAAGAGAGAGTGTGATGATGTCATAAGGGCACCTATGACTCTGGCATCAGAATGGCTTCCAACAGCTGAGTCTTTTCCAGCGAATATGTGGAACTCTTGTCCATTCTTTTTTGCAGACATGGCCACAATTTGACTACAAAAGCAAGCCACTGGAAATACTGGCTAATTAGCACAAAGAGGTATATAGTTAATGCTTTCAATCTAGTTGATAAAAACAAAAATTGAGACAACCTAAACCTCCATCAAATACAAAATTCAGTCACATGGATTTCAGTTCAATGAAACAATTGAGCCATATAAGGATGAGAAAGAATGAATTAGCAGCAAAATTCTCAAACAGATGCTTCAGAAAAGGAGATTTAGGAATAGCTAAGAAGCACATGAAAAGATGCCCAATATCAATAGTCATGAGGGAAATAAAAATGAGAACCAAAATGAGATACCCCTAGACACCCTAAGAGAATGGCTAACATGAGAAATCTGACAGTACTAAATCCTGGCAGGGATTCAGAATGGGTAGATCTCTTATACACTGCTGATAAAAAGGTGTGAAACAGCAGAATCACTTTGGAAAATGGTTTGGCACTTCCTAATGAAGTTCAACATGCACCCGCCCTGTAACTCAATAGTTTCAGTCCTAAAATTTGCAAATGAAAAATGAAAACACATTTTACAAAGACATGTGCATGGATATTCATAGCAGCTTTATTCAAATAGGTCAGAACAGGAAACAACCCAAATGTCCACCAACAGGTGACTAGACAAAAATTCGTGACATATTAGTATAATGGAGTAATAGTAACAAAAATGAATATATTCATACACAGAATAACATAGATGACTCTCAGAAACTTGATGCTAAATGAAAAAAGCTAGACTACCTACAGGTTCTTTTTTTTTTTTTTTTTTTTTTGAGACGGAGTCTCGCTCAGTCACCCAGGCAGGAGCGCAATGGCGCTATCTCAGCTCCCTGCAAGCTCCGCCTCCCGGGTTCACACCATTCTCTTGCCTCAGCTGCCCGAGTAGCTGGGACTACAGGTGCCTGCCACCACGCCCGGCTAATTTTTTGTATTTTTTAGTAGAGACGGGGTTTCACCACGTTAGCCAGGTTGGCCTCGATCTCCTGACCTCGTGATCCGCCCGCCTCGGCCTCCCAAAGTGCTGGGATTACAAGTGTGAGCCACCGCGCCCGGCCTACAGGTTCTTCCATTTATATAAAATTCTAAAACAGGTAAAACTAACAGGTAAAATGAAGAACAATAGAAAATGAATCAGATGAATTCCTAGATATAGGGGTTTTGCCTGCAAACAGCACATGGAAACAAAGAGGAATGTGCTATATCTTGGTTTTGGTGGTGGTTACCAAGGAATACGGAATTGTGAAAATTCATCAAACCAAGCACTTAATGAAACCACAGAAAAGAACTTTGTTCTCTCTGTACTGATATGGAGTACAAGTGAAACAAATTGAGTTGATGGACAAATAATTATGAGCATATCATAAAAGTACTATGAAAACAAGGGAATTAGGACGACATACACAACTAAAATTTATCAATGATTATCTTTGATGAGGCTAGTAGAATTGGAGGGACAGGGCACACACCCTCACTGTGGCTGAACTCCCTGTGTCTGTCCTGTCTGCAGGGCACCCAGTTATCAGCCTCCTGGGAGAGCAGGACACACACTGAGGGTACCTCTGAGGCCCCAGCTGGGGTACAAATGTCTTTGACTGCTCTCCTGTCGCAGTCAGAAGATGAGTCAGCACAGCCACTGCAGAAGCCGGCACCATCTCTGCCTGATCCCGACCACTGAAAAGCCACCTGGTGCTGCAGGTCAATGCTCAGCAGAAGGTCCTCTGGCCACGGCCTGAGGGGTCAGCATCAGACCCTGGTCCCCCTCAGAGTTTCTGCCCAGGGGTCACTAGAGTACATTTGAAATGTTTAGGATGAGTACTGGGGAGGCTGCAGTGGAGCCCTGGGGGGAATGTAGGGAAGAGGAGGAGGGCAGTTAAGGCTGGGGGTGGATATCAGGGTGAAGATAGTAGGACGAGGGGTGTGGAAAAGACAGGTGCTAGGTGGAGGGCAGGGTAAGTGGTGAGAAGAACTTGTGGGACCGGGAAGGTGCAGAAAGCATTTTTTGATGAAGCAATTGGAGAATATCCACAGGACAAGATTTGCATCTCTGAGAGTCTTTCTTTGGATCATGACCCAGTGATTTTTTTTTTTTTACTGTATTGTTTGTTTTGAATTTCTTCAAACAGAAACTTAAAATGTACATTGATCAGCTTTTCTAGTTACCTTCAGCAAAAGGACCATTCCAGCTCCTTAGCACATCATTACTAGAAGCAGGAGTCCCTCCATGCTGTATCCTTACCCACTCCTTTATTTTCAAATTCCCATCTCCTTCTGTGCACAAAATACATGTGTTTCTCTTTTGATCCAGCAAGAAAGTCTCTGTATTTTGATAGACACTACTACACATTCACAGTTATTTTCATTTCTAATATGCTTTGACTTATTGCCATATTGCTTCATAATTTCCAGCTATTTTTTTTTTCATTTTCACTTTTGTTGTCTTTTGTTGAATTGGTAGGGAATTGTTTGGATTTTTATTCTTTTTTCACTATAGAAGTTGAGGCAGACTGCACTTGCCTAGCCAGTATCCATTTTCCTCATTTTCCTAACTAATGGACCCATGAATATTTGGAGTAGCAATATCTCCAGCCTGGTAGCACCTCCGGGGATTTGCCATGCAGAATTCCAGGCACAGCCACCTTACAAAGCAAGACATGCAAGAGTAGGCATGGCTCCCACCAGTGATGGCAGAAAGTTGTTCTCTCACTGCTTTAGGAGGAGGAGGAGGGGGCTACTGCTAAAGCTTCTGAAGAAAAGAGCCCCTTGGAGGAGTGAGGTGCAGGCCAAAGGCAATAGGTCCTGAGCAGAATCTTTGCAACCTGCCTTTGCCAGCGGCGTTGGGCACCAGGCTGAACCCTGGACCTGAAAATATACTATGGCTGCTCTGCAGATCCCCACTCCCACACCTTCCAACACACAGAAGGGGCTTGGGGCTGAGGAAAGCGTCACCCAGCTGCAAGGCATGAAGACCCCTGCACACCTCTCCACTGGCCCTCCCATCACTCATGCAGGGCCCACCATGGAAAGAGCCTGCGGAGGGTTGCAGACCTCAGACTTATGGGATGGAGGTTCACACAAACATCTGAGGGACACAGTCTGAGAGTGAGGGGCCTTGGGCATGGATGACAAAGCAGAGACAGTGAGAGACCACGTGAGAGATGGTTGCGCCATAGGTGCCCAGAGACAGAGGGAGACTCAGCAAAGCAGTGGCCCAGCAGCACCCACCTAAGGCAGGCCCAGCAGAGGGTGAGACAGCCTGGGGGGAGGCCAGAGAGGGGACATGGGGGTGGAGGAGGAGCACAGCTGCTTCTGAGGACATGATAGGATTTAGAGGCTATGTGCCCAATGACCTCCAGTGGCAGAGGGACAGCCCTTTCCCTTGCCTACCCCTAGTCCTCTGTTTGTTTACCTGCCCCCATGCCACCCCCACCACCATCCCCCCACAGCCCCCGAGTCTCTCTCCCCTCCCCGATCCCATGCCTGGTTCTCCCAGGAAGTGCCCAGCAGAGGGGAGGGAAACCTTGTTGTTCAGCCCCAGGGTGGGCAGGCGGCAGGCACAGCTGCTGCCCTCAGCTCCTGCTCTGGCTTTCCCAGGGGCTGGCTCTGGCTGGCTGCTCCCCGACTCCCTTCCCCACCATAAGGCACAGCGTCTGTCCTGCGGTTGCCCAGCTAAAGTGCCCTGTCCTCCTGGCTCCCTGCCAAGCACTCTGCCGGCCCTGAGGGCCCTGCCAAGCACAGGCCTGCGGAATCCTGGCCTTCCCAGCTGGCCCTGGCTGCAGCCAGACTCTCTGATGTCCTGCTCTGAATGGAGATGCCTGGACAGGGGCTGTGAAAAATAAAGCCCAGTTTCTACACTCCCTGGTGAAAGGGGTTGAAATAGCCCTCCTACCTCTGTTGGCATCCCAGTCAGCCTGAGCACTAGGGCCTCTTTTAGAGAAAAGTTTCACCAGATCTGCCGTCAGGGGCAGCAGCCAAGGGTCAGCTTGTGCCAGGCCTTATTCTATGCAACAGATCTCCCACAAGTGGCCATCAGCTTGGCAAATCTGGGGTTAGCTAGGTTTTCCTACAGCCAGGCCTATGTCATGGCATTCTCTATTTCAAGTTCCATCTGGCTTGCTGTGATTTTGCAGACTGGGCAAGTGTGATAGGAAGTGAGGAAGGGCCTGTCAATATTGTCTGGGGTTCTGAATCCAACTACAAAAAATGGGCCTTCTGGTATGCTGACAAATGGGCCTCTGAAAGGTATGCACATGAAATCCCTGGAATCTGTGACTACTATGTGTGACAAAAGATGTGATTAACTTAAGGGTCTTGTGAGGAAGGGTTTATCCTGGATTACCTGTATGGGAGCTAAATACAGTCATAGGTACCCCTAAAAGAGAATGGCAGAGGAACTTTTAAGAGAGACACACTTTAGACAAGGCGATGTGAAGAGGAAGGCAGGGACAGGAGGGATGTGACCTCAAGCCAAGGAATGCTGGGAACTACCAGAAGCTGGAAGTGGCAAGGAAGGAAATCTCCCCTAGAGCTTCTGGAAGGAGCTTGGCCCTCCTGACACCTGGATTTCAGCCTCTAGCCTCCAGAACCATAAGAGAATGTATTTCTTTTCTTTTAAGCCACCAGGTATGTGGTAATTGTTACAGCAGCCACATAAACTAATAGACCTCTTATTTTTTTATTTTTATTTTTTGAGATGGAGTTTTGCTCTTGTTGCCCAGGCTGGAGTGCACTGGCACAATCTTGGCTCACTGCAACCTCCACCTCCTGGGTTCAAGCAATTCTCCAGCCTCAGCCTCCAGAGTAGCTGGGATTACAGGCACCTGCCACCACGCCCAGCTAATTTCTGTGTTTTTAGTAGAGACGGGGTTTCTCCATGTTGGCCAGGCTGGTGGTCTCAAACTCCTGACCTCAGGTGATCCATGTGCATTGGCCTCCCAAAGTGCTGGGATTACAGGCGTGAGCCACCGTGCCCGGCCTAGACCTCTTAAATTTTAAGTAAACCAATAAATTCCCTTTTTTGGTTTCCAAGTCTATTTTCTGTCATTTGCAACCAAAAGAGTCTTAATTTAGAAAATAGCTTAAAAGAAGGGAGACAGGCAAAAGAAAAGAATGGATTGTTATATAGGGATCGGTGGATGAGAAAAGGACACTAAGGGTAGAGGAAAGGAGGACGGTGAGTGTCTGCCAGTGTGATGATGTGGACACTATTGTGGGAACGGAAAGACTGATGGAGGTACCAATGGAAATTTTATCCAGGCCACAGTCGTGACAATAATAATCGACAGAGCTGCTGTGGTCAGAATGTTTGTGTCCTTTCAAAATTCATATGCTGAAACCTAATCTCTAATGTAATAGTATTAAGAGGTGGGGCTTTGGGAGGCTGTATCCTCATGAATGGGATTTGTATCCTTATAATAGCACCTTGAGGGAGCCATTTTGCCCTTCTCTCATGCGAGGACACACATTTACCCCTGTGAGGACACAGCAACATAGTACCGTCCATAAAACAGAGCAAGCCTTCACCTTCATCTGCGAACACATTGCTCTTGGACTTCCTGGTGTCCAGAACTGTGAGAAATAAATTTCTACATCCCCGTGCCTGGATCTCCCAGGAAGTGGCCAGGGACACAGGCTGAGAGTGAGGGACTATATGCTGTGCTATAAAATTACCCAGTCTAGGGTATTTTTATAGCACAGCATGAATAGCCTAAGACAAGAGCCATTATAATAATAAATTAGGGAGTAGGAACATCATGATATTTTCAACTGTGTGTGTGAGTGTGTGCATGTGTGAGGTGTGGGGGAGTCAGAGAGAGACAGAGAAACACAGACAGAGAGAGATTAAGCTAATCTGAGATGTGACCTAGGAATTGTCCACCTAAGGTTGCCTGAAAACCTAAATGATGGGGCATCAGCTTTTTGAGAGGAAAGAAGAACACAAATGATGATAAGTCAAATGCCAATAACTTATAGAGCAAAAATAGAACCTACTCATTTATGCAAAGACATAGAGATCCTGGCTGTATACTAAGAGGAGACAAGGTAACAACAGAGTTGGAGGCAGAGGGTTAGAAAAGGTAGAATTTGCCCAAGCAAGGAAGGAGAAAGTAAAAGGAGAAGAAATAAGTGGTTTCCTCTCAAATCCATGAAGTGCTGAATGTGCAGACAAACCCTTTATCAGTGCGCGGAAGGGCAAGTGTCCAGCTATAGGGGATGTTCAGTCATGAGGGGGGATGTCCAGCCATGGGTGGGGATGTCTAGTCATTGGTGATTATGTTCAGTCAGGAAGGGGATGTCTAGCCATGATTGTCAATGTCCAGACATGGGAGGATGTATAGCCATAGGTGGAGATGTCTAGCCATTGGTACCATGTCCAGCCATGGAGGAATGTCCACACATTGGCAGAATGTCCATCCATGGAGGAGGCACTCCCAGCCATGGTGAGGATGAGCTATGGGTGGATGTGCTGTAATGGGAGGAGGTCCAGCCATTGGGGCAATACTCAGCCATGATTAGGTTGTCTGTCCATGAGTAAAAAAGTCTGTCAAGAGCTCAGCTGAGCTAAAGAGAGCTGAACTGAGAGGCATCAGAGGAGGTAATTAAGACAACAAGCCAAAATGAAAGTAACAGTGAAGTTGTTAGTTACCTGCTGCAATACAAGTAAGAGGCTAAACTAGAGCCAGTGCCCACTCTCCCATATCCCTTTTCCCTCATGGTACCGCATACCGGTTGAGGGTCAGGTGGATCAGCATAGATGCAGGGGTGGGCAGTCTCACCGCCAAAGGAGCCCCGAATAAAAGGCTTCTGCAGTTTTATGAACCCAGAGGCTGGGAAAAAGGAAAGAAAGAAGGGCTAGGAGTGGAAACATACTGAGTACGAAGTCAAAGCAGTGAAAAATATCTTTAAGCCCACCGCAACCCACCCACTTAAGGATATATTGGCAGAAGCACCTAGAGAAAGTCTCAGCTGAAGGTCCACAAGAATGAGGCCTCCAAATGAAGCTGCCTGGACTACAATGAGATATGAGTAAGAGCATAGCAGGCCAGAGGGGCCTTATTCCTTAACTGTAACTCCTTTCAGAGATTGCAATGCATTGGTTGCACACCAAGTCTGATGCAGGGAGGGCAGCCTTCTTCCCTGAGGCCTGCCAAATAATGCTTTTGTTGTTGCCTGTGTTTAGGCCAGAAAAGTCACAGGAGCTGGACTCTTCAATGTCCATGCATGAGGAAGGATGTCCAGCTATGAATGGGAATGTCCAGCCTTGAATGGGGATATCCACCCAAGGGGGAGCATGACCAGTCATGCATGCATGTAGATTTCCACCATTACATCAGGATAACCAAACATGTGAATATGTCTAATTATGTGTAGAGATGTCTATTCAAGGAGATAAACAACCATGCTTGGGGATGATCCTCCCAGCAGAGGGAATGTCTAAACATGTATGAAGATTTGCCCAATAATGTGAGAGAATGTCCATCCTTGAATAGAAATATCTAAACATTGTACCAAGGCTAGACACTTGGACTTTGGCTCTGACATACATCATGTCCTCCTTGGCCTCTGTTTCTAATTTACAGAGTGTGTCAGTGGAATATGGTCATCGTCAGCATGGATTGGAAGTCCTTGGAGTCTGAAGACTTGAGGAATTTGTGAGACACAAAAACACAGGCCAGATCTTTACCAAAAAAGGGAGCCAGTTTTCCTCACAGGGACTCTTCACACCAAGATTTCAATGTGGAACCCAGCTGGTTGGAAGTGATTTCATATTGTTCCTGGAAAAGGCTGTGGGTCTGGAAGATGTACTATCAACAGTGGGCCTGGATCATTCACCACAGCACTTGGCAGAGGTGTGGGTGGATATACCACATGCAAAGCAAAACTGCAGCCTGACCACCCAGTTTATATAGAATCCCTGCCTCCACCTCTAAGCTGCCAGCCATTTCTGTTCCAGCAGCCTTGCCAGTCTTGGCCTCAACCAGCACTAAATGATCAAAGTTATGAGCACAGCATACAACCGTGTATCATACCCAAGCAAAATCTTCATGGTTGCTTTGTTCTGCTGTGTGTTCTTTAGTTTTAGGAAGCATAGGTACTTAGAGAAATAAAACTACCCACACTTCACCCCCAGTGTCTGCCAAGAAGGGGTACTGGCTCACTCTTAACAATCAACCCTTCCTTGGGTAGTTCCAGAGAAACGGGCAGGTGCCAATATAAATCTGGAAGTTTTGAGTTTATGTCCTGCTTCTCACACATGATGACCTACATTCTCATCTGAGAGCTTCTCACACGTGATGACCTACATTCTCATCTGAGAGAGAGACACATCTGTCCTATTCTCCTCAGAGGTGCGGCATCTAGGAGAAAGCATATGATGAACGGGAGTGTACCATGTTCATATGAAGAACCGTGTTCATGATACCAAGACCTTTTATATTTCTTGGACTTTATTATTTTTTTCCTTGATCTTTTATTCCCTTTTCATTATTTTCTGTCCTTATCTCTATTATTTTTCTCCTTCTACTTTTACTGGGTTTAAATTGCTTTTTAAATTTTAAGATGGATAATTAGCTCATTGGTTTTCTACCTTTCCTAATGCATACATTTGAAATAATGTTTCCCTCTAAGCAAGTTTTAGCTGCATCCTACAACTTTGAATATGAAGTATTTTGTCATCATTCAGTTTAAAATATCTTCAGTTTAAAATATCTTCTAATTACTATTTTGATGTCTTCTTTGACTTCTGAGTTGTAAAGAAGTTATGTTGCTTAATTTCTAAAAATTTGGAAATTTTCTAGTTGTTTTTATTATTATTGATTTCTGGCTTAATTCAACTATGCTCATAGAACATAATCTCTATGATTTACATTCTTTGACACTTGTTGAGGCTTTCTTCAAGGCTCAGCATGTGGTCAATTTTGGTAAACATTCAATATGTACTTGAAAATAATGATTCAAGCACAGCAGTTGGGTGCAGTATTCTACATATGCTGATCAAGTCAATGTTGTTAATTGTGTTGTTTAAATATTCCATATCCTTACTTACTAATTACTTTTCTTCTTATTCTATCAGACATTGAAAGGCCCACTACATTGTAAGTGTGCATATTTCTCATTGTGATTCTGTCAATTCTTGATTTATATATTTTATACCTATATTATTAGGTGCACACAGATTTATAATTAGTATATCATCCTGTGGGTGAAAATTTATCACTATGAGGTGAGCATCTTTATTTCTAGATGCTTTCTGCATTAAAATATGCTTTGTATGATATCATTAATTAGACCAAGTTTCTTTGGTTAGTGTATTTGCCTGGTTTATAATTTTCCATCTTTTTACTTTCAATCTTTCTAAATCTTTGTATTTTAGATACACCTCTTATAAGCAGCATGCTCTTTTGTTTAAAATCCAGTCTGACAATCTTTATCTTCCAGTTAGAGCCCTTTGTCCATTTACGTTTAATGTAATTATTGGTGTATGTTTCAATCTACTGTCTTACTATTTGCTTCATCTGTTATATATTTTTTTCTCTTTCTCTCTCTCTGTCCTTTCTTTCCTTCTTTTGGCTTGTTTTTTTTATTATTCCATTTCTCCCACTACTCTCAACTTCATTAACTTGGAAGTTAACACTTTTTTTTTTTTTTTTACGATTTACTTAGTGATTACCTTAGACTAGCACTATCCAATAGAAATATAATGCATGTTGCAAATATAATAATATAATCTGTGAGCCATATATATGTAACTTTAAATTTTCTAATATCCACAGTAAAAAAAGAAAAGAAAAAAGAAACAGGTGAACTTAATTTTAATAATACATTCAATTTAATTTAATATATCAAAATATTATCATTTCAACATGTAATCCATATAACATTAGTAATGGTATCATTTTCCTTTCTTTTATTCTCCTTTCTTTTCTTACCCTAAGTCTTTGAAATCTGGTGTATATTTTACATTTACAGTATACCTGAAGTAGGACTGGTCACATTTCTAAGTGCCAATAGCCACATGTGCCTAGGGGCTACCACAGTTAACAAAGCAGCCTTGTAATACGATATGTATCCTTAACTTATGAAAGTCTAATATAAATGTAGTACTTTTACCTTACCTCTTCTCAGACATTCAAGGAGCTCAGAACATTTTTATTTTATTTAATTCTCTTCCCAAATTATATAATTATTGCTTAATGTAGCATATTCGTTTGAATTTTTCCAAATATTTACTATTTTCATTGATTCTGAATCTGTCTGCCATTTAGGCTTATTTTCTTTGCACCTGAAGAATACCCTTTCGTATTTCTTTAAGTGTGATTAATTTTCTCAACTTTTGTCAAAAAAGTTCTGTATTTCACCCTAATTATTGAAGAATGGTTTCAACAGGTAGGTCATTAGTTATTATTTATTGCTTTCAGTACTTGAACCATGTAATTTCACTGTCTTCTTGCTTCCATTGCTTCTGTTAAAAAGTCAGCTATTAGTCTAATTATTCTATATATTTTCTCCTAACCTATCTTCCAGTTCAGTAATTCTCTCTGTCTAATCTGCTGAAACTTACCCACTGAGTTTTTAATTGAGTTATTGTGCTTTTCTGTTCTAAAATTCCCATATGATACTTTCTGAAAGATTTCAATTTCCTGCTGAATTCTCATTTTGCCTTCTATTTTCTTTAACACATTAAGGCATAGTGTGCTTACAAATTTTAAAATGTGTATAACTTCATGACCTGGATCCTCTGTGAGTCTGTTTTTGGTGTCAATTATTTCTCGTGTTTTGGGTGGGGTTTTTTTTTGTTCTGTGTTTAAGTTTGGGTTTTTTTTAATGGAGTGCTGGATGGTTGTATAAGAAAAAATTTTAAAATAAGTTGAGGTCTGAGATTATGCTGCCTTCCTTCAGAGGCGATTTACATTTGCTTCTGGTAGGTGACTGGAGCATTAGCAATCCTGGATCACTTTAACCCAATTTCAGAGATTAAGATGTGAAACAGGGCTTCCACCATGGGAAATGTTAATGGCCTATTTTAAATCCACCTTTCTCTTGGTATGGTATAGCCCTCTTGGCTTCCACTGTTAAATATTGGGGATTTACTAGTGTGCCCCTATCCTTAGCAGGCCTGGTCTCCAACTTTGAAGCCTCCTTACACAGAAACTGTCAAAAATTCTGCCCAAAATTTCAGCTCCTTGGCTTTCTAGCTGCCTTCTCACCACCTCTCCCACTCCCTCTACCACTACCCAGGAAGATGAGGAACCAGTTACCAATGTTTACTGATCAGGGTGACCCTTTTTATTTTTGGGAGGAATCCTGTGTGCCTCCACACAGGAGGCACAGCTCAGCATCCTCAGGACACTTAAGTATCTGATAGTAATAATCTGGGTTTCTCTTTTTTATATGGAACACCTACTTACCTTCTGCTTCCGTTAAAATATTTCTTCAACTTTCTGGGTCTCAATTATAGTTGCCTATGCATTTCTGTAGAGTTGATTTTATAGAGAAGAGATAGATTTGCATAAGATACGGTTATTTCTCCTTTTGGCTTATAACAATGACATCCACAACCCTAGCTTCCTAATCAGTCTCAGAGTCTATGAATTTCCAGGGTCCCTCTCATCCTGGGATAGTCATGGGATACTTCTGCCAACTGGGTAGATATGGCTATGTTTCCTATACAATGGCAAATGCCCAAAGCTTGTTTCTAGATGGTTCAGTCACCAGGCATGGGTAAAAGTGATGAAAAATCATGAGATCGAAAGTGACTACAGCCCAGGGTTAGGATGCTGGCCGCATAATTGAGTCTTCTTCAGGGAGAGGCTCTGTGGACAGGAATGCAACAGTTGTCTGTTTCCCTCCTGTCAAAGATAGGATAGGGGTGTAAGTAAAAATACGTGAAACCTGAATCCCATCACTTACCAAGTTCTCCTCTGTGTGGTCCGTGCACAGTTCTTTCCTGATACAGTCTTTTATGAAAACAGAAAGGTCGGGCTTGGTAGCTCATGCTTATAATCCCAGCACTTTGGGAGGCCAAGGCAGGTGGATCATTTGAGCCCAGGTATTCAAGACCAGCCTGGGCAACATGGCAAAATCTCATCTCCACAAAAAATTTAAAAATTAGCCAGGGCATGGTGGCACACACCTGTAGTTCCAGCTACTCAGGAGGCTGAGGTGGGAGGATTGCTTGAGCCCAAGAGGCAGAGGTTGCAGTGAACCAAGATTGCACCACTGCACTCCAGCCTGGGCGACAGAGTGAGATCGTCTCAAAAAGAAAAGAAAAGAAAAGAACAAAAAAGAAAGGACCAAGGCCACATTGCTCTTGAGGGCCCTCTCTGTACCCTCTTCTCAGGCCCTGACTGGCCCTGGACATGCGTCCCTTGGCCCTGATCCTTTGTCCTTGGGTCTGTTTTCCTTTCTGTCCTTTTGTGGCACTTGAGGATTTATCTCACATCAAATCTAGATGCTGCCTAGCTCTCCAGCTCTCCTCAATGCTTCCCAGGGAAGCAAACTATTCCTCTTTATTTTCAAGGTTTCATACATGGGGAACAAAAAAAAAAAGTGGGCATTGTAACGAAGTTTACAGCATTCATATAGTACTGATTCCCAAACCCTTGCTCCTTACTGCACATGAGACAGTATAGGAAACCCAGGTATTCACATGCTTGTTTTAATATGTCAGGGCTGATGCATCTGTTTCCTTCCAGAGGAAGCCAGAAACCTCAAGATTAGCTGTGACAACCAGCACCAGGGGGAGGGACAAGTCCCACTAGGACTTCCTGGCAGACCAGGTTCTCCTGGACTTCACCCACCCATCTATGTGTCCACCATGGCACTGTGTCATAGCTGTGGCAAGACATTCAAAAGGAGATTTTACTTTATTTCCCTTTATTACAAGAAGGATGGCTTTTCTTGGGCTAGCTCACATGATGGACGGCCAATACAAGATCAACACAAGGAAGAGGGCGTTCTGGAGATGCAGGTTTAAAAAGTCATAAAATGGGCCGGGTGCAGTGGCTCGCACCTGTAATCCCGGCACTTTGGGAGGCCAAGACAGGTGGATCATTTGAGGTCAGGAGTTTGAGACTAGCCTGGCCAACATGGCGAAACTAAAAATACAAAAATTAGCCGGCATGGTGGCACGCACCTATAATCCCAGCTACTCGGGAGGCTGAGGCAGGAGAATTGCTTGAACCGGGAGGCAGAGGCTGCAGTGAGCTGAGATTGAGAGATTGCACCACTGCACTTCAGCCTGGGCAACAGAGCAATACTCTGTCTCAAACAAACAAACAAGTCATAAAATGGAGCATCTGAAAGACTTGAATGGAATGCAAGGTAGCTCTGGGACTCCTCAGGACTTTAGTGGCATTCACTCTGGGCTGGTCTCTCCAGTTTGGCTAACTTTTTTATGCTCTAATTGTTCTTGTTACTACCATTTTTTCATGATCTCCATTGTCTTTGTTTTCTCTGCCTTGTAACATTGATGGCTTCATAATTTTGGCTGGTCATGACCACTATGACCCCTCATGCATCTATGCATATGATCCTCAGCTCTGCCACTCTCTGCCCAATTGTCTCCATTTACAATTCATACGTGTGTGTGTGTATGTGGACAAGATTTTTCAAATATCCTATTACCATTTTTCTGTCTCCTTGATCCATGAGTGTCTGAAATAGGTATAAATGTAGAATTATCTACTTTGTAACTTTGTAATTTTTTTTTTTTTTTTTTTTTGAGATGGAGTCTCACTCTGTTGCTCAGGCTGGAGTGCAGTGGTGCGATCTCAGCTCACTGCAAGCTCCACCTCCTAGGTTCACGCCATTCTCCTGCCTCAGCTTCCCGAGTAGCTGGGACTACAGGCACCCGCCACCATGCCCGGCTAATTTTTTTTGTATTTTTAGTAGAGACGGGGTTTCACCGTGTTAGCCAAGATGGTCTTGATCTCCTGACCTCGTGATCCGCCCACCTCAGCCTCCCTAAGTGCTGGCATTACAGGCATGAGCCACTGTGCCTGGCCCTTTACTTTGTAATTCTATCAGCCTTTTTATTTTCATATTTTGAAGTTATGTTGCGTACATAAAAATTCCCAAGTATTATAGCATCTTAGAGTAGTGTTCCTTTCATTGGTTTACAACTAGAATTGGTAAAGTTTTTCTATAAAGAACCAGGTGGTAAAAAGTTTAGGCTTTGACAACCATTCAGTATCTGTCACAACTACTCAACCCTGCCATTGTAGCTCAAAAACAACCACAGACTATATGTAAACAAAGGGGAGTGATTGTGTTCCAATAAGATGTTATTTCTAAAAACAGGTGGTGGGTTCAGCTGGCCTGCAGGCCATAGTTCGCTGATTCCTTGATTCCTTTTAAGATTTAAATTATATTTTGTTGTGGTAGTTTTCTTTGGTTGGAAATTTGCCGGATATATCTTTTTTCTATCCTTTTGTTTTCAAACTTTCTGTGTTACTTTGTTTTAGATATATCCCTTATGAACATTATATAGATCTATTAAATGTAATCTATCAAACTGCTTTTTAATTATCAAGTTTAACTCATTGAACTTATTGTGATTACTGATCTATTTGGACTTATTTTCATCCTTAGTCTGAAGATTCAGGTCTGTCCCACCACTGGGAGGGTAGGCTAGACTTCAAATTCAAGACACGACAGACTTTAATCTAGCACTATGTTTCCTTAGCCCTGTAAAAGATACAGGTCAGGAAATGAGCTTCACTCTCCTCAGGAGTCCCAGCAACTACTTAGAATGCAGATTCTGATTCCTCCCTAACCCCACCCACAAGGGGCAAGGAGGTGTGTAAACATCTGCCAGGAACGAGGTCCAGGTGTGTGCAGTTCCTCTTGCCACAGGGAGCCACTGCCTCATTTTTCCACTGGTCTTTTTTATCATGCCAGTCACACACGCACACCATCAGCATTACAACTTACAGCTCTCCCAGTTCAGAGGCTTCACGGTAACCGTGACAGATAACTGACCCCCAGTACGTGGCCTTCTGTCAAGCACACACAAGGCACACAAGAGAAAACGAAGGCCAAGGTCTAACCGATCCAATCGAGCCACTTCAGACTGATTGTTTCAATTACTCACATAGATAGAAAAAGGAAGATTAGTCAAAAGTGCCAGCTCCCTGTGGTTCTTGTCTCACACAACAAAAGGAACAACACAAAAGGGATTCGATGACTACAAGGCAAGTCGTGGGATACCCTGTTGCTGTTGAGCCAAGGGGGTCTAGACTGCAGCTATGTGGTTTTATATTCTGTAGCTCTATTCTGAGGGGCACGAGGCAGAAAGCCCCACACCTCATCAGGACTGGAGAGGAGAGAGAAAGCTGTCTCATGACAGCCTCCCAAGGGAGATAAGGGCCTCAGAGCATGCCTTACAAGCCTCCCATCCTCTTCTGTTCCAAGGGGGATCAAGAAGTGTTCTGCCAAGACTCAGATTAGCTGTGGTTCAAGCCTTCGCCTTTGCAGGGGGTGTAGATATATGCAAGGTTGCCATGGCAAAGTCATTCCCCTGCAACTCCATCCCTTGACATTCATGTGTCCTACTAAGAATTCTCAGGAGTGTGGGTCACCCCATCAGATACCCTAATTCATTATACAGATTAGGGCTTGAATAAGTGCGTTTTGTTTGTCATAGACAATGAGGTGTGTGACCATAACAATGACTCTTAATACTGTGATCAGGCTGACTTAGAGTACTGACTGCAGCCAGGCTTTCCATCTGGAGCCAGGCTAGCTAAATATGTCATGAAACCAGATGCAGCAAGAGGTGTTGGCACACACCCCCACCTCAACTGGCTAGCAGGAAGCCCAGGACAGCGCCATTGCCCATCACCACTTACACTACAAAGTTTAGAACAATTTGTAGACTGTTAAAAAAAAAAAAAAGAATCTAACAATAACAAAATGAGGCTAAAGGGAATCATATCAATGTCCAAAAAGGTTAATCTTGTTTTGTCATCTCCAGTGGAGGCTGTTTCTTTCTGGCTCTTGGGAGGTTTCCAGAGTTTTTAGATTAAGATTCTTCAATGAGAGTGGTGGCCGCAATTAAGTGGGGCCCGATGACCTACAGACAGGAGCTGAGAGAGATAGATGGTCCCTTCCTCCACCTCTGACGTTCAGGGTCTAAAGTGCTGTCTCTTGTTTAGCTTAGTTCAGCCAGAATCCAGTTCAGCAGGTTCTCCCCTCTGTACCCCATACTATCCTAGAACATCTCCCACCTCCTGACAGGTGGGCTGCAGCAGAACCACCGTAGGCACTGTTACCTCATATTGATGATCTGACTCTTTCGAAGAAAATGGTCTCAGAGAAAACCTGAAAATCACCTTTAGAAGCAGGAAAGGATGCAGGAAAGTTCCAGGCCTGCTTTTGCCCTTGACTCACAGGGTCCTCCCTCACTGCTGGAAAATCTTCAACCGTTCTCTCTAGGAATTTCACATCTGTAGGCCACATCTTTCTGACTCCAGCCCCTATCCCTCTCCCCCTCCCTTACTCTGCTCTGCCGTACCGGCCTCCTCCGTGTTCTTCAAACATGCTGGGCACGTTCCTGCTTCAGTGCCTTGATGACTGTCTCCCAGGTGGCTGCTCAACCTCCTCCCTCCCTCCTTCACCTCTCAGTGAAGTCTTCTCTCACCACAGATAAAATCAAGACCTCCTCTCCATGCCAGAATACTCTATCTCCCTTCCCTGTTTGATTTTTCTCTATAACAAGTATTACCATCTCAACATTCTCTATATCACTGCTACTTAAGTTCAGGAATCTTGCCTGCCCTTTTCACTGTTGGGAGCCCAGCCCCTATAACAGTGTCTGGCACATAGTCGGTGCTCAATAAACAAGCATTGAGTGAATACATTTGGCCTAAGCCAGTTAAATAAACCTCACCCACACCCACAGCACAGACTACTCAGCCTTAGGCCACAGACAAATGCCTGCCCTTGGCCACAGAGCCTAGTCATGGATTTCAGGCTACACTAAGCTCAAAACTTTTGTTCAAAGATTTGTTCATTGATTCAAAAATTATTGAACCATGCTATGTGTCAGGTACTGTCACTGGTATTTATTAAATAAAAGAATAAAACAGGCAAAGCCCTCTCCACATAAAGGTCACATTCTGGTAAGAGAGACAGGCCAATATATGTGCTTTCCATGAACTGGGAGAGATGATCATTTGTGACTGTGCTGCACTGACAAAGCATGTATGGATCGCATTGTCTAGTTCTAACAATGCTAAGCCTTACCAGCACAGGCAAGGGGATTAAAAAGATTTCCACAAAAACCCCTAGGCTGAAATGCACAAACAAGAAACCCTGGTGCTGATATTTTTCTCTCCCCTAGAGGGAGCTCCTCATCAGTCAAATTAAGATACTGTGGAAATGCTTTTAGAAAACAGATGTTTGAAATGTTTCCTTCTTTATGTGATTCTGTTGCCAAAAGGAATGTGACTCACTCATAACAACTCTCTCAGTCGAACACCTAAAACTTTGGAAATAGAATTTCCTCACCTACTTATTACTTACAAAATCATTGTATTGGTTTTGGACCCAGTTGTTAAAAATATAAAAATGCAACAACTTCTGACTGGTTTATAGAACAACTGATTATCATTAGGGAATATGAAATTTTTTTCACCAGACTTCAATAAAAACCTTTGCATAATTGGTGGATGCAACTGGAAGTGAATGTCTTGAGTTGGAAGACAGAGCCAATCACGCCATCTTCCCTCTGCATTGCAGGTCTTTGTGAGGGTCTTTTCCAGTTTCAACAGCCATTACAACCAACATCCAGGAACCGAGTTTAAACTTCAGACCAACAGGTCACTGTAGGACAAAAAGTTAAATCCTCACTCTCCCATGCCTCCTCCCTCCCCAACAAAAAACATAAGAGGAAAAACTAAACACCAACTCTCTGTTGATGTTCTTTGACATCAACAGACAGTTCATAGAAAACAAAACAGCTGGGGAAAGAAAGACTCTGAACATATGCAAGGATGCTCAACTTACCCATAAAAAAAAAACAGATTGATAACAGGTCCTTTGTGTTGGCAAGGATAGAGAGAAACAGGCAGTATTATATGTTGTTGGTCAAAATGTAAACTGGCAAAATTTCTTTGGATAGCAATTTGACAATAGCCATCAAAACTGAAAATGTACAGACCCCTTGATCCAGCAATTCTACTGTAGGAATTTTTCTAACCAAAAAATCCCCAAAAGTTGGCACCCTTTTAATACTAAAATAAGATGAGAACAGTGCAAGAAGAGAAAACTATCAGCCAATCTGATTTATGAACACAGGTATAAATATTAACAAACTGAATCCAATGGTGATTTCAAATAATGCTTGAATGAGTAGGATTTATTCCACAAATGCAAATATGTTAGTCATTCATCTTAACTACAAACATAAACAGATCCATATTTACTTAAGCAAAATAGAAGTGTATTGAAACAATATTTAGTAGCTCACCAAATTATCAGAAAGCCCAGGGACCAGGCTCAGAAAACAGGCAGATCAAAGAGAAGTTATGCACCCAGAACCACAGAAAACATCATACCACAGAACCAGCCTGCTGAGGATTCCAGCACCAACACAGGGGTTGCTATCCTGGTTCTCTGGATCCCAAGCTGCAGACTGAAAATTCTCAGCACACAAATTTGATTGGCCAATCCTGGTCACATGTCTGTCCCAGCAGCCAGGGGAGCTGAGAAAGTGAGAAACTGGTATTTTCAGCTCTATAATTAGAGGCAGGCTGTTTCCCACCCAGACAGATAAGAAGGAGAGTCCCCAGACATGGGGAAGGGAATCAGGTGTGTTTGGGCTCAGAAAACAACACCCCCAAAGTATAGCTCTTTGCCGTACTAAGCACCTTGAATGAAAGGCCTCCCAAGCTGCCTCAGAATCAAGGTCTTTGATCTTCCGTTGTTTCTCCCCCCAAGTGCGGGAAGGGGCTCTCTCTGAGTTCCTTTATCTGACTGAGGGAAGTTCTTTTAAAGAAACACAATTGCCTTCAATCCACTGTTTGAAATCAAATTAAAAAGGGATAGTTACTCACTGAAGAAGAAATTAAAGATCATCTGCATGAGCAGACTTTTCATCTGTTCTGAGGGCTGTCACCAAGAGGCTTTATCTGCATAATAAGACAACCTTTGGCTGGGCGTGGTGGCTCACGCCTGTAATCCCAGCACTTTGGGAGGCCAAGGCAGGTGGATCACGAGGTCAGGAGTTCAAGATCAGCCTGACCAACGTGGTGAAACCCCATCTCTACTAAAAATACAAAAATTAGCTAGGCATGGTGGCACGTGCCTGTAATCCCAGCTACTCAGGAAGCTGAGGCAGGAGAATCGCTTGAACCTGGGAGGCAGAGGTTGCAGTGAGCTGAGATAGCGCCACTGCACTTCAGCCTGGGCAACAGAGCGAGACTCTGTCTCAAAAACAAACAAACAAACAAACAAACAAACAAAAACAACCTTTGTTTGCAATGCAGTTCCACCCTTCACCTTCCTACAACTTATCACCACCCCTACTAGAGCCTAGAAGAACTTTGCCTTCAGCTATTGTTTGTGCTTCAGTCTCATTCATCCTTCTTAAAAATCATTTACTCTTCCTCTAGAATTGTCTACATCTTCCACTTTCCTCTCCCATGTGAAGAAGGTATTTAAGCTTCAATTATCTGACTTTTCTTTGAGTTTCATGCTTGTATGATTCCCATGTGCTTGCATGCTAATACATTTGTATGCCTTTTCTCTTGTCTGTCTATCGTCAGTCTATTTCAGCAGATTCAATTATCAAAACTTCAGAGGGAAAATTTAAACTTCCCTGGAGGTGTCAGGTAGCCTAAAATCTGGCTAAAGCCCACCACTGTGAGGAGGTTTCCGTGGGAAAAATATATCGATGTAATTTACCATATTAACAGATCAAAGAGGAAAACAGTGAAATCCTTCCTGCTTGAAGCTGCCTTTGCAAAAATTATAACTGAGAGAATTCTGACAGTGAAAGAGATCTGACCCAACTAACTCCATCTTGCTTCGAACCTCCAAGCTGTTCTTGTTCATTCCTGGGCATAGGCTGAACTAACTTTGGGAGGAATTTAGTTTGTAGCCCAACTTTGAAACAAAGATGGTAACAGCCCTTTCCAAAACAAACCTCCTTCCTGCCTGGGGGTTAGACTGCCTTTGCAGAACTAACAAATTAGCCACAAGATTAGAAATTATGGTTTAGGAGTCATGCAGTTAGAAGCTGCAAGATTATGGACCTCCCCAAATTGTCCCTGGGGATAACATTACTGTTGTAAAACCTAAGATCAGTACTTGAGATATTTTCAGACCCTGTACTTGATGGATCAGTAGACACCACCCAAACCAGTAAACTGGTTCATTTGGTCTTGTGGCCTCCCCACCCAGGAACTGACTCAGCACAAGAGAACAGCTTTGACTCCCTATGATTTCATCTCCAACCTGACCAATCAGCGCTTCCCACTTTCTGACCCCCTACCTGCCAAGTTATGCTTAAAACCCCCTATCCCCAAGCTTTCAGGGAGACTGATTTGAGTAATAATAAAACTCAGGTCTCCCATACAGCCAGCTCTGTGTGAATTAAACTCTTTCTCTATTGCAATTCCCCTGTCTTGATATTGGCTCTGTCTAGACAGCAGGCAAAGAGAACCCACCGGGTGGTTACATGCTGTTATTAAAAAGAAAAGCATTTAATAAACATCTTGATTGCAAAAAACAATTAGCACACAAGAATGGAAGGAAATGTACTTAATTTGCTAAGGCTAGATAAAATGAAACTCCTGCAAATGTCCTCACTGGTGGGAAAGCATAAGAAACAACCCCATTAAAGTCAGAGGGAAACGTGGTGCCACTCCCCACAATGCTTTTCAACGCTGTTCTTGAGTCTTTGTGCAACAGCAGAAGGAAGGAAAGAAGGAAGGAAGGAAGGAGGGAGGGAAAGAAAGAGGTATCATGCTGGAGGAAAAAAACTACAAAGTTGTCAGTATTTATAACTGATATGGTCACCTACTTTAAAAACCCCAAAGAATCAACTAACAAATTATTAGAACTACGAAATGCAAGGAGAATGCGATTATTATTGTAAGAAATTTCAACATCAGTAGCCAAAAAGCAGGGACATGGGGGAATTGAATAAACAGTAATCATCAAGCAGTCATCAGCAGATACATACAGAACTTTATATCTTTCAAACAGAGAATAATCATTTATTTCATATGTCCAGAGAATATTAACAAAGAACTGCCATGTACTTGGCCACTAAAAGAAGCTTAAAAACAACAAAAAAATAGAAATTGTATACATATTTTCAGTGATCATATCCAATAAAATCAGAAACAAATAATTTAAAAATTAATAAAAGTCTTACCTCATTGGAAATTAAGAAAAACTCTTAAAGGAAGGTGAAATCAAGATAAAATTGCAAACTACCCATAAAGCAATGAAAAAATAGACCACTTCCTAATAAAGCCTGGGCTTAGAGGGAATTTCACAGCCTCAATGCCTTATTATGGAGGATGGACCCCAACAGCCTCAAATGCCTTATTATGGAAGATAGACCCCCAAAATACATCCCAAAAATGTGGGAACTCATCCTAACAGTGAGAAAAAAGACAAAACAATCTAACATAAATGAAGACTAGGAGATAATAAAAGTTTGAATTAGTGAAATGGAAAACCAAGAAAAAAAGTTAAAGGAAAGATAAACTCAAAAGCTGTTTCTTTGAAAAACAGACAAACAAACAAACAGATAGACTCTCCAGTTCTCTTATAAACCAGATTAAAGAAAAAAAAGAGGGTAAAAATATACAAGACAGAAAATGAGAACTGAGACTCAACTACAGATGTGGTGAAATTAAAATTATATTAAGGAGAACAACACTATGCAAGTTTATGGCAAACCAAATTTGAAACTATTGAGGGAATGGATGGTTTTCTAACAAAATCTAAATTACCAAAATCAATCCAAGAAAAAATAGAAAACTTGAATAGAACAATTACCAAGGAAGATTATATTTTTATATATTAAATATTGCCCTGGAAGAAATAGTTTCATAGCTGAGCTTTATCTAACCTTTAGAGAGAAGATCATTCCAAAGATATTTAAACTATTCCACATAATAGAAAAAAGAAAAGAAATTCTCCAATTCATTTTACGAAGCCAGATTACACTTCATACCAAATCTGATAAAGATAGCTCCTCCCCCAACAAAAAGATAGACCAGAGAGGTTGGCAAACATTTCTGTAAAGAGCCAAATAGTAAATATTTTAGGTTTGGGGCCATACAGTCTCTTTTGCAAGTACTCAACTCTACCACTCACAAAAGCACTCCGAACAATATGTAAATGAATGAGTGCAGTAGTGTTCCAAATAAATCTTTATTTATGAACACTGAAATTTGTATTTGATATAATTTTCCATTGTCACAAAATACTACTCTTCTTTTAATTTTTTCGCAACCATTAAAAAATGTAAAAACCATTCTCAGGTCGTGAGATGTACAAAAACGAGTCGTGGGCTGAATTTGGCCCAGGGGCAGTAATTTGCTGACCTCTGCTATGGCCCAATCTCAGTAATCAATACAGATGTAAATGTAAAAAAATTGAACATTACCAAATAGAATCCAGCAGTGTGTCCAAAGAACAAGACAGTAAGAGTAAATAAGGGTTATTCCAGAAATATTCAACATCAGGAAAAGGTAGTCATATGTCTTTACATGAACAATTTAAAGGGAAAACAAAAAGCCCCCTGATCAACTTAATATATGCTGAAAATGCTGGTTATAAAGTTCAGCAGCCAATCTTAATAAAACTCTGAGAAAAACTAGAATAGAAAGAAACTGCTACAAACTGGAGACTAGTTTGTTGGTTTTTTGGTTTTTTTAGGCAAGGAGCATTCTAAATTGTTTAAAAAAAAAGGTGCAGCGGTGGGGTGGGGGAGTGGTGGCGGGGGAGGGGTGGTGGTGGCAGGCACAGTAGCTCTTGCCTGTAATCCCAGAGCTATGGAAGGCCCAGGAGGGAAGAGTGCTTGAGGCCAGGAGCTCAAGGATCTTGCCACTGCATTCCAGCCTGGATGACAGAGCACCATTTCCATTAAAAAGCCATTTGAATTAAAATTAGGACCCTGACAAGGATGCCTTCTACTATCACTATACACATTGTTGTGGTTCCAGCAAATGCAACAGGATGGCAAAATGGAAACATTAGAATACATTTTGAAAAGAAGATAAAAATTATTTCTTTCTGCTGCTGATATAATACACCTAGAATATACACCTACTATGTACCCATAAAAATAAAAAATAATAATAAGGTACCTAGAAATTCCAAGAGAATCTAATGAGGACAAAATAGAGAAATTAATAGAGAATTTGGTATGTGGTCTAATAAAAAATAAATACACAAAAATCTATAGTGTTTCTCTGTATTAACAAGAGCCAAATGAAAAATGAATTGGATAAAATATCCATCCATAATAGTAAAAAAAAAAACCCCACATCTGTTAAATACTTGGCAATCAATTAAATACGGAACCTGTATGAAGTAACCTGTAGGTCAAATTAAAAGACACAGAACAGGATCGGAAAAATGTCCTTAGATGGTAAGATTATTAACGTATTTTGCAAGAGAGAGAATAGATTATGATAGCAAATATATAATGAATACAATCCCAAATAAAATACCAATGGATTTTTAATTATACGCAATGATACAAAGGCATCTCTCTCAAAATAAATATCCAGTTACCAAGAAATCATTAATAAAGAACAGCCAGGGGTCCATCACCGTAGCTCACACCTGTGATCCCAGCACTTTGGGAGGCCGAGGTGGGCAGATCACCTGAGGTCAGTAGTTTGAAACCAGCCTGGCCAACATGGTGAAACCCCGACTCCTCTAAAAATACAAAAATTAGTGGGGTGTGGAGGCACACGCCTATAATCCCAGTTACTCAGGAGGCTGAGGCAGGAGAATCGCTTGAACCCAGGAGGTAGAGGTTGCAGTGAGCTGTTGTGCCACTGCACTCCAGCCTGGGTGACAGAGTGAGACTCCATCTCAAAAAAAAAAAAAAAAAAAAAAGAGAATAGACAGGGAGCCCAGACTCAGCACTCTAAAGTAACTGTACCCCAAACAATAGGAATAGACATACAAATGATCAGAACAGAGTGGACAAACAAAAAGAAATAGACCCCAACTAATATGAAAATTTAATAAATGATAAAGGTGGTATTTCATTTTTATGGGAAAATCACAGCTTCTTTAATAAATAGTGGGTCTATCTAGAAAAATAAAGTTGGACCCCTCATCTCTCAACACATGTCAACATTAATTCCTGGTAGACAAACTCTAACTGGAAAATCAACCCCTGAGGTGGCTGACTCCCAATTCCCAGTCAACCGGTTCCAGCACACTCTGGATGGCCCACTCTTGACAGGATGATCAGGCAATGAGATGTGGGCCAGGATAGCTCAGACCCTTCCAAGGGCCCTAAGAGAGAGGGGCACCCACTTTTTAAAGCCCTTGTTCCCAGTTCCTGGGGTGTCCAACTTGGATGTGTAGCAGCAGCAGGAGATCTCTGGCCAGCAACAGCTAGGAGTTGCCTGCCAGCTGGTGGACTCGAGCAAACCCTTCCACACCCGAGGTTTAGTCTACACCAGGGCTCCCCAAACCCCAGGCCAGGGACCGTAGCAGTCCATGGCCTGTAAGGAATGGGGCCACACAGCAGCGGGTGAGCAGCAGGTGAGCATTACGGCCGAGCTCTGCCTCTTGTCAGATCAGCTGCGTTCGATTCTCATAGGAGCGTGAGCCCTGTTGTGAACTGCGCATAGGGATCTAGGTTGCACACCCTTATGAGAATCTTATGCCTGATGCTCTGAGGTGGAATAGTTTCAGTTTCATCCCCTCCAACCCCCGTCCATGGAAAAATTGTCTTCTGTGAAACCAGTCTGTAGTGTCAAAAAGGTTGGGGACCTCTAGTCTGCACCTTCCTGACACCACCACACATCACCTGGCAGGCCTCCCATGGTGCAGAGCTCAGCAGACACAGGAGCCCTCCTCTTGCTGACGTTAGCTCATTTCCACAAAGTTTCTTTCACTATAATTGTATGACCATGGAGGTTGGGATACTAGTGCCAGAGTAACCGGGAGAGGAATTTGCGAGAGAGGGCAGCTCCAGGTGCAACCTTCCTCTGGGCCTTGGATCCCTCGCTGTTGCGGTTAACAGGAGACAAACCATTCTACCTGCTGCCTGCCCCCTGCCTGTTTTCTCTTTCACCTCAACGCTCTAGCTGATGGGCATAGTTTCTCCTGGATGTCCTAATTAACTTTCTTGATGTTTTCCTTTCCTCCCTTTTACTAGATTTTATCTGTAATCAATATTTCCCTCTCCACAAAGTTTGAGACAATACTGTATGACCTGTAGGTGTGGGAGAACTTTCTAGACCAGAAAGGAAACACAAAAGCTAGGAAAGAAAAGATATATGTTTGGCCGGGTTCGGTGGCTCACACCTGTAATCCCAACACTTTGGGAGGCCGAGGTGGGCAGACCATGAGGTCAGGAGATCAAAACCAATCTGGCTAACACGGTGAAACTCCATCTCTACTAAAAATACAAAAAATTAGCCAGGTGTGCTGGCATGCACCTGTAGTCCCAGCTACTCGGGAGGCTGAGGTAGGAGAATCACTTGAACCCAGGAGGTGGAGGTTGCAGTGAGCTGAGATCACGCCACTGCACTCCAGCCTGGGCCACAGAGCAAGATTCCATCTTAAAAAAAAAAAAGAAAAAGAAAAAGAAAAAGAAAAAAAAAGAGATATGTTTGACTGAAATGCTTCACTGGCAAAAGATACTTTCATAAGCAAAGGTTAAAAAAAACAGAAAGGAGAATTGCAAAACAAATGACAGATAAACAGTTTGAATGACTGTAGAGTTGTCCCGGATGACAAAACTACAACCCAATAGAAAAATGGCCAAAAGAATATAAATAGAAGAGCAAATATATATTAGGTTGGTGCACAAGTAATTGCGGTTTGCCACTGAAAGTAATGGCAAAAATAGGCCAGGTGCGGTGGCTCATGTCTGTAATCCTAGCACTTTGGGAGGCCGAGGTGGGCAGATCACCTGAGGTCAGGGGTTCGAGACCAGTCTGGCTAACATGATGAAACCCCGTCTCTACTAAAAATACAAAAATTAGCCAGGCATGGTGACGGATGCCTGTAATCCCAGCTACTCAGGAGGCTAAGGCATGAGAATCACTTGAACCTGGGAGGCAGAGGTTGCAGTGAGCCAAGATCGTGCCACTACCCTCTAGCCTGGGTGACAGAGTGAGCCTCCGTCTCAACAAAAAAAAGTAATGGCAAAAACTGCAATTACTTTTGCACCAACCTAATATTATCAATGAACATATGAAAGTATACCCAATCCTCCCAGTAGCAATAGAAATGTAAAATAAAGTTACTATGAGATGTTACTTTATACCCTTTAGACTAAAAAGAATCTGTAAGTGTGATAATGCCTACTGTTGGCAGAGATGCATGGTGTTCTCATACACTATGGTTGGTGGAATTATGGCTTTCTAAAGGGGCAGTTTGGCATCATCTGTTAAAATTTAATAGGCCCATACCCTTCATACCCTTTGGCCCAGAAGCCACACTGTCCTATGAGAAGCCCTGAGTGATAGCATTTCATGTGTGTGATGACACACATGAAAGACATTTATGCCACACAATATGTAGTGGCAAATAAAAACAATGAACAAAAGAATACCCATAGCTAAGGAAATGGATGCATAAACAGTGGTACTTCCATTCCTTGGAGTATTAGGAGTATTAATTGTCAATAAGAAGAATGGTTAGATCTATACCAGCTGATTTGGTGATATTTCCACAATATATTGTGTTCTCTTTGGCCAAAGGCCATGCATGCAGTGTGTACTATCTATGGATGGAAATATCCTCCTCTTCAGAAAAAAAGCACCTCCAAAGCCTTTGCACAATGCACCCTCAAGGACCCTCAGTGATTACTTATAATCTGTGATTTCAGTAGTCCGTCTCAACAATGTAAACATAGCCTGCTCAGCGCCTCCCAAATGTATTGGACCACTGTAGGCCCCCAGTGCCCCATCTTCCTGTTTTGAGTTGCTACCTGGGACGTATACTTGTCTTGTAGAAGAGGAGGTGCTAAAATTGGTAGATATCATCAATGTCAGGAGATGACAACCTAGTCTTGGAGATGGAAATGGCTCCAATGATAGCACCCAGCCCAAGACAATGTGGCACCTTGCTACACAGAAGACGACAGTGCCTCAGCCCAAGACAACAGGGGACAACACCACCTTTACCTGACCTGGACCCTTGGCCATGACAGTGTCCAGGAAGGTAAGACAACTGATGACTGACAACTCCTGCACCCCCCATCTAGGACTTGGTTACAGAACTCAAATTTGTCTTTCTAAGTTCCCTGATGAGGAGGAACCTTTGGAAGGGCGTTTTACCAAGCTAGTGCATTCCCTGTCACGAAGTCTCCTGGCTTACATTATTGCCTGTGATTCTACCAATTGGCCCATGATACTGGCCAGACCACTCTTGACTGCTGTCACCAATTGTGGCAGGCTAAGTCATGTGTGCTTACCCACACCTCACTGGAGTTCCAATTAACCTAACCATCCCCTGTCTGGCCACACCTCCTACATGGAGATGGACTGAGTTCTGGGTCCTCCAGGATTGGAGACATTTTGACATCTGTTGGGATAGTTATTTTTCTACCACCGCTGCCCCACCTACCACTTCACCACTTCCTCCCCCAACACCTTAGACACATCCTTTGAGGTCTCCCCAAATGCAGGATCATCCACACCATCAGAGATCAGACTGCCCCTCTACTACTACCTCCCCTTATGAGCCTAATAGTCCTAATATTTTAACACAGTGGGATGAAATCAGAGCCAAGCTTCTCAGGAGATGTAATTGTTGGGCCTGTTAATATACCACACCAAAGCTGTTCCCTGAGCTACTCTAATTCCCCCTGGTCTGGCACAATTACCAGCACTACAGATATCACTCTCTCTTGCTAACATAAAACCCAAAATTACAGCCCAACTGCTTGGCATCCAAGGCATACATGTTGTTATTTGCCCCTCCAGAACCCCAAGCAGGGATTGTGTTTACATATCTGACCCAGATTTAACATGACTTGGAGACACTTGGGAGCTCAGTGTCACTTCACCTCTTGGGGCCTAGGGTAACATAGCCCATTTTCAGGTTCTCTAATTCATCCATGGGGTATACCATGGTCCTGTGAAACTTGGGACTCATTACATGCACTCCTGATTCCCACAGCCCACTTCTGCCTCCCTTTATGCAAGGGGAACAACAGGGTCCAGACCCAAATCTGTAACTTCAAATGTGTCCTACCTGTATTAGCTCATTTTCACACTGCTGATAAAGACATACCCGAAACTAGGAACAAAAAGAGGTTTAATTGGACTTACAGTTCCACATGGCTGGGGAGGCCTCACAATCCTGGCAGAGGGTGAAAGTCACTTTTTACATGGCAGTGGCAAGAGAAAAATGAGAGAGAAGGAAAAACAGAAACCCCTGATGAACCCATCAGATCTTGTGAAACGTATTCACTATCACAAGAATAACACAAGAAAGACCAGCCCCCATGATTCAATAACCTCCCCCTGGGTTCCTCCCACAACATGTGGGAATTCTGGGAGATACAATTCAAGTTGAAATTTGGGTGGGAACACAGCCAAACCATATTGTCCCACCCCTGGACCCTCCAGATCTCATGTCTTCACATTTCAAAACCAATTATGCCTTCCCAACAGTCCCTGAAAGTCTTAACTCATTTCAGCATCAACCCAAAAGTCCACAGTCCAAAGTCTCATCTGAGACAAGGCAAGTCCCTTCCACCTATGAGCCTGTAAAATCAAAAGCAAGCTAGTTACTTCCTAGATATAATGAGGATACAGGTATTCGGTAAATACAGCTGTTCCAGATGGGAGAAATTGGCCAAAACAAAGGGGTTATAGGGCACATGCAAGTCCAAAATCCAGCAGGGCAGTCAAACTTTAAAGCTCCAAAATGATCTCCTTTGAGTCCAGATCGCACATCCAGATCACACTGATGCAAGAGGTGGGGTCCCATGGTCTTGGGCAGCTCCGCCCCTGTGGCTTTGCAGAGTACAGCCTCCCTCCTGGCTGTTTTCACAGGCTGGTGTTGCGTGTCTGCGGCTTTTCCAAGCAAACAGTGCAAGTTGCCAGAGGATCTAACTTTCTGGGATCTAGAGGATAGTGTCCCTCTTTTCACAGCTCCACCAGGCAGTGCCCCAGTAGGGGCTCTGTGTGGGGGGTCCAACCCCACATTTCCCTTCTGCACTGCCTTAGCAGAGGTTCTCCATGAGGGACCCAGCCCTGCAGCAAACTTTTGCCTTGGCCTCCAGGCATTTCCATACATCTTCTGAAATCTAGGCAGAGGCTCCCAAACCTCAATTCTTGACTTCTGTGCACCCACAGTCTCAACAGCTTCAGAGGGTGGAAGCTGCCAAGGTTTGGGGCTTCCACCCTCTGAAGCCACAGCCTGAGCTGTACATTGTCCCCTTTCAGCCATGGCTGGAGCACCTGGGACACAGGGCACCAAGTCCCTAGGGTGCACACAGCATGGGGACCCTGGACCCAGCCCACAAAACCACTTTTTCCCCCTGGGCCTCCAGGCCTGTGATGGAAGGGGCTGTCATGAAGTTCTCTGTCATGGCCTGGAGACATTTTCCCCATAGTCTTGGGGGTTAACATTAGGCTCCTTGCTACTTATGCAAATTTCTGTGGCCAGCTTGAATTTCTTCTCCATAAATGTTTTTTTTTTCCACTGCATCATCAGGCTGCAAATTTTCTGAACTTTTATGATCTGTTTTCCTTTTAAAATGGAATGCTTTTAACAGCACCCAAATCACCTTTCGAATGCTTTGCTGCTTAGAAATCTCCTCCACCAGGTACCCTAAATCATCTCTCTCAAGTTCAAAGTTCCACAAATCTCTAGGGCAGGGGCAAAATGCTGCCAGTCTCACCAAAACATAGCAAAAGTCACTTTTGCTCCAGTTCCCAACAAGTTCCTCATCTCCATCTGAGACCACTTCAGTCTGGACCTTATTGTTCATATCACTATCAGCATTTTTGTCAAAGACATTCAACAAGCCTCTAGGAGGTCCCAAACTTTCCCACATTTTACTGTCTTCTTCTGAGTCCTCCAAATTGTTCCAATCTCTGCCTGTTACCCAGTTCCAAAGTCACTTCCACATTTTCAGGTATCTTTTCAGTAACACCCCACTCTACTGGTACCAATTTACTATATTAGTTCATTTTCATGCTGCTGATAAAGACATACCTGAAACTGGGAAGAAAAAGAGATTTAATTGGACTTACAGTTCCACATGGCTGGGGAGGCCTCACAATCACAGCAGGAGATGAAAGGCACTTCTTACATGGTGGCAGCAAGAGAAAAATGAGAGAGAAGCAAAAACAGAAACCCACCAGATCTCTTGAGACTTATTCACTATCCCCTGATAAACCCATCAGATCTCTTGAGACTTATTCACTATCATGAGAATAGCACAGGAATGATTGGCCCCCATGATTCAATTACCTCCCCCTGGGTCCCTCCCACAACATGTGGGAATTCTGGGAGATACAATTCAAATTGACATTTGGGTGAAGACATAGCCAAACCATATCACTACCTAATGTCTTTGGGCCCTCCCTTATATTCAAGTAGCCAAGACCCCTTGGTTCCCAGCCAGACCATATTCATTCTGACAAATGTGAGCTATTTTTATTTCCATACTCTTAGGAGCAGGCTTATTCACTAGCAGGAACTGTAATGAGTACTGCCACTGTAACACAGCAACAAATCATTTAGGTCAATACAAACTTGTCAGCTATGCTGTCCCAACACATAAATCTGATATAGCACAGTCTCACCCTGGTGCAACAATCACATGACTCTCTAGCCCAGGTGGTATTAGATAATCACCTCACCCTAGATTAGTTCCTGGTCAGAGCAGAGGGGAGGGAGTCTGCGCCATCTAAGGAGCAACCTATTGCATGTATATAAATAACTCTGACCACGTATAAACCAATCTAAAGGCCATGGCCCAACAAGTACAGGTATTTTGTGAGCTTACCCAGTTTTATAACATTTCCTCTCTGGCTCTGGGTAAAATGTTTGACCCGTTCACTTGGCTTGATCTTACACAACCTGCCCTTTAAGAATGGGTAAAGGAAGTCCCTCTGGTGGAAATGAAAGGACACTAGAGAATAACTAATATTAGACAAAATAGAATGTAAGACAAAAAATTCTTCCAATAGACAAAAGCATTGTATAATGATGAGTCAATCCATTAATACATAATAATTATAAGCATATATGTACCTAATAAGAGCCCCAAAGTATAAGAAGCAAAAACTGACCCAGATAAAGGGGGAAATAAACAGTTCAACAACAATGGTTGGAGACTTCAACATCCCACTTTCAATAATGAATAGATGATCACCTAGACAAACGATAAACAAGGAAATAGAATATTTGTACATCACTACACAGCAACTAGACTTATCGAACCTATATAGAGTACTCATCCAACAGCAGAATACCCATTCTTTTTAAGTACACACAAAACATTCTCCAGGATAGACCATATGTTAAGCCACAAAACAAGTCTCAATAAATTGAAAATGATTGAAATCATAAAAATATCTTCTCTGATCACAGTGGAATGATCATAGAAATCAACAATCAAAGGAAATATGGAAAATTCACCAATTTGAGGAAATCAGCAACACACTTCTAAACAACTGATGGGTCAAAGAATAAATCACAAAAAAATAGAATTTACTTTGATATGAATGAAAATAAAAGCACAATGTGCAAAAACCTGTGGAATGCATCAAAAGCAGTGCTCAGAAGGAAATTTATAGCTGCAAATGGCTACATTCATTAAAAAAAAAGAAAGATCTCAATAACATAGCCTTCTACCTAAAGAAACTAGAAAAAGTATAGCATTCTACCTTGAGAAACTAGAAGAAGAGCAAACTAAACACAAAGCCAACAGGAGAGAAATAGTAAGATTATAGCAGAGATAAACTAAATAGAAAATTAAGAAAAACTATAGATCAGCAAAACCAAAAGTTGATTCTTTAAAAATATCAACAAAAATTGGCAAACCTTTAGCTACACTAAACAAGCAAAGAGACATAAGACTTAAAGTACTAACATCAGAAATGAAAGTGGGAACACTACTACCAACTTTATAGAAATAAAAAAGATTATAAAATAATACTATGAACAATTGTATATAAACAAATTAGATAACCTATGAAATGGGCAAATTCCTAGAAACACACAAACTACCAAAACCAACTGAAGAAGTATTAGAAAATCTGAATAGCTCTATATCAAGTAAAGAGATTGAATCAGTAATCAAATCATTTCCAATAAAGAAAAATCCAGGACCGATTGTCTTCACTGGTGGATTTTATCAGACATTAAAGAGAAACCAACACCAATTCTTCTAAAATTCTTCCAAAAAATAGAGGAATAGGGGCACTTCTTAACTAATTCCTTGAGGCCAGCATTACCCTGTTACCAAAGCCAGACAAAGACACTATAAGAAACTAAAGAGTGATATCCCTTATGAATATAGACTCAAAAATCCTCAGAAAATAGTAGCAACTCAAATCTAATAGCATATTAAAAGGATTATACACTATGACCTACTGGGATTTATCCCAGCAATGCAAAGAAGGTTCAACATACAAAAATCAATGTCATACATCATATTAACAGACTAAAGGGGGGAAAACACACAGTTACCTCAATTGATGCAAAAAAGGAATTTGACAAAATCCAACACTCTCTCATGATAAAAACACTAAATAAACTAGGAATAGAAGGGAACTTTTCCAACCTGCTAAAGATCATCTATGAAAAATCCACAATGAGCATCATAATTAATGGTGAAAGATTGAAAGATTTTTCTCTCAGATCAGGAGCAAGATAAGGATGTCTGTTTTCATCACTGTTATTCAACATTGTACTGGAAGTTCTAGCCAGGGAAATTAAGCAAGAAAGAAAACTAAAATGCCCACAAATTGGAAAGGAAGATGTAAAACTAGCCGGGCACAGTGGCTCACACCTGTAATATCAGCACTTTGGGAGGCTGAGGCAGGAGGATCACCTGAGTCCCGGAGTTTGAGACCAGTCTGGGCAATATAATGAGACCTCATCTCTACAAAAATCATAAAAAATTAGCCAAGCATAGTGGCACGTCCCAACTACTCAGGAGGCTGAGGTGGGAGGATTGCTTCCAGGAGGCGGAGGGTACAGTGAGCTGAGATTGCACAACTGCACTCCAGCCTGGGCAACACAGTGAGACTCTGTCTCAAAAACAAAAAAAAAAAAAAAAGAAAGAAAAGAAAACTATCTGTTTGCAGATAACATGACCTTACATACATAAAAACATAAAGAAAATCCTAAAGAATCCACAACAAAATCTATTAGGGCTAAAAAACTAATTCTTCAAAGTTGCAGGATATAAGATCAACATACAAAAATCATGTGTATTTCTACACACTAGGAGTGAACAATTCAAAAATGAAATTAAGAAAACAATTCCATTTGTAATAGCATCAAAAAGAATAAAATACTTAGGAATAAATTTAACCAAAGCAGGTGAAAGACATATACAATGAAAACTACAAAACACCATAGAAAGAAATTAAAGATGTAAATGGAATGGAAAGATACTCCGTCTTCGTGTGTTGGAAGACTACTCCCCAAATTAATCTACAGATTTACTGTAATCCCTGTCAAAATTCCCACTGTCTTTCTTTGCAGAAATGGACTAGCTAATCTTAAAGTTCATATGGAATTGCAAGGGTCTAAGAATAGACAAAATGATCTTGAAAACGAAAAACAAAGTTGGAGGACTGACACTTTCCATTTCAAAACTTACTACAAAACTACCATAATCAAGACAGTGTGATATCTATCCTGGCATTAGGATAGATATATAGATTGACAGACTAGAATTGAGAGACCAGAAATAAAAATCAATTGTACACCTATGTTCAATTGATTTTCAACAAGGGTGCCAAGACCCAGGGGAAAGAATAGTCTCCAACACAGGTGCTAGGACAACTGGATAACCCCATGCAAAGAATGAAGTTGGATTCTTTCCTCAACATATGCAAACGTGAATTCAATATTGATCTAATATCTAAATGGAACCAATAAAACTACAAAACCCTTACAATAAAACACACAGGTAAATTCTCATGATCTTGGATTTGGCAATGAGTTATTAGCTAGGATGCCAAAGCACAAGTAACGAAGAAAAAAATAGATAAATTGGACTCAACAAAATTAAAACAAAGAACATTATGAAAAAAATGAAAAGACAACCTACAGAATGGAGAAAATATTTTCAAATCATATATCTGATAAGGGTCTCCTTCCCATCATATATAAAGAATTCCCACAACTCAACCACAAAAAGACAAATAAGCCAATTAAAGCAGGCAAAGGACTTTAACAGACATTTCTCCAAAGAAGGTACACAAATGGCCAACACGTGCATGAAAAGATACTCAATGTCATTGGTCTTAGGGAAATGAAAATTGTAATCACAATGAGATACTACTTCACACTCAAGATGGCTATAATTTTTCAAAGGAAAGTAATAAGTGTTGGTGAGGATGCAGAGATTGGTGAGAATGAAAAATGTTTCAGCTGCATGAAAAACAGTTTTGTGCTTCCTCAGAAAGTTAAACACACAATTACCACACAACCAAGCAATTTCACTCCTAAGTATATACCCAAAAGAATTGAAAACAGGTGTTCAAACAAATACTTATACAAGAATGTTCATAGCAACACTGTTCACAATCACCAAACACTAGAAACACCTCAAATGCCCATCAACTGATGAATATATAAACAAAATGTAGTACATCTATACAGTAGAATATTATTCAGCCATAAAAAGGAATGAAGTACTGATACGTGCTACAACATGGAAGATCCTTGAAAACGTTATGCCTAGTGAAAGAAGCCAGACACAAAAGGCCCATATTGTATGATTCCATTTATATGAAATGTCTTTTATAGGCAAATCCATGGAGGCTAATAGCAGATTAGTGACTGTCAGGGGCTAGGGTGGGAAAAAGTAATGGGGAATGATTACTTAATGGGTACAGGGTTTCTTTTCGAAATTAGATAAAATTAGAAGCTAGAATTTTAAAGTGGTTAAAACAATCAATTTTAAGTTACATGATTACTTCAATTAATTAAAAAAGATACACAGAAACACACTAAAAACAGTATTATGTATTTTTTAGGTACATGGATGTAGTGTGTTTATAAATGCACAGTTAAAAACAAGATAGATAAATGCATAGCTAGTTGTCCAGGATACCCTCCAAGCTGGAACCAGTAATAATGCAGAGGAGGAAATATTGATCGCCAAGGTAAATTTTGAAATGCATAAATTTTTACAAGAATATATTTTACATGTTTAATTAAAAGTAAGTTATTTTATTAGAAAATTTACATCAGTTATACATGGTATAAGATCTGAAAGAATAGCTCTGGGGAAAAAATTCATGGGAAATTCCCTTTCCGCCTTATATGTGTCTGCATATTGAAATTTTGGCAACAGACATGTACTATATTTATAATCAGAAAAAAATATATATCAAGCAAGAAGAAAAGAACAGGAAGCTGGAGAAGAAGTAGTGAGGAAATAGAGACCGAGGACCATGCTCTGTGAAAACTTAGTAAGACTCAGGGAGTTTGTCTAACCCCCACCCCCATCTGCTGCCACTTTCAACTGCAAAACTGTGAACTCTGGCAGGATTTTCCAGGGACAGCCAAGAAGATAGCAAAGTTACGGTATTATGGCAACTCCCAACCAGGCCAAAATGGGGGAGAAATGGTGGAGTGTGTCATCTTGACCATGGCAACCTGGCCTGGAAGGGCTGAGCTCCCAGAACACTGGCCACTAAGTGATCCCTCCTGTAGGGGTGGATGCCTGACACCGGGACTAAGTGAAGGCCCTTGAGATGGCTGGTTCCAGCATTTGCTCACCCAGATTGGCAGTCATTAAGGGAAGTAATAGGATCCACTATTTTGAGGACTTTAAACATGCTTGGTTTACCAAGGTTGCTTGTTTGACAGTGGGGCCAGAACCTGTAAGATGCCCAGATGAGCAGTGCCATAGCAATGATATGAGGCAGCAGGATCCTCAAAAACATATAAACAGAAGCCATGGACAGTGTGTGGCCCTACAAGCCGTGGGCACCCAGCAAACCTTCCTGCAGAAAAATGGATAATGAAATGTGTGCTAAAGCCAGAGCCAAAATGGCCTGTGCTAATTCTGAATCCTAGAAGCACAGCTTTTTGTGAGCTCCCAGGAGATCTGCTTGCACAACTGCATTCTTACAGTGAGGCAGGACAGAGCCAGGTTTTGTGGGACCTAAAACATATCATTTAGAAAGCCTACTTTAAGAAAAGCACACAAAATTAGAGATGTCAAATTAGTGAGTATTTATTAAAGATGAGAAAAGAAATTACAACAGTTATACATTTTTTAAGTTGATAAATACATCAAACATAATATTTATATGAATTAACTGACCCACCTCTATATTTTCCTACATTTCAGCTGCATAACCTTTTAATGTTTCTTCATAGGATGATTTTACAACTGCATTGTCTACAGAAATATTCTTATGATTGACATTTGGTATGCATAAAGCATGTGATTTTTCACACTGACTTCCACGTTGTTTACAGTAGCTCTGCTGGTTGTGCCCTACAATCACAGGAATTCAGATAAATTCTATTTCACAAAATTCCCACCAAGAAAAGAAAAAAGTATGGAAATGTTTAAAATTGTATCATTGCATTGTCAAGTATATTCCTGAAAAGAGAGAGCTTCAATTTTAATCAGGCATCAATGAGACTTGAATCTTCCACTTATAGTTTTACACATCTAATAACAGGAAGAATTTTCTACAGACTGGCTTCTGGTTCCATACTTTTCACATTTACTTTTCCTCCCCTGCCCAAATACTTTTGGTGCCAGCACTGGAAGACACGTTCTTATTGGATAGCAGCCCTTCTGTTCCTGCATCTTCACGCCATGAGCAAGGTGAATGAACACAGCAACAGCAGAATGGCTAGCAAGGATTTATGTGTTCCCAAGGGTGACTGTGAACCACACAAATCTATGCTGTTAAACTGAGTCTAGGCCGGGCGCGGTGGCTCACGCCTGTAATCCCAGCACTTTGGGAGGCAGAGGAGGGCGGATCACGAGGTCAGGAGATCGAGACCATCCTGGCTAACACAGTGAAACCCCGTCTCTACTAAAAAGACAAAAAATTAGCCGGGCGTGGTGGCGGGCACCTGTAGTCCCAGCTACTCAGGAGGCTGAGGCAGGAGAATGGCCTGAACCTGGGAGGCGGAGCTTGCAGTGAGCCGAGATTGTGCCACTACACTCCAGCCTGGGCGACAGAGCGAGACTCTGTCTCAAAAAAAAAAAGAAAAAAAAAAACTGAGTCTATCCCAACTCAGCCTTCCCTTAGTCTCGTGGCAAAAGAGGTTGCCATTCCACCCCACTCAACAGGAGGTGAGTGACAGAGGGAGTAAGAGGGAAGAGAGACAGAGGTCCTCTCCAATTGCAGCTGAAATATCTTGCTTTCACAAATTTTACCCAAAAATATACAGCTCTGTAAACACGTTCCTCGGGCCCTGACAGGCGCCCTGACACTTAAGCTTCAGGAAATCCAAATTGGCTATGAGTAGAGGCTTAAAGTAAAACTCCTTCCTTGTAGGTAAGCTGCATGACTCTCTCTTCACTGCCATCAGGAGGATCAGGAATGCCACTGGGGCTGAGAAATAAACTGAAGGCAAGAGATAATGGTAGGCTCCCAAAGTGGTGGGAATCAATAAAGCAAAAGAGATGAAAGCAAGAGAAGAGGAGAGAGAAATGTGGTTAAAATGCGTGCAGACGGGACCTGATGAGGTAGAGTCTTGTGTGCAAGTGGGCGGAGTCCAATGATGGAGGTGTGACTAACAGTTGAGGGTGGGGCTAAAGACAAGGGTGGCCTAAGTGACAGATAAGTGGACCCTAAGGATCAAGGCCATGGACACGCAAAATGTGAGTAAGGCCCTTGCAGTAGGGACTTACCTGACAGGTAATGAACCGTGTCTAAATGTGAGTGGGGGATTGGAAACAAGATGGATGGGCCCTAGAAACAAGAAGTCAGGGGCACCTGGGCCAGGCCTTCTTTCCTCCCAAGATCAGAGATGGGGATAGGAACAGGAGGGGAGGGTCCCCCATTGAGCATCTCCCTGTTTTTCCTTTCCCCCAATCAGTTAGAGAAGACAGCCATAAAGATTCAGTCATGGTGGCGTGGAAACATGGTGCGCCGGACGTTACTGCAGGCAGCACTCAGAGCCTGGGTCATCCAGTGCTGGTGGAGGTCAATGCAGGCCAAGATGTTGGAGCAAAGACGGCGCCTGGCACTAAGACTCTATACCTGCCAGGAGTGGGCGGTGGTGAAGGTGCAGGCACAGGTTCGAATGTGGCAGGCCCGCAGGCGGTTCCTCCAGGCACGCCAAGCGGCCTGCATCATCCAGTCTCACTGGCGCTGGCATGCCAGCCAAACCCGAGGCCTGATCCGGGGCCACTATGAGGTCAGAGCCAGCCGGCTGGAGCTTGACATCGAAATCCTCATGACCTAGGGCGCTGACAGAGCCAAGGAGGCTGGATCTCTCTTCCAATAAAGACCCTTACTGACCATACACTTGCCCTTTGGAGATTAGACTCATGGAGGAGGGTTCAGCCTCTAAGTTTTCTGCCTTCCCCCCAGAAAGATTCCCTGGTGTGGTCTAGAGCCCCTGTCCTCAGGTCACCAACCTAGGCCCCTGTTCCTAACAGCATACCGGGACAGTCTTGCATCCAAGAGAGACCCCAGGGCCCAGGTCAAGCAATGATGCCTCAGTCAGCCTGATTTTGGCCCCTTCCACAGTGGGAGTAGGCATTGGGCTTTAGTTTCCTGCAGCCCCTGTCCAGGCATCTCCATTCAGATCAGAAGATCAGAGAATCTGGCTGCAGCCAGGGCCAGCTGGGAAGGCCAGGATTCCACAGGCCTGTGCTTGGCAAGGCCCTCAGGGCCGGCAGAGTGCTTGGCAGGGAGCCAGGAGGACATGGCACTTCAGCTGGGCAACAGCAGGACAGACGCTGTGCCTTATGGTGGGGAAGGGAGTCAGGGAGCAGCCAGCCAGAGCCAGCCCCTGGGGAAGCCAGAGCAGGAGCTGAGGGCAGCAGCTGTGCCTGCCGCCTGCCCACCCTGGGGCTGAACAACAAGGCTTCCCTCCCCTCTGCTGGGCACTTCCTTGGAGAACCAGGCATGGGATCAGGGAGGGGAGAGAGACTTGGGGGCTGTGGGGGGATGGTTGTGGGGGTGGCATGGGGGCAGGTAAACAAACAGAGGACTAGGGATAGGCAGGGGAAAGGGTTGTCCCTCTGCCACTGGAGGTCATTGGGCACACAGCCTCTAAATCCTATAATGTCCTCAGAAGCAGCTGTGCTCCTCCTCCACCCCCATGTCCCCTCTCTGGCCTCCCCCCAGGATGCCTCACCGTCTGCTGGGCCTGCCTTGGGTGGGTGCTGCTGGGCTACTGCTTTGCTAAGTCTCTCTCTGTCTCTGGGCACCTATGGCGCAACCATCTCTCATGTGGTCTCTCACTGTCTCTGGTTTGTCATCCATGCCCAAGGCCCCTCACTCTCAGCTTGTGTCCCTCAGATGTTTGTGTGAACCTCCATCCCAGAAGTCTGAGGTCTGCAACCCTCCGCAGGGTTTTTCCATGGTGGGCCCTGCAGGAGCGGTGGGAAGGGAGGTGTGCAGGGGTCTTCATGCCTTGCAGCTGGGTGACACTTTCCCTAATCCGTGTGTGTGTGTGTGTGTGTGTGTGTGTGTGTGTGTGTGTTGGGGGTGAGTCTCCAGAACAGCTGTAGCAGATGTGAGGGCTCAGGGTTCAGCCTGACACCCATCATCTGCAGTAGCTGCAGGTGGCAGTGAAGCAACTGGGTACCTGGACTTTCTGACTGAATCCCGCTCTTCCAAGGGAACCCATTCAGTGGTGCTGGATACAGCTCTGCCCACCTCCTACTCACAGCAGCAAGTGGTATGAAACTAGATAGGTCTGCAGCTGGGCATAATAGGAACTCTGCATGACTAACCCCTTAGGTGCTACCCCAAGAGTGAGAGGTGTTTAAAACCTGGATTGGCAATGGTTTAAGTCTCTGAGTTATATATTTTCAACATAGGACATTGCAATCCCCTAGGACACTAAAAAAAATAATGATACCTGGATCCACCCAGGGATTCTGCTTTAACTGGACGGGTATGAGGCCTGGCATCAGGATTCCAAAGTGCAGTCTTGGTTTGGGAACTGCTGAGTTAAGCCCTTCTCAGCTGGCCCATGTAGTCCCACTTGAGGATGCTCTACAGAATTTCATGCTGAACACAGGAGACAGGTCATCAAGGCTTCCTGCTCTCTGATATGCTAACAATGCCAAGTGAAATAGGAATCCAGTGGGAGCACCACTTTGGGTCAAAAACTTTTGGAAACAGGAAGACACAGCTTGGTAGCTGGGGGCTGAATGGGAGGGGCTTTTGAGGGGAACATGAGTGAGACCTCTTGTCCCAGATAGACAGGATCTCAAGAAGATGGCACCACCCAACTGTGAGCAATGAGACTCAAGGGCTAGCCCAAGAAAGCCAAGCTTCATCCAAAGCCTTCACCACCACTCCACTTTGGGTGTCCTGCTGGTGGTCAGGGGCCTTAAGAAGCTAGGGATGGTCGGGACCTGTGGGCAGTGGGCATTGGAGAGCCCCAAGGAAGAGGAGGTGAGTGAGGCATGGGATGGGAGTCAGGAGAAAGACTCCTCTTTAACAGTGAGGTCTGTGGCCAGTGTTGGCCTAGATCACTGGAGCCACTCTCCCCTCCTCAGTAGGGGTAAGGCTGCTGGTGGGACTCTCAGAGGCAGACCTCAGAGGCCCTTCCTGTCACTCCTTACTATTGCTGAGGATTGAGCTGCAGGAGGAACTCTTTCTGAGAACACGTATCATATGCTGAAACACTGAAGTGTAGAAGGGGAGGCTGTGCTTGTGGCTTTGGGATGGGAGTAGATCTCAGAGCACTCTAGGGGGACCGAGTATCCTCAATCTTGCTCCTCCCTCAGATGACATGGTGTCCCCAAGAGATATGTGCCCACAGCCCTCCCATAAATAAAGAATTGCATTGGCCCTCACACTGGCCCAGCCTGCTGAGGCCCTAAGAAGGTAGCTCAGTAAGTGAGGGCCCATCCCCTGCAGTTCTCTTCCACCAATGGGAAAGGATTCCCAGATGGCATCTCATCTCTTTGTCCCCAGGGTGCCCACCCTATGCTTTCAAGCCTCCCACCTGATACATCACCAACCTCAGCTCTGACCACACAGCCCCAGGGTCTCCAGAGCCTTGTCTTTTGCTTCTTTGTGTCCCACGTGCTAAATCCAAAATGAGATGACCACAGCCACCGCCATGCCATGCCAGGCAGTTTGAGTGGACTGACCAGCATCCCGCTGACCACACATACACCCATGTTACAGGAGGGCACCACCCTACTCCATCCCCACCCTGCCAGGGTGGAAATGCTTAGTGTGAAAAAGTCGATCAGCTTTGTTTCAAAAAATTGAGTTTGCTCAAGTCCACAAGTTAGTGGAAGCAGGCACTTATGTAGAAGAGCTACAGTGGGTTGAAAGAAAAAATGTTTCCTGGGCACTCTCAAAGCTGTGCTTTCATATCAAGTGTCAACAAATAGCTTTGCATAGAGTTTTACCTTTAAAAAGGTGACCATAGATTTTGAGAGTGAAAGGTGCAATCTTGATAAATACATTGGAAATACCAAGTGCAAACCATGACTGTCCTGGGAAAACCGGGAGGTGTTAGCAGCCTATTGGTAAGCCTCCGTGTGCAGAGGGTGGCAGGAGGTGGGGGTTGGGGTAGAGGGCAGAGAAATTTCCAGCTACACAAGAAGAGACAAAAGAAAAGCCCATGCATGACCCTGAGAAAGAGTGTGAGGAGGCTGAGGTACTGCTGCAGCCTGCTGCCTGCCCCTGCCCTCCACCTCTTTCCCTTGTGTCACCCCAATAGGCAAAGGGAGATCTGAGAATATAACCTGGGGAGACTGCATAGCTCAGAGATGAAAGGAAGCAGAAGCCAAGGGAGATGCCTAAGTGATGGGTCTGGGGACAGCTCCCACTGAGTCCTGTACACTTCCCTATGGAGCACGTAAGTAGCCAAGATCCCTGGGATCCCCAGATGGGGGAGGCAAGAAGTGCCAAGAGGACTGGTGGTCCCAAAGAGGCCTGAGATAGAGACAAGAAGCCACAGACTATAAAGACCTTGCCACCTGAGGCCAAGGCAGGGACCATGGGCATTGCAGAAGGTGAGTTTAGGTCAAGGGGTGGAGCACAGAGAGGTCCATTTCTCAGAGGTGGATTGAGGATAAACAACATGTCACCCATAACAGCAGCAGAACCGGTTGCAAGAATCAACCCAGGGTTGGGAGCAGTGGCTCACGCCTGTAATCCCAGGACTTTGGGAGGCCAAGGTGGGAGGATTGCTTGAGGCCAGGGGTTCAAGACCAGCCTGGGCAGCATTGTGAGACCCTGTCTCTAGTATCTCTCTCTCTCTCTCTCTCTCTCTCTCTCTCTCTCTCTCTCTATATATATATATATATATATATATATATATACACACACACACACACACACACACACATATATGTATATATAAAATATGTAATATATATATAGATATCAACCCAGGAGGAGAAAGTGGGGGATGTGAGTGGAGCATGATTGGCTATGAGTTGATCATTGCTGAAGCTGGATGATGACTACTGTCTGTATTTTTGGATATGTTTGAAAGTTTCCACAATAAAAATATGAAAAACTAATAGTATAAATACTGGAAGAATTAAAATTACTTCTGTACCTTCCATAACAGTTAAAAATTGCACTGGGCTGTTAGGAATAGAAACTTGAAAAACAGTGGGTTAAACAACACAAAAGTTTGTTTTCCTCTCCCGTAAATGAATCCCAGATGTGGGAAGTCCAAAGTATGGCAGCTCCATGATGTCAGCAGGGTCCCATCTCCTTTCCTCTGTCCACACTGCACCATTGGATGGGACCCTAGTCCTCATGCTGTCAAGATAACTCCTACAGTTCCAGCCATCATGTCTACATTCCAGGCAAGAAAATGAAGGACAAAAATAGAAACTGCTCATGCCAGCTGAATTTGTTTCTTTAAAAGGCTTTTCCTAGAAGGCTCACTTGCCCAGTCACCTCAATTTATATTTTGTTTGCTAGAACTGTTACTTGACCCTCCCAGCTACAAGGATGCATAATGCTACCATGACTAAACTCAGATACATCCAAATAGGCTAGACTGTGCTGCAGGACAAACTGCCTAATCTCAGTGGCTTGACTGAAGTGTATTTGTCACTCATGCGAAGCCTGCTGGAGTCCATGTAATGCACCACAGCAGCGTTCCTCCGTGTGTTTGCTCAGCATTCCAAGCTCCTCCACTCTGATACTGCCTTCATATGGATATGAACCTCTGTGATTGTGCTCTTGGCAGGGATGAGAGAAAAGCATCAGCAGTTATAGTCTTTCACTTGGAAGTGTCATATTTCACTTCGGCTCCTCTTCTGTTGGCTCAACTAGCCATGTAACTGTGTCTAACCTCAAGGAGAAGGGAAATACAATCTTCCCACCTGCCAAAAAGGAAAAGAGAACAAGAATGTTGATGAACAGAACAATGTCCTCTACATCTAGGTTCCATTTCTAAGGTAGAAGTGAACGTGGATTTTGGGGAGGCAATCAGCAGCCTCTGCCACAACTCCTAAAACAGAAGAAAAACATGAAGGGGAAAACTCAATCAATTCAACAGCAGCATGAAATGGAAGAAAATAATAAGAAAGCACGATAGATAGAAAACTCAAAGATGGATAAGTCTGTGTTAAACGGAAATGGGTAAAATGTGTCTATTAACAGAATCTCACATTGGGTTTTAAAAATACCCAACCATATGTTGTTTATCATGGACATACCTCAAATGAAAGGAAGCTGGAGGATGAAACTAAAAATTAGAAAAGGTAAAGCAGGAGAGAAAATTTAGCTGTTTAAAACACACTTAATCCTCTCTCCTGAGCCCAAGTAAAATGAAGATAAAGAAATTAACTTCACCCAGGAAAGCTCACATCATGAAGAGAGTGGGAGAAATGCTTTCAGTGGACAAGAGAGGACCACAGTTCTGGAAAGGAGAAAGCTAGAAGAGAAGGGTAAGCAGGAGGGAGGATGCTGAAGAAAAAAATGCTCAGAGGAGCGAAGGGATGAGGTTACTAGGATTCAACTGCAAGCATCTGATGCCAGTACCTGGGCTCTTAACCACTCTACAAACTGCCTCTTCAAGTGGACTTGTGACTCCAGCTGTAAGAAAGCCCTGATATAATGAAGTTTTTGAAAAAGAACACACACACACACACATACTCTCTCTCTTGCTCTCTCTCTCTGTCTCTGTCTTGCCCTCTGTCTCTCTAATTAAAATACTACACACATATACATTTAAAGGATAAAATGGGTATTGTGAGCAATGGGCACTTTTTGCCACCAAGAATAGTTCTGCAAAATGTAAAACAGCAGATCATTCCAAGTACTCCAAACTATTCTAGAGTATAGAAAGAATAGAAAGCCACCCAACTATCTATCATGCTGGCAAAGCACTGATGTCAAAACCAGACAAGTATACTATGAGAAAGGAAAATTTAGACTACTGTTAATAATAAATGTAGATGTAAAAACTCTAAATAAACTATAAGCAAATTGCAATCAAAATTCTTTCTATATATATAGGGGTTTCTCCAGGAAAATACTGATGGCTCAACAGTGAAAAATCCATCACTGTAACTATTTTAAAGAAGAAAAATCATGATTATAATTAAACACTCATTCCCATTTTTAAAAATTACTAGCAAAATGTAAAGAAAAGAAACTTTATACTAGCAATCCAAGGAATTAAAATCAAATACTGGCTTCTGACTTTCTAAAATAGACTCAAAATCTTGGAATAGACTCTTAAAACTAATGGCAGAGGCAAAAATCTTTTGATTGGCAAGAACCATGCTTTTTGAGGAAAAAACAGGATTTAGAGTTTCAAAAATTTCAAGGAATCTAGGCCTAAACTTATACTAAAAATACTAAATATAGAGCAAGTTGGACGGGAAACTAGAGAGCTTAGCTTGCCATGTGTCCCTGAGAAAGTGGCCTTTGTCCAGATCCATTCCCCCACAATAACCGTTGAAGGTGGCTAACAATCTCCATACAATTTGGAGAACCTGAGAGCAAGGATACCAGTGTTCTTTTCCTGGGTGGGGCCCAGAAAAGAAAGCAAGATCACAGTACCCGTCCACCAAACTCAGCCAGCAAGTGGTGGCAGCAACAGTGTAGAATTGGCAACATGGTGGCCTCAGCAGAGAGGGCCCAGGACTCACCCCCTCCAGTCTCCAAAGGTTGGGACTTAGCTACACATGTGAATGTGCAGATCTCAGCAGCCAATGCCAATATAGTGAAGGAGCTACCAACTAGGCACCTTACAGATCTGCCACAACAGTGCACTAACACCTAATATGTGCATGCCAACCTAGGGAGAAACAGGGGAGGGCAAGAAGCCCCTAAATGACTGAGAAACAAACAGAAGTGATTGAGTTTGTAGAAATTCATTAGATTACTATTTTAGCCAAGAGATAGAATATAGAATTGAAGTAGAATTACAGACAATTAAAATAAAAAAATGAAGTTTTTCTAGAACTAATAAATTGGTACATCAAGTTGCAGGATACAGGTTAACATGCAAAAATTGTTTTCCTGTATACAGCAATGAACAATTGCAATTTGAAATTTAAAACACAATCCCTCAATGGATATAGTTTCAGTTATCCAAGATGGATAAGTTTTTAAATAAAAATACATATACCATTTACATGAGGACAACTCCCAAAAAACAGAGAAAGAAAGGTAGATTTAGGTATGAATCTAGCAAAATATATGCAAGATCTATATGAGGAACACTACAGAACCCTGGTAAAAGAAATCAAAGAATATCTAGGTAGAGAGATATTACATATTCATGGATAGAAACTTCAATATTGTTAAGATTTCAGTTATTTCCAATTCAATCTAGAGATTTACCACAATCCTGATCAAAATCACGGATGTTATTTTGTGGATAGCAACAAACTGATTCTAAAGTTTACATGAAAAGGCAAAAGACCCAGAATAACCAACGTAATACAGAAGAAGAAGAGGAAGAAGGAGAAGAAGGAGAAGAGGAAGGAGAAGAAGGAGAAGAGGAAGGAGAAGGAGAAGGATAAGGAGAAGGAGGAGGAGGAGGAGGAGAAGAAGAAGAGAAGAAGAAGGAGAAGATGAAGAAGAAAGAACGAACTAACACTACTCAACCTCAAGAGTTACTATAAAGCTACAGTAATCAAGACAGTGTGGTCCTGGTGAAAGAATAGACAAATAAATTAATGGAACAAAAATGAAAGCCCCAAAATAGACCCATAAAAAACACAAAAATACAGTCAACTGGTCATAGAGAAAGGGGCAAATGCTATTCAATGGAGAAATGATAGTCTTTTCAACAAATGGTGCTGGAACACTGCAGATCCACATGCCAAAAAAAAATGAATCTAGACACAGACCTTACACCTTTCACAAAAATCAACTCAAAAGAGATCATTGACCTAAATGTAAAGTATAAGACTGTAAAACTCCTGGAAGATAACATAGAAAAAAATCTACGTGGCCTTGCTCTCAGCAATGACTTTTTAGATACAACACCAAAAGCATGATCCATGATGGAAAAAATTAACAAATTTAAAAAATGATAAAGTAGAATTAAAAACTTCTTGGCACTGTTAAGAGAGTAAAAAGAAGCCACAGACTGGGAGAAAATATTTACAAAAGACATATCTGATAGAAGACTGTTGTCCAAAACATACAAAAAAAACTATTACAAATCAACAATAAGAAAACAATCAATTTTAAAATGAACAAAAAAAAATCTAAACAAACAGTTCACTAAAGAAGACATACAGATGACAAGTAAACATATAAAACTTGTTGAACATGATATGCCATTGGGGAATTGTAAGTCAAAATTATAAATAATAAGATATCACTGCATAGCTACTAAAACGGCCAAAATCCAAACACTGACAACACCAAATGCTGATGAGGATATGGTGCAACAGGAACTCTCATTCACTGCTAATGGGAATGCAAAATGGTATAGCCCCTCCAGAGGACAGTTTGTCAGTTTGATTTAAAAAACAAATGAAAAACAACAACAACAAAAAACTAAGTAAAGTTTTGCCATATGATACAGCAGTTGTGCCTCTTGGTATTTACCCAAATGAATTGGACTTGTGTCCACACAAAATCTGCACTCAAATTTTTATAACAGCTTTATTAATAGCTGCCAAAAGTGGAAAGCAACCAAGATGTTCTTACTATTCAGTGATAAAAAGAAATGAGATATCAAGCCACCAAAGAAGACATGGAAAAAACCTTGAAAACATGCTGCTAAGTAAAAGAAGCAATCTGAAAATGCCAGGTACTGTATGACTCCCAGAATTAAATTAGCATCACTCAAATACGTATTGTGAGAAGTTGAGATACACATTGTAAGCACTTGAACAACAACTAAAAAAAACCTCAAAGATATAGTAAAAAATCAACAGAGAAATTAACATAATACACGTAAAATATTTAACACAAAAGAAGGCAGTAATGGAGGAACAAACAACAACAAAAATAGAAATAGAACAAAATACAGAAAGAAAATAGCAAAATGACAGACATAAATCCTGCCATATCAATAATTATATTAAATATAAGTAGGCTAAACATCACATTCAAAGAACACAGGTTGTTGGACTGGATTAAACAAACAAACAAAACAAAAAACCCACAAGTGACGCATCTTACACACAATAGGTTGGATGTAAAAGGATGGGAAAAGAGGGCTGAATGGCCTTATCAGACAAAATAGACTTTAAGAGATGAAATAATACTTGAGACAAAAAGGGATATTTCATAATGATAAAATGATCAACGCATCAGGAAGATGTAACAATTATAAATATAACAAAAGGGCCCCAAAACACATGAAGCAAAAACTGGCAGAACTGAAAGGAGAGGGAGAAAATGCAACAGTAGGCCAGGTGCAGTGGCTCACGCCTGTAATTCCAGCACTTTGGGAGACCGAGGCAGGCAGATAACTTGAGCTCAGGAGTTCAAGACCAGCCTGGCGAAACTCTGAGTCTACAAAAAATACAAAATCAGTTGAGAATGCTGGTGCATCTAGAGTTTCTCCCTGCATATATTTGCATACCTTCCAGCCCCACATCTAACTCCTTAAAATTCCCCAGGCCAGGTAAGGTAGCTCATGCCTGGAATCCCAGCACTCTGGGAGGCCAAGGCAGGAGGATCGCTTGAGCTCAGGAGTTTGAGGTCAGCCTGGGCAACATGGCAAAACCCTATCTTTACAAAATATATAAAAATTAGCTGGGCATAGTGGCATGTTCCTGTAGTCCTAGCTACTTGGGAGGCTGAGGTGAGAAGATGGTTTGAGCCTGGGAGGCAGAGGTTGCAATGAGCCAAGATCATACCACTGCACTCCTGCCTGAGTGACAGAGCCAGACCCTGCCTCAGAAAGAAAGAAAGAAAGTAGAAAGAAAGAAAGAAAGAAAGAAAGAAAGAAAGAAAGAAAGAAAGAAAGAAAGAAAAAAGAAAGGAAAGGAAAAGAAAAGAAAGGGAAAGAAAGAAGAAAAAGAAAACGCAACAATAATAGTTGGAGGTTGATATGGTTTGTGGTTTGGATCTGTGTCCTCACCAAATCTCATGTTCAATTGTATTCCGCAGTGTTGGAGGTGGGGCCTGGTGGGATCATGAGAGTGAGTTTCTCATGAATGGTTTAGCATCATCCCCTTGGTGCTGTTCTTGTGATAGTAATGAGTTCTCATGAAATCTGGTTGTTTAAAAGTGTGTAATACCTCCCATGTTGCTCACTCTCTTATTCTTGCTCCCACTCTGTGAGATGCCTTGTTCTCACTTTGCCTTCCATCATGATTGGAAGCTTCCTGAGGCCTCTCCAGAAGCAGAAGCTGCTATGCTTCCTGTACAGCCTGCAGAACTGTGAGCCAATTAAACCTCTTTTCTTTATAAATGACCTAGTCTCAGGTATTTCCTTATAGCAGTGCAAGAACAAACTAATACAAAGGTTTTAATACTCCTCTTTCAATAATTGATAGAACAACTAGACAGAAAATCATGATTGTAGAAGATTTAAACAATTCCATGGACTAGTCAACCTAATTGACATTTATAGAAAATCACCCCACAACTGCAGAATACATAGTCTTTTCAAATACACATGGAACAGTGTTCAGGATAGACCATATGCTGGGCCACAAAATTGATCTAAATAAATCTTAAAAGATTGAAACCAAAACAGATATGTTTTCTGACCACAGCAGAATTAAATTAAAGATATTTGTTTAATTAATTTAATTTAAAGTTAAATGAAAAGATATTAAACTAAAGATATACAACAAAAAAAACCTTGAAAAAGCACAAAGATTTGGAAATTAAAGAATAGATTTCCAAATGACCCATGGTTCAAAGAAGAAATTACAAGGTAAGTTTTAAAATATTTTGAACTAGTCAGGCATGGTGGCTCACATTTGTAATCCCAAAACTTTGGGAGGCCAAGGCAGAAGAATTGCTTGAGCCCAGGAGTTTGAGAACAGCCTAGGCAACATAGTGATACCTCTCCTATATAAAAAGTCAAAAAATTAGCTGGGCATGGCGGCACATGCCTGTGGTCCCGGCTACTCAAGAGGCTGAGGTCTGAGGATTGCTTGAGCACAGGAGGTTGAGACTACAGTGAGCCATGATCACGCCACTGCACTTCAGCCTGGGCAACAAAGTGAGACCCTGTATCAAAAAAAATTTTTAAAACTGAATTTAAAATAAACAAAATTGATGAAAAATTATGGGATGCAGCTAAAGCAGTGTTTAGGAGGAGTGCTAAACACTCATAAAAGAAGAAAAGTCTCAAATAAATAATCTAAGTTTTCACCTTAAGAAATTAGAAAAAGGATACTAAACTAAACCCAGATCAAGCAGAGAGAAGGAAATCATAAAGAGTCAATGAAATAGAAAACAGGAAAGTAATACAGAAAAACAAGGGAGCCAAAAGTTTGTTCTTTGAAAAGATCAACAAAATTAGCAAATCCTTAGCTACAGTTACCAAGAAAAAAAAAAAGAACAAATTACCAAAATCAGAAATAAAAGATGGGTCATCATTACTGACCTTACTCAATATCAACAAATTGGACACTTTATGTTACATAGACAAATTCCTGGAAAGACACAAATTACCAAAACTCACTCAAGAAGAAACAAAACATCTGAAAAGATTAATAACAAGTAAAGACACTTAATTATTATTAATTTCTTTGAGACAGGGTCTCCCTCTTTTGCCCAAGCCAGAGCACAGTGGCTCTATCAAATGATCCTCCCACATCAGCCTCTGAGTGGCTGGGACTACAGGCATGTGCCACCATGCCCAGCTTTTTAAAAAATATTTTTTGTACAGATGCGGTCTCACTCTATTGCCCAGGTTAGGAGATTTAATTATTAATTTGAAATTTTCCAATAAAGAAAAGTCCATGCTTAGATGGCTTCACTGGTGAATTCTACAAAACATTTAAAGAAGAAATAATACACAATCTAGACAAAGATATTACAGTAAAAGAAAACCACAAACAATATGCCTCATGATATATACACAAAAAGACTTAAAAATATTAGCAAAACAAATTCAGCAATATATAAAAGGATTTTACACCATGACCAAGTAGAATTTATCCAAGGAATTCAAAGTTGGTTTAACATCCAAATATCAATTAATTCAATATGATATGAAATAGAATAAAGGCTAAAAACTATGATCATCTCAATAGACACAAAAACAGCATTTGGGCTGGGCGCAGCCCTTTGCTGTTTTTCAGCACTTTGGAAGGCCAAGGTGGGCAGATCACCTGAGGTTAGGAGTTCAAGACCAGCCTGGACAACATGGTGAAACCCCGTCTCTACTAAAAATACAAAAATTAGCCAGGCATGGTGGTATGCACCTGTATTCCCAGCTACTTGGGAGGCTGATGCAAGAGAATCACTTGAATCCAGGAGGCAGAGGTTGCAGTGAACCAAGATGGTGCCACTGCACTCCAGTATGGATGACAGAGCAAGACTCTGTCTCAAAAAACAAACAAACAAAACAAAACAAGAAACAGCACTTGACAAAATCGAATACCCATTCATAAATTTCTCAGAAAACTAAGAATAGAAGAGAATATTAACTTGATAAAGGGCAGATATGAAAAATGTACAGCTGACACCATACTTAATTATGAAAGACTGCATGATTTTCCCCTAAAATCACTAAAAAGGCAAGGATGTTTGCTTTTGCTGCTTGTATTCAACATATAATAAATATTCTAGCCAGTACAATCAGGGAAAGAAAAGAAGGAAGAGAGGAAATAATGGAGAGAAGGAAGGACAAAGAGAGTGGAAAGAGGGAAGAAAGGATTAAATGCATCAAACTCAGATTATAAAGTAAGAAATAAAACTATCTTTACTCATAGATGACATGTTTGCCAGTGTAGCAATCCTTAAGAATCTTCAAAAACCATGATTAGAAGTAATAAACAAGTTTATCAGGGTTGCATATATAAGATCAATATACAAAAATCAATTAATTGTATTTCCATATATCAGCAATGAACATCCAAAAATAAAATCAAGAAAATTTATTCCATCAAATAGCATCAAATATGAGAGATTACCTAATGGGTACAATATATGTTATTCGGGTGATGGAAAACCTAAATCTCTGACTTGTGTGTAACAAAATTACACTTGTACCCCATACATTTGTATAAATAAATTTTAAAATATCGAATAGAATAAAATACTTGGCAATAAATTAAACAAAATGGGTTATAGACCAAAATCTAAATGCAGAACTGTAAGACTCCTAGAAGATAACATAGGAAGAAAGCCAGATGACCTTGTATATGGTGATGACTTTTTAAATATAACACCAAAGGCATGAAATAAAAGAACCACCATGAGTACTATGCAATAAAAAATGTATTATATAGGTCATGGTGGATACATGACATTATGCATTTGTCAAAGACCATACAGCTGTACAAAACAAAACATGAAACCAAATGTTAACTATGGACTTTAATTAATAATGATGTATTATTTTTGGTTCATCAGTTGTAACAAATGTACCACACTAAAGCAAGGTATTAATAATAGAAGAAACTGCAAGTGGGGAAGAGAAGAGAGGGTATATGACAACTTGTGCTTTCTATACAGTTTTTCTGTAAATCTAAGACTGCTCTTAATAATATTCCATTTTAAAATGTAATACAAGAAATAGATCTTACACAATTGTGGGAGGAATTGAAGAAGTAAAAAAATCTAAAAAATAGAGCTGAAGATCAGAGAAAAGTCACTAATCAGTACTGGTAAGAGTGAATAAGTCAGAGCTTACAGAAAACTCTAGAAAGTAAGCATGTCCAGCTGCTGGATGGGAACTGATGGGGAGGGAGTGGAGACTAACACAGAATTCCATGGAAGGTAGCTAATTTTTGTGATTTCTACCTTTGTGATTTGCAGCAAAGCATCTGGTGTTGGGCCTAAGGCCAGTGTTGGTCGGCATGACTGACTGTCAGGAAGGAGAGCTGGATGCAGAGTAGGAAAATGACAAATTGGAATCCCCTCAACAGGTCTGAACTTGAATTTTTTTTTTTTTTTTTTTTTGAGACGAGTCTCGCTCTCTCGCCCAGGCTGGAGTGCAGTGGTGTGACCTCAGCTCACTGCAAACTCTGCCTCCCAGGTTCAAGCTAGTCTCCTGCCTCAGCCTCCTGAGTAGCTGGGATTACAGGTGCGTGCCACCAGGCCCGGCTAATTTTTGTGTTTTTAGTAGAGATGAGGTTTCACCATGTTGGTCAGGCTGGTCTCAAACTCCTGACCTCATTATCCTCCCACCTCGGCCTCCCAAAGTGCTGGGATCACAGACGTGAGCCACCATGCCCGGCCTGCGCATAAATCTTAATTGCTAACCAATGTCAGCCTTTAAAGAGTAATATGTGCTGCTTCACTTTCACCTCTTGAATCTTATGCAATTTCACTTTGGACTGATTGTCACTCAGAAGTATACATGGAACAGGATTCTGGGAAACATGGTTCCCTGTAAAACCCAGTTGACGGTAAAATGATGTAGCATGGCAGTTCCATTTAATATTTAAAATCAATTCAGGCCAGGCACAGTGACTCATGCCTGTAATCCTAGAACTTTGGGAGGCCAAGGTGGGAGGATTGCTTGAGGCCAAGAGTTCAAGATCAGCTTGGGCAACATAACAAGAACCCATCTCTATTTTTTTTAATAGCCAAATGTAGTGGCACACACCTGGAGTCCTAGTTACTTGGGAGGCTGATCACTTGAGCCCAAGAGGTCAAGGCTACAGTGAACCATGATCATGCCTCTGAACACCAGCCTGTGCAAGAGGGCAAGACCCTGTTTTTTTTGTTTTTTTGTTTTGTTTTGTTTTGTTTTGAGATGGAGTCTCGCTCTGTCGCTCAGGCTGGAGTGCAGTGACGTGATCTCAGTTCACTGCAACCTCCACCTCCTGGGTTCAAGCGATTCTTCTGCCTCAGCCTCCTGAGTAGCTGGAATACAGGCACATGCCACCATGCCCGGCTAATGTTTGTATTTTTAGTAGAGACGGGGTTTCACCATATAGGCCAGGCTGGTCTCGAACTCCTGACCTCAGGTGATCTGCCTGCCTTGGCCTCCCAAAGTGCTGGGATTACAGGCGTGAGCCAGTGCGCCCAGCCAACCCTGTCTTTTAAAAAAATTCAGTGTAAGGGAGCGACATTAGCAAGATGGTTAACTAGGGGGAGCGCCCATAATACCCATAAAACAATTAGCAAGATGGTTAACTAGGGGGAACTCCCATAATACCCATAAAAACAATAATTTGGCAATCCAGGGATGAAAATAGCTCTGTGAGAGCTCTAGAGTATAGTTAAGAAAATGCAGTAAGCCAGCGGAGCACAAAAACAGAGGAAACGTGAAAAACCATTTTACCTTCACCCCATCCCCCATCTTCTAGGCTGGCATAGCTCAGAGCCAAGAGGAAACTCTTTAGCCACAATTTTGCCCTGTGGAGGAAAAGGAGAGAAGGAAAACCCCAGCAGCTTTCATCACTGAAGACCACAGTGACACTCCATACTGTTGAGGATCCCCAGTCTTTACAGACATGGATTCCAGCTGACAGAGCCATCCAGAGCCCATGCCATGCCACCATGAGTGCACCTGTGTCCTGAACCTGGTGCCACTTTGCATACACTCACACTCAGGACCTAGCACTCCCATCCATGCACTGTAACCAGTACTGAGCAGAGCCCACAAATCTATGCCCCCTGGAACTGAAGCCACTTTATTCCTTCCTTTATCAACCATTGTGCCACCATCCCTGGGCATCCCAGACCCAGTGCTACTTCATGCCCACAAAATCCAGTGCTGATGTGTCCCCTGGACTCCGTGCTGCCGTGCCCCTTCCCCCAAATTGGTACTACCATGTAAATCTGAAACTGGTGCTATCATACACCCCCAGAATGAGCAATCCCAGATGCCCTCAAAACAATATTCCATATGTCCTCAGAATTGGCATCCTCACCTGTCCTCAGACTTGGTTCAGCCATATACTTCATCCAGTTGATGTCCTCATGCTCACCAACAGGTGAGCGCAGCTTTCCCAACTGAAGCCAATCCATTAATTCTGAAAGAGGTAACCACTTCTTTAAATGTGCCGATACCAAAGCAAGGCTACAATAAACACAAAAAATAGGAAAAATGTTTCACCACCAGTGAAACACGTACATTTTCAGTAACAAACCCAAAAGAAATAGAGACCTGTTAATTGCCTGACAAAGAATTCAAATGACTGTTTGTTTTTTTTTTTTAAAGCTCACTAAGCTATAAAAGAACACAGGTAACTCAACAAAATCAAGAAAACAATGCATGAACAAAACAATAAGTTCAAGAAAGAGATCAAAATCATAAAAACCAAACAAATTCTGGAGCTAAATAATTATGATTAATAAAATGTAAAATACAATAGAGAACTTCAACAACAGACTATATCAAGCAGAAGCACAAATCAGCAAACTAGAAGACAGGTCACTTGAAATTATCCAGTCAGAGAAACAAAAAGAAAAAAGACTGAAAAAAAGTGGAGAAAGCCTACAGGATATATGAGACACTGTCAAGACAACCAATAAATACATTATGAGAGTCACAGAAGGAGAAAGGAATGAGAAAAGAGCAGAAAGATAATCTAAAGAAATAATGACAGAAAACTTCCCAAATCTGGTGAAGAAAATAGATATTCATATTCGAGAAATCCAAAATACCTCAATAGGTTGAACATAAAGAGGTCTATATCAAAGCACATTATAATTACATTTTCACAAGTCAGAAACAAAAGATAGAATTTTTTTCAACAAGAGAAAAGCAACGTATCACATGTGAGGAAACCCCCATAAGACTATCAGTATATTTCTCAGCAGACCTTGTGTTAAAGCAAATTATGTGTAGACAAGGCCCAAAGAATTCCTGAGCAGAACAAAGTGAATTAGGCCTCATAAGTGACCTTAATTTTGCTTGATTTACAAACATAAGCAAAATTTAACTTGAGCTATTTTTTGTACATGACTATATGAAAAAAAAAACTTAAGTTCAATCAATCAGAAGCAGCCAACAAATATATAATTAGGAAACTTCCAGTAGGATAGATCAAATAAGGCAACTGTATAACTGTAACTAATCAAATATTTTCTTTGCTTTACTTCTGTGTTTGTCCTGTAAAAGCCTCCTCCTTTTGTTTTCTTTCTTTCTTTTTTTTTTTTTTTGATGGAGTCTCGCTGTGTCACCCAGGCTGGAGTGGAGTGGCATGATCTCAGCTCACTGCAAGCTCTGCCTCCCAGGTTCACGCCATTCTTCTGCCTCAGCCTCCTGAGTAGTTGGGACTACAGGTGCCCACCACCACGTCTGGATAATTTTTTGTATTTTTTAGTAGAGACGGAGTTTCACTGTGTTAGTCAGGCTGGTCTCGATCTCCTGACCTAGTGACCCACCCGCCTCGGCCTCCCAAAGTGATGGGATTACAGGCATGAGCCACTGTGCCTGGCCTCCTTTTGTTTTCTTAGTCAAGCTCCCAAACCACTTCTGGTTTGAAGATGCCCAAGTCATGAACCACTGTTTGCTCAAATAAACTCTAAAATTTTGTTGAGTCTCAGTTTACCATGTTAACACTTAAAAGCCCAGAAAGAGAGTAGAATGAGATACTCAAAGTACTGAAAGAAAAAAAAAAAACCTGCCAACCAAGAATACTATACCTAGCAAAATTAATCCTTAAAAGTGAAAGAGAGGCCAGGCGCAGTGGTCCATACCTATAATCCCAGCCCTTTGGGAGGCCAAGGTGGGCAGATCACTTGAGCCCAGGAATTCAATACCAGCCTGGACAACATAGTGGGACCCTGTCTCTAAAAGAAGAAAAAAAGCCAGTTGCAGTGGTTCATGCCTGTAGTCCCAACACTTTGAGAGGCCGAGGCGGGTGGATCACTTGAGGTCAGGAGTTTGAGACCAGCATGGTCAACATGGTGAAACCCCATCTCTACTAAATGCCTGTAAGCCAAGCTACTCGGGAGGCTAAGGCAGAAGAATCACTTGAACCTGGGAGGTGGAGGTTGCAATAAGCTGGGATCACACCACTGCACACCAGCCTGGGCAACAAAGTGAGACTCCACCCCCTCCCCCCAAAAAATATAAACAAAGAAAATAAAAATTAAAAAAAAATTTCTTTAATGAAGGAAAGATAAACTCTTTCCAGAAAAGAAAAAAAACTGAGTGAATTAATCACCACCAGCTCTGTGTTACAGGAAATGCTTAAGGGAGTTCCTCAAATTGAAATAAAAAATAAAAGCATGCTAAACAGCAATGTGAAAGCATATAAGAACATAAATCTCACTGGCAAATACATAGAAAAATACAAAATAATGTAACATTATGAGGATAAACTATTTTAACCGTCATATGAAAGTCAAAATAAAGTTTGTTAATATATACACAATATTTTAAAAAGTAAAATCAGACTACAAGAACATAAAGTGGGTGCAGGAAGTAAAAGTGTAGAGTTTTTATGTAGAATTGAAGGTAACTTGTTATCAAATTAAAATAAATGGTTATAACTACAAGATATTTTATGCAAACCTAGAGATAACAACAAAGAAAAAAAACCTCTTAATAGATATATAAGTTTAAACAAAAGAATTTAGGCTGGGTGCAGTGGCTCATGCCTGTAATCCCAGCACTTTGGGAGGCTGAGACAGGCAGATCACTTGAGGTCAGGAGTTCAAGACCAACCTGGCCAACATGGCAAAACCCCATCTCTACTCAAAATACAGAAAAAAAAATCAGCTTGGTGTGGTGGTGTACGCCTGTTATCCCAGCTACTCAGGTGGCTGAGGCACAAGAATTGCTTGAGCCTGGGAGGCAGAGGTTAGATAATGCCACTGCATTCCAGCCTGGGAGACAGAGTGAGACTGTCTCAAAAAAAAACAAAAAAAAGAATTTAAACAAAACATTACAGAAAATCATCAAACAACAAAGGAAACCAGGAAGAGAGAAAGAGGAATACAATAAGTGCAAAATAGGCAAAAAACAAAATGGCTGTAGTAAGTTTTCATCTATCAATAATCACTTTAAACTTAAGTGGATTTAACTCTTCAATCAAAAGGCATAGAGTAGCCAAATGGATCAAACAACAATAGCAACATCCAGCAATATGCTGTCTACAAAAGACTCTAGATTTAAGAGCATAGATAGGCTTAAAGTGAAGGAATGGAAAAAGATATTTCATGCAAATGGTAACCAACAAAAAGCAGGGGTAGCTATATTAATATTAGACAAAATAGACTCCTAAGTAAAAAAACTGTCACAAGAGACAGAGAAATTCATTATCTAATGATAAAAGGGCCAACACAACAGGAAGATATGACAATTCTAAATGTAGATGCACTCAATATCAGAATACCTGAACATGCAGAGCAAATATCAACAAATCTAAAGGGAGATATTAATAGCAATACAGTAATATCAGGGGACTTCTATGCCCCACATTTTTTAAAGCCTATGGATTATATTGAATATACCCTTAATTTTATAAATGGATAAAACATCCAGACAGAAAAACCAATAAAGAAACAGCTGATTTGAACAACAATATAGGCCAAATGAACCTAATAGAAACATAGAAAACATTCTACCCAACAGCAGAAGAATATACATTCATTCTCAAGTGTACACAGAACATCCTTCAGAATAGATCACATGTTAAGTCAAAAAACAAGTCTTAACAAATTTAAGATAAAAATTGTTTCATGCATTTTTTTCTGACCACAACAGAATGAAACTAGAAATCAATAATAGTTAAAAAAAGGAAAATTTACAAATACATGAAAACTAAACAACAGACTCTTGAACAATCATTGTGTCAAACAGGAAATCAAAAGGGATTTTAAAAGCATATCTTCAGACAAACAAACAAAAACACAACCTATCAAAATTCATGAGACTCAGCAAAAGCAATACTAAGAGAGAAATTTATAGTATTATATACTGTATTAGTCCGTTTTCACGCTGCTGATAAAGATCTATCTGAGACTGGACAATTTACAGAAGAAAGGTTTAATAGACTCAGTTCCACATGGCTGGGGAGACCTCACAATCATCGCAGGAGGTGAAAGCCATGTCTCAAGTGGTGGCCGACAAGGGAAGAAAGCTTGTGCGGGAAACTCCCCTTCATAAAACCATCAGATCTTGTGATATATATTCACTATCATGAGAATAGCATAGGAAAGACCCGCCCCCATGATTCAATTACCTCCCACCCGGTCCCTCCCACAACACATGGGAATTGTGGGAGCTACAATTCAAGATGAGATTTGGGTGGGGGCACAGCAAAACCGTATCATATACCTTCACTTAATATGGAGAAAGATCTCAAATAACCTAACTTTATACCTCAAAGAACTAAAAAAAAAGAACTAACTAAGCCCAAAGTTACCAGAAGAAAAGAAATAAAAAAAAATTAGCACAAAAATAAATCAAATGGAGAATGGGAAAAATATTTAAAAATCAACAAAACTAAGACTTAGTTTTTTGAAAAGATAAAATTAACAAAGACTTAACTAGACTAAGAAAAATGGAAAGAAAACTCAAGTAAATAAAATGGGACATGAAAGCAGAGACACTACAATGGATGCTTCAGAAATAAGTTTCATAAGGGACTATTATAAACAACTATACTCCAAAAAATTGGATAACCTATCAGAAATGGATGAATTCTTAAAAACATACAACATATCAAATCTGAATCAAGAAGAAATAGAAAGCCTGAGTAGATCAATAATGCATAAGGAGATTGAACTAGTAATCGAAAACTTCCCAAAAAAGAAAAGCACAGGACCAGAAGTCCTCATGGGTAAATTGTACCAAACATTCAGAGAATAATTAATATCAATTCTTCTTAAACTTTTCCAAAAAAAAAGGAAGAAACTTATTTCATGAGGCTAGCATCACCCTGATACCAAAGCTAGACAAAGACATCACAAGAAAAGGAAGTTATAGGACAACATTCTTGATGAACATGGATGCAAAAGTCCTCAATAAAATACTAGCAAACTGAATTAAATAACACATTAAGAAAATCATACACCATTATCAAGTGAGATTTATCCCTTGGATGCAAGGATGGTTCAACACACACAAATCAATAAACTTGATACACCACATTAACAAAATGAAAGATTAAAAACACATGATTATCTCAATAGATACAGAAAAAAATTTTGACAAAATTCAGCATGCATTCATGATAAAAATTCTCAAGAAGTATTCAAGAAACATTCCAACACTGTAAAGATCATATGTGAAAAGCACACAACTAACATTGTAATCAATGGGAAAAACCTGAAAGCTTTCTGATATAGTTTGGATATTTGTCCCCTCCAAATATCATGTTGACAGTTGATCTACAATATTAGAGGTGGTGCCTGGTGGGAAGTGTTTGGGACATGGGGGCAGATTCCCTCATGAACAGCGTGGTGCTGCCCTTGTAGTAATGGGTGACTTCTACTCTATTAGTTAACACAAGATCTGATTGTTAAAAAGAGTCTGGCACCAACCTTCTGTCACTCCCTTCCTCTCTCACCATGTGATGTGCATGCTCTCCCCTCACCTTCTGCCATAATTGGAAGCTTCCTGAGTTCCTCAGAAGGAGATGCTGGTGCCACACTTCTTGTATAGCCTATGGAACCATGAGCCAAATAAATCTCTTCTCTTTGTAAATTACCTTGGGTATTCCTTTACAGCAACACAAGCAAATAATTACACTGAACCCTGTTGGGCACTCTCTAATTGGATGTCCTGGGTCCTCCCAAATCTTAGTCCTTTAATACCTGTTTTTGTCCTTCTCTTATTTGGACCTTGTGTCTTCTGTTTAGTTTCTCAATTCATACAAAACCACATCCAGGCCATCACCAATCATTCTATATGACAAATGCTCCTTCTAACAACCCCACAATATCACCCCTTACTCCAAAATCTTTTTTCAGTTTAATCTCTCCCGCTCTAGGTTCCCACACTGCCCCTAATCCTGCTCAAAGCAGCCCTGAGAAACATTGCCCATTATCTCTCCATATTACCCCCCAAAATTTTTGCCACCCCAACACTTCACCACTATTTTGTTTTGTTTTTCTTACTAATATAAGAAGACAAAAATGTCAGGCATCTGAGCCCAAGCTAAGCCATCAGATCCCCTGTGACCTGCACATATACATCTAGCTGTCCTGAAGCAACTGAAGAACCACAAAAGAAGTGAGAATAGTCGGTTCCTGTCTTAACTGATGACATTCCACCATTGTGATTTGTTCCTGCCCCACCCTAACTGATCAGTTGACCTTGTAACATTCCTTCTCCTGGACAGTGAATCTCAGGAACTCCCCACCAAGCACCTTGTGACCCTGCCCCTGCCCGCAAGAGAACAACTCCCTTTAACTGTAATTTTCCACTACCTACCCAAATCCTATAAATCTGCCCCACCCCTATTCCCTTTGCTAACTCCTTTTTTGGACTCAGTCTGCCTGCACCCAGGAGATTAAAAAAGCTTTATTGCTCACACAAAATCCATTTGGTGGTCTCTTTACATGGATGCATGCAACATTTTGAATTATCAGACTGAGAATGTAATATAACTATGATTAATATTCTAAGGAATCTAGTGGAAAGGGGAACAATAGGAAAGAAGAGATGAGTAATGAAGCAACATGCTAGAAATAAAAAACAACACCAACAGAAATGAAGAATTTGTTTGATGGGCTTATGGGTAGACTGGACATGGCCAAGGAAAAAAAATCAGTGACCTTGAGAACATGTCAATACAAACTTCCCAAACTGAAATGCAGAAAGAAAAATGAATGAAAAAATAAAACACAAAATCTAAGAACTATGAGATAAATACAAAAGCTGTAACATATGCATAATGAGAATACCAGAAGAAAAGAGAGAGAAAATAACAGAAGAAATGTTTAAAGTAATAATGGCTGAGAATTTCCCAGAATTAATGACAGACAACAAAACGCAGATCCAGGAAATTCAGAGAACAACAGGCAGGATAAATATCAAAATATCCACACCTAGGCATATCATAGTCAAACTGCAGAACATCAAAGAAAAATAGAAACTTCTGAAAGAAGCCAGAGGAAAAACAATGCATTACCTATAGAGGGACAAGGATAAAAATTACATTGAACTTTGCTCAGAAATCATGCAAGTAAGAAGAGAATGGAGTGAAATACTTAAGGAATTGAAAAATTTTAAACTCCAGCCTAGAATTCTATATCCAGCAAAATTATCCTTCAAAAGTGAAGGAGAGAGGATTCCGGGCAGATGGCAGGGATCAATCTCTCCATCTAGACAACTGCTGTGCTGGCAGAATCTACCTGATGTAGCTGTTTTGGAACTCTGGAGTTTAGAAGAAGGCTTGTAACTTGCAAGGTAAGGCTTGGACTGTAAATTGGCATTAACTTTGATCCATTTCAGTTCTTAGCATAAAAAGTAAAGTAGAGGTTCCTCTTCAAAGACTTTCCTCCCTGTCTAATTAGGAATAAATAGTAACTTCTCTTAGAAGCAAAATTTATTCAAAGACCTGTGCTAACATTCTTAAATATCTGCTAGACATAATAAAGAAATCAATGTACTTTATATTCTTAGCTCCCACAATTTAGCCTAAATATTTGCCTTGGCATGCTTATACTGGTCCAAGCAAGCATTAGGTCATAGCCTGTTCCTCTTCCTTATTTGAAGGTGTTTTTTACCTTTCTTAGCATTCCACAAGTTACTTCCTCTTTCCTTTCTTCTCCTCTGCCTTTGCCTCTTTTAAAAAGTTCTAAGTTGCTAGCCAATCGGGACAAATACAGAGTGTGAGGTCCCGTTCCAGCCAATGGAAACCAGACACAGCAGTAGGGTAGACGTGTCAGGTTATAAACGACCCTGTCTCCTTTGTTCGGTGGACTCTCATGGCAAAACTGCTGGTGAGTGTACCCTTTGTAAGAAAATGGCCTTGCTGGGGAAATTAAATTTGTGTTCAAGTGCTATTTTCTTTTTTTATTTTATTTTCTTTCCTTCCTTCCTTCCTTCCTTCCTTCCTTCCTTTTTTTGAGACAGTCTCACTCTGTCACCCAGGCTGGAGTACAGTGGCACGATCTGAGCTCACTGCAAGCTCCGCCTCCCAGGTTCACAGCATTCTCCTGCCTCAGCCTTCTGAGTAGCTGGGACTGCAGGTGCCCGCCACCATGCCTGGCTAATTTTTTTGTATTTTTTAGTAGAGACGGGGTTTCACTGTGTTAGCCAGGATGGTCTTGATCTCCTGAAATTCATGATCCACCCGCCCTGGCCTCCCAAAGTGCTGGGATTAGAGGCGTGAGCCACTGCGCCTAGCCTCAAGTGCTATTTCTTTACAGCACCAGGGAACAAGCATTTCAAACATCAGCATGGCAGTATCTACCCATTACCCACCCCCAAGCACTGTGGTAGGCATCCATGCACACGTTCCAGGAGCACCTTGCACAGTTCACAGAAACTCAGGTAGACAATGAGGATCCTGTCCTCCAAATGTTGGCAACTTGTGCTCTGATTACTGATTGCTGCTTCTGATCACAGAGGTCAGACACTGAGGTGGGCAATCATTGTTACAACCTGCCACACCCTCACCCCATTGTTGCAAGCCCCTCCCCCTCCAGCTGAAGCAACATCCAAAAGATTTAAAGGACTAGAATGTCTTTTTTTCCCCTCACACTTCATTTTTCTCTTTTTCCTCTTTTGGGAGCCAGGGATTTAAAAGCTAGGATATTCCAAGCAACCAAATTATAAAGCCACTGCACATACCCAGGAAAAAGGACAGGTCTAGAAAAGATCTGAGAGACCTTAAGTTTACACTTCAGGCTGATCCTGGCACAGAGACAACCCACAACAACTTAAATTTTAAAAAGAAAGAAAAAAAACCCAGCAAACTCTGGGAAAAGGGGAGAATCTAGTTTCCAGAGTTACTACCTTATTCATCATATGCCTAGTGTGAAAAGAAGATATCTTGGGCCCCCAAAATCACTAAGCTAAAGGGAAAAGTCAAGCTGGGATCTACTTAGGGCAAACCTGCCTCCCATTCTGTTCAGTCACCTCTCTGCTCACTGAAATAAATGCATATCTGATTGCCTCCTTTGGAGAGGCTAATCAGAAACTCAAAAGAATGCAACCATTTGTCTCTCACCTACCTGTGACCTGGAAGACTTCTCCCCACTTCAAGTTGTCCCACCTTTCCTTTTCAAACTGAATCAATGTTTATTTTACATACATTGATTGATGTCTCATGTCTCCCTAAAATGTATAATGCCAAGCTGTGCTATGACCACCTTGGGCACGTGTCATCAGGACCTCCTGAGGCCGTGTCATGGGTGCACATCCTCAAACTTAGCAAAATAAACTTTCTAAATTAACTGAGACATGTCTCAAATTTTCAGGATTCACATTTGGTAACCATGGATGGCTTCTGAGTGGAGATGTCCCTGACCTTTGACAAATTTCCTATTGGTGCTTGATGCCAACATGAGCTAACTTTATAGCTCAAACCAATAGGACAATTTGCTGAGGTCTGGGAGCACCCCTCCAGAAGGTCACCCAAAATTTGGTGGAGAGCTAAAGTTTATTTTGCTGTACATTTCCGTTTTTGTTTTGTTTTGTTTTGTTTTGTTTTGTTTTGTTTGAGTTTTACTTGCTTTCAAAAAGGAAGGCAAGATTTTTTGTTTCCATGATGATGGAAGGCAGGTAACTCTTTGCTAGAGTTTGAGCCTGCTCCCAGCGGGGAAGATGAGTTCAAGTTTTTCCTGCTTCTAGGGTGGTAGAAAACAGTCTTCAGCCTGAGACCCAACCCTAGGTAAGAAGCTGAATTGCGGTTTTGCCCTGGCTAAAGTTTAACAACCACCTGGTCTTAATTTCTCCTTACCATTAGAGCACTCAATTATCATATTGTTGGGGGTTTTCATTGTTGTTTTGTTCCAGGCTTTCTCCCATTGGATTTGACAACTCTACCTGCCTTGGTCAAATCTGAGTGAGAATTCCAAATTATGGGTAACAAGGTCTCTCTAATTTGGCTAAAATTCCTTGCAGCTGCAAAATTTAAAAAAAAGAGAGAAAACAAAAAAACATGTGTTTGGTTTCTGTGTTTGCTTCCTGTCTTAAAAAAAAATTGTTCCTTTGATTACTTTTCTTCTGCCCTATACCTTCTTCCCCCTTTGCCATCTGCAGTACCAAAAAACCTAGAGAAGGCTTCTAATGACTTGAACCCCTTTAAAGAATTCAGAACAAAGGTGCTACTCACCCCCTTTTGGGGTGTTTTGTTTTCTTTGTGGAGTTTCAAGAGTCATGGGTAGATTCCTTTTAGGTCTAAAGCTCTGTTTTCCTGTATTGCATGACCTGACCTCTTTGGCTTTGGGGGTACCAGAGATGAATTTGCACTATGAGAGGATTTGACCTTAGCATGTATAATGTTGGGTGAGAGCTACAAAGTTACAGGTGGCTGAACACAGTTTACAGGAAGTAGTATTGGCTGTTTTTCTTTTTTTTTTTCTTTTCTCTCCTAGGAAGGTGTTGGTTAAGGATCCTAATTCTAGTTCAGAGATGCATTCTACAGGGTCTTCTCTATTGCTTTTTCTCCCAAAATTAATCTTAATTCAGTTTCTCTGTGCACATTTGTGTGAGGAACTGAACTGGTGTTTTCATAGGTTAATGAGAGACTGAGTTTTTCTCAGATCCAAAGAGAAAGGGGATGTGCTCCTCCCAGCCGAAAGGTGCTCCTGGATGGCTGGGGGCCTTGTGGCAGTGTCTGGGGAGTTGATCCCCCATGCAGTGGCCCTGCAGGGAAATCCCCAACAAAAATTAATTTTAAAAATGGCTTATCCAGAAAATGCATATAAGGACTGATCACCTGGCAGCCCTCTCAGAGGTCATAGACCTCTGGAGAGAGAAACTGAGACATGTAAGAAGGTGGAAACAACTCAGTGGTGACACACTGTGGAGTCTTGCCCACAAGCAGCACACATCGATCCACCACACAAAAAACCCTAGGCCACAGCTCAGTTCCTCCTTTTAATAATAAAAAAAAAAAGTGGGACACAAATAATATAAGAATTAGGAGAAAACAAGGAGAATGACCCCCTTTCAAGCACTCTGTAGGTTTTATGGAACCTCTACTTGCCAGAATAAAATGGAGACAATATGGTCTTTGTGCACATTGACATTAAGGAAAAAGAGCCCTAAGGCCAACCTGCAAACTATAGCATTCCTAGGTCCTCTTTTTCTCTATTTTCTTTTCTGCCATCTTGAAATTTGCTGTTTCTTTTCTATTTATTTATTTATTTATTTATTTATTTATTTATTTATTTTTTGAGACAGAGTCTCACTCTGTTGCCCAGGCTGGATTGCAGTGGGCACATCACAATCTTGGCTCACTGCAACCTCCACCTCCCGGGTTGAAGCAATTTTTCTGCCTCAGCCTCCCAACTAGCTGAGACTATAGCTGCACACCACCACACCCAGCTAATTTTTGTAATTTTAGTAGAGATGAGCTTTCACCATATTGGCCAGGCTGGTCTGGAACTCCTGACTTCGTGATCCACATGCCTCGGCCCCCCAAAGTGTTGGGATTACAGGCATGAGCCATCATTTCCAGGCAAATCTGCTGTTACTTTTCTACTAAGATAAAAACCACTGTTTGGCTCTAACAGGTTTGTTTGTTTGTTTGTTTGTTTGTTTGTTTTTGCAAGCTGGTGAACTTGTATTTATCAGTATCTAAAGTACTGAAGTAAAAACTATAGAATCTTTCTGTGTGTGTATGTGTGTATGTATATGTATAAGTGTGTGTATATATATTTGAAGGCCTTTATAATAGACTCCTATAACTTTATGTTCTATTGGCAATTAAATTCACTTTAATTTCCCTCTAGCTCACCAGACTTTTTCTTCATATCTTATGATGTAAATTTTGTTATCTGATTTTCACCTGAGTTGTTTCCTTTAATATGCACATTTAAGGCTATTTAGCTGATGACTGCCTAGGGTAAGATTTAAAGAAAAGAAAAAAAAGAAGGTCTTTATGAATTTATAAGATGTACTTCTATTGACATGCCTAATACATCTATATATGTATGTGTTGTGTACACAATATTTCACTACTAAAAATATACAAAAGAGCTCTAATTAATTGGCTTACAAATAAATAAATAAGGCAGGGTGCAGTGGCTCACACCTGTAATCCCATCACTTTGGGAGGCTGAGGTGGGCAGATCACCTTAGGTCAGGAGTTCAAGACTAGCCTGGCCAACATGGTGAAACCCCATCTCTACTAAAAATACAAAAATTAGCCAGGCATGGTAGTGCACACCTGTAATCCCAGCTACTTGGGAGGCTGAGGCAGGAGAATCACCTGGACCCAGGAGGTACAAGTTGCAGTGAGCTGAGATCTCACCATTGCACTCCAGCCTGGGCGGCAGAGTGAGACTCTCTCTAAATAAATAAATAAACGCACTTAAATCACATACTAAAGAAAAAAGACTAGCCAAATGCTATTTCAGTTTCACATGACTTAAGTAAAATCTTTAGTAAATAAGCTGGCTCTTAAATTATTGGCAAAATAATATTAGAAATGTCTTAAGACTTTGCCAGCATACATTTTTGCTTGCATTTATTAAGCAATTTCATACTTATCACTGCCAAATACTATAAGGTGTCAAAATTTGGCATAGGGGTTGTAAAACTACAAACCCAGCCCAAAACCGAATGATCCTTGCTTGTGTCATCTTTAATAAATAAGACATTGATATTGGTTTAATAAAAATTGCTACATCTTGAATTTAGTAAGATTACCATAATTTTTAATCTTGTGGTTTTAGGTGGGCTAGTCCACGGTCTGTAAGGTTTATTATTATCTTTGTTTCAAAAATAAACTATAAACTAAGTTCTTTCCAAAGTTAGCTCAGCCTACACTCAGGAATGAACAAGAACAGCCCAAAGGTTAACAGCAAGATGGAGTCAGTTGAGTCAAATCTTTTTTACAGTCTCAGTTATAATTTTGCAATGGCAGTTCCATAACTTTAAGTGATGACTATCAGCCAAGTGCGGTGGCTCATGCCTGTAATCCCAGCACTTTGGGAGGCCAAGGTGGGCAGATCACCTGAGGTCAGGAATTCTAGACCAGACTGGCCAACATAGCGAAACCCCATCTCTACTAAAAATACAAAATTAGCCAGGTGTGGTGGTGCATGCCTGTAATTCCAGCTACTCAGGAGGCTGAGGTGGGAGAATCACTTAAAACTGGGAAGCAGAGGTTGCAGTGAGCTGAGATTGCCCCATTACACTCCAGCCTGGGTGACAAGAGTGAAACTCTGTCTAAAAAAAAAAAAAAAAAAAAACCCAGCAAACAGAAAACTGATGACTATCACAGCTTTTGTAAATAATCTAGGTAAACAATTAAAATAAAATAATTAGGTAAATGTAATAGGATAAATACTTGTAGACAAATTCATCATAATTTAGAATCTAAAGTTATATTAAATTAAATAACAGATATTTCACTATTTGGGTATTTTCCAATAAAAATATATTTGTAGGAAAACATTCTTTCTAAAAAAAAGTGTGTCCTTTAAAAAAAAGATGAACAATTTTTGTCTAATTCAAAGCTTATTTAAAGGTCATGTATAAAACAAGGTAAAAAGAATGAGGACATACAAGAGATGTAAAGAAAGTTATAAAAATAGAGATTTTTTTTATGAGAAAGCTTAAAGAAAAATAATTTCATTTTAGAAAGAATCTCATATGGTAAATTCAGTCCTACATTAAAATAACTGGCTGTTTAAGAAGGAGGGATGTTCAGGATAAACCAGAAACTCCAAGCATGTCATGAATGGTCTGTGTAATAAAATTTTTTTAAAAACAAAACTTTTATATAATCAAGTTGTCACATTGTTATAAAGTTTTGGTTTGCTTAGGAAAAAAACGAAGATTGAAAATTTTTTTTTATTAAGGTTATTACTTCCATGTATCTTTCTGTATGTGTTTTTGAAGGACTTATGACATTGAGTTATAGGGCTTTGACTCCTGGGTCTAAAAAGGACACCAAGTCCTGCTAAATTTTAAACACTGACAGCAATTAAATCCCCATCTTCAGGCCTGGTAGAAGATGCCAATCAAAATAAACTGCATTCCTGAAACACAGGGCCAGAAATTAAAACTATTTAGCTCCTCAAGGCCCAGGGACTATTGCAGAAGAGATGGGCATATGAAATTGTAAGGGCTGATTTTGAGAGATAAAATAAGTTCTGTTTCTCTATAAATTAATCATTAATGTCAAAGGCACAAGCATATGGGCCCATGTCAGATTAACAAGGTTTTCTTGACTCATTAACCACCTCCTAAATATAGGTTATGAAAGGCTTATGGAAGTTGTATCTTGTGGTCAAGATTAAAATTTTGGTGGAGGGTTTTAAGTATTTTCCACTGGCTGGCTTTGGTTATGAGTACCTTTCCCTCTTCTGTCATTAACCACCCAGGGGAGAAAACTGTGCCCCTGTGAAAGTCCCCATTCTGTTTCAGTCAGGGAATACTGGGGCTTAATCTCTTGGAGAGGGTTGTTCCATACCAAGGGTCCTTCTGTATGTATTTCTAATGGGAGGTTCCACCTGGCAGCAATTTTGGCCTCAGCATCTGTCCAACGGTTTCCTTCTGCCTTTTCTCCTTCACCTTTCTGATGGCTTTGGCAGTGTAAGACAGCCACCTCCTTGGGTTTTTGCACTGCATTCAATAACTCCATTATTTCCTTGTGGTATTTAATGGGGGTTCCCCCAGAGGTTAGGAACTCCCTTTCTTTCCATTTTGCAGCATGGGCATGTAGGATTAGATAAGCATACTTGCTATCTGTGTACACATTTATTCTTTTTCCCTTTCCCAGTTCTAAGGCTCGGGTAAGTGCCACTAGTTCTGCTAACTGGGTGCTGGTCCCTGGAGAAAGAGGCTTACTTTCAAGTACTGTTACATCACTAACTATGGCATAACCTGCCCTTCGTATCCCATTCTCCACAAATGAACTTCCATTGGTATATAGGTTAAGGTCAGGATTAGCTAAGGTGACTTCCAAGAGATCCTCTTGGGCAGTCTAAGTCTGGACTATAATTTGTTGGCAGTCATGCTCAATTGGTTCTCCATCCTCTGAGAGAGCAGTGGCAGGGTTAAGGGCCACATATATGCATATTTGAAGCACCGGTCCCTCAAGGAGTAGCACCTGGTATCTAAGCAGGCAGTTGTCTGATAGCCATAAACTTCCTTTGGCACCTAGTATGCCATTTACATCATGAGTAGTCCAGACAATGAGACCCTTTCCTTGTATTCCTCTGATACTAAGATGGCCACCGCCGCAACTACATGTAAACAGTGAGGCCAGCCTTTTGCTACTATATCAGTTTCCTTACTTAGGTATGCCACTGGTTGTGGGGTTGTCCCACCAGTCTGAGTATTCCCAAGAACTATTCCTGCTCTCTCTGTGATGTATAAAGAGAAGTTTTGTCCTGTGGGAAGGCTTAAGACTGAATCTTGTACTAGGGCCTGTTTTAAGGTTTTGAAGGCTGTTTCTGCTTCTAGTTCCCATTCTACTAGATGAGTATTTGCCCTCTGGGTCTCCTTGATTAGAGTATGGAGGGGCCTGGCTATCTTGCTGTATCTGGGGATCCATAGTTGGAAAAAGCCAGTGATTCCAAGGAACCCCCACAATTGTTTTAATGTCTTAGGGTGAGGATAAGCCAGTATAGGCTGTATTCATTCCTTGCTGAGGGCCCTGTTTCCTCTGGCTAAGATTAGGCCTAGATATTTAACTTGTTGTAGGCAGAGCTGGGCCTTCGATTTAGATGCCTTGTAACCTTGGTTAGCTAGAAAGTTCAAGAGATCTAGAGTAGTCTGCTGGCATGAGTCTTCTGAACTTGTAGCCAAAATTAAATCATTCATATACTGAAGGACCAGAGTGCCTGGACTTGAGAAGTGGCCTAGATCTTGGGCCAGTGTTTGACCAAACAGATGAGGGCTATCCCTAAACCCTTGGGGCAAGACCATCCATGTAAGTTGGGACGTGTGGTCTGTGGGATCCTTGAAGGCAAAGAGAAACTGGGAGTCAGAGTGCAGAGGAATACAGAAGGAGGCATCCTTGAGGTCCAGAACCATGAACCCTTCTGCCTCCCATGGTATTTGAGAGAGCAGGGTATAGGGATTGGGTACAACCGGATATAGAGGAATTACTCCCTCATTGATGAGTCTAAGATCTTGCACTAGTCTCCACTGACAATTCGGTTTTTGTACTCCTACAATTGTGGTGTTGCAGGGACTGCTGCATTTTCTTACTAAGACTTGAGCTTTTAAATGTCTAACGGTATCCTGTAATCCTTTATGAGCTTCAGGCCTTAAGGGATATTGCCTTTGATAAGGAAAAGTGGTGGGGTCTTTTAGCCTGATTTGGACTGGGCAGGCATGTTTTGCCTTTCCAAATTGCCCTTCCAATGCCCAGACTTCAGGGTTGATTCCCTCCTCAAGTAGGGGACAACAAATGGGTAACTTGTTCCCCATATTCATATAGATAATAGCTCCAGCTTTGGCTAATATGTCCCTCCCTAATAAGGATGTGGGACTTTCGGGCATAACAAGAAAGGCATGTGAAAAGAGCAAAGTCTCCCAATTACAACTGAGGAGGTGGGAGAAGTAACAGGTTACAGGCTGTCCCAGGATTCCTCGGATGGTAACGGACCTTGAGGACAGCCTTCTGGGGCAGGAGATTGACACTGAGAAGGCCATGCCACTGTCCAGGAGGAAGTCAATTTCCTGGCCCTCAGTGGTTAAACTTACCTGGGGCTCAGTGAGGGTGATGACATGAGCTGGTGCTTCCCCTGGGCACCCTCAGTCCTGTTGTTGGATCATCTGGTTGGGGGCTTCCGGCCCAGAGAACCTTTGTCCTCTGGGGCAGTGTGCCTTCCAGTGACTGCCTCAGCATAGTGGACACGGACGATGGGGCAGCTTGTTTCTCGTCAGACAATCTTTTTTAAGGTGCCCTTGCAAACCACACTGGTAACAAACCCTACTGGGTGACTGGCCTGCTCCATTTGCTGTCCTCTCTGAACCACCAAGGTTTGTTTGTCTGAGGGCCATGACTAAGGCTGCAACCTTTCTCTGATCTCGTTTTTCCTTTTTGGCCTGTTCCTCTTGGTCTCTATTATAGAACACCAAGGTTGCCAGGCTTAATAATGCCTCCAGATTTTGTTCAGGGCCCAGGGCTCACTTTTGGAGCTTTCTCCTGATATCTGCAGCTGACTGGGTAATAAACTTATCTTTTAGAATCAACTATCCCTCGAGTGAGTCAGGTGACAGGGGAGTATATTTTCTTAAGGCCTCCCATAGCCGCTCGAGAAAGGCAGAAGGATTTTCTTCCTTTCCCTGAGTTATGGTAGACATCATTGAATAATTCATGGGCTTTTTCCTAATTCTCCTTAGTCCTTCTAGAACAAAGGTCAACAAATGTTTGTGACTCCAGTCCCCATGATCTGAGTTGAGGTCCCAGTGGGGATCCATACTGGGGATGGCTTGCTGACTGGTAGGAATTTGTCTCTTGCTTCGGCTGTCATTCTATCATTTACTTGACTAAGATACCATGTATCTCCAAACTCTTGGGCTGCAGCTAAAGCCACATTCTTTTCATTAAAGGCCAGGGTTTGATCTAACAATAGCATGACATCTCTGCAAGTGAGGTTGGAGGTTTGCCCTAGACCCTGTAGGACATCTATGTATCTATTGGGATCATCTGAAAACTTTCCCAGGTCTACCTTGATCTGCTTTAAATCAGAGAGGGAGAAGGGAAAATGTAGCCAGGTTGGGCCAAATTCCCCTCCCCCTACAGCTTGAAAGGCTTGAAAGGGACATAACCAATAGCCCAGGAGTTTTTGTGGTCCTTTGGAGATTTCTTTGCTTGTTTCCTTCTGGGTAGGGAAGATTAGAGGAGGCTTATCATTAATAGGAAGGGGAGCTATAGGGAGGCTAGGATATGGGGGTAAGCTGAGAGGTCCTCTTGTGGGATGTAAATTGCAAGCTTTGCATAGTTGTGGATTCTCCTTCAATGAAAAGAAAGCTTGGACATAAGGTATTTCACTCCATTTGCCTTCCCTCTTACAGAAAATGTCAAGCTGCAGGATAGTGTTGTAATTTATACTTCCCTTGGGTGGCCATTTTTCCCCATCAGAGAGAGAATATTGGGGCCAGGCCATAGTGCAGAAAAAAATAAGCTGCTTCTTTTTCAGGATTTGTGGGTCAAATTGGTCCCAATGGCTTAGGATGCATTTCAAGAGCGAGGCTCTTGATGCCTGAGTGTTTCCCATCTGAAAGAAAAAACCATCCACGGTTTTGGCTTGTTTGTTTATCTCCCCCACCCAAGAACCCACAACAGTCCCTGGACCCTGCTGATCAGAATAGTTGTGCTCACTGACGCAGCAGCAGATCTCCCTCTTGCCCAAGAACCAGCAACGGTCCCTGGACCCTGCTGATCGGAATAGTTGCGCTCACCAAAGCAGCAGCAGAAACACTAGTTTTCCTCCTAGACCACAAGGAGGACCGAGGAAGGTCAGATTTAGTAGCCCTTACTGACACATTCTTGAAAACCTGCACCCTTGCCTTTCCTCTTAGACCACAAAGAGGACCGAGGAAGGTTGGATTTAGTGGCCCTTACTGACACATTCTTGAAAACCTGTTAGAGTCCTAAGCATTTTCTCCTGTTAGTATTGGGACCTTATCCCTGTCCTGTAAAGATGATATGACCCAAAAATGGAGTGGAAGGCCATACACTGAGGGAGGGAAGGGATCTCCAGGGTTGGAAGAGTGATACATTTTGTCCTCACTTCTCATCATATGAATAGGAAGGATATCATTTATGAGGCTCCCCATATCCTAGCTTTGGTAATAGCCTTTGTTAGGCCTGCTAGACTGAGGAGGGATCCTAAAATTGCAGATAGTCTCCCCCACTAGGTGGGGCTTTGGGCAAAAATTATGTCTTTCTGATTGGTGAGGCTGGGTGCCTAAAGAAAGGAACAGAGTCCTGAAATTTATACTAGAAATCATTCTTATAGGAGAAACTAGAAAAGCACCAGAGACAGGGAGTGGTTTTTAGAAGCAGAACTAGCTTTGGAGAAGAGAGGCAGGAGGAAGTTCATCTGACAGGCGTTAGGACCCAGGAGTCAAGGGTCAGGATAGACAGGATAGATGGGCGAGTCTCGCTTGGGTGATGTAACTTTGAGAGTTCTGCTTATGGCTGCAGGGTCAACCAACTTTTTATCAGGACCCTGGAGCTGAATGGCTTTCCTCTCTGTCACCCTTGGCTCAGCCCAGTACAGGAAAAGTGGAAGCTGGATCCAGGTAAACCAACGTTCCCAACTCCAAAGAGTTGGGGGTTGTTAGAGAGCCCTTTCCCAGAAAGCCTGACACCCATATCTTTAGTCTGGTGGCTGCGCTAGTCGCTTTTAACTGGCTGACAGGTGCCCACTGTTTAGCCCCCAAATTCTAAGAAAAAATAGGCAGAATAGCAAGTGAAAGGGGTCCAGTTGTACTCACCACTTGGCGAAAGTTCCATCCGGGTTGCCAAGATTTGTCTGGAGTTGGTTCCTATAGGTGGGTTTGTGGTCTCACCGACTTCAGGAATCAAGCCGCGGAACTTTGCAGAGAGTGTTATGGCTCTTAAAGGTGGTGTGGACCCAGAGAATGAGCAGCAGCAAGATTTATTGTGGAGAGTGAAAGAACAAAGCTTCCACAGTGTGAAAGGGGACCCAAGTAGTTTGCTGCTGCTGGCTGGGGTTGCCAGCTTTTATTCCCTTATTTGTCCCATGTCCTGCTGATTGGTCCATTTTACAGGGTGCTGATTGGTCCATTTTACAGAGCACCGATTGGTGCATTTTACAAACCTCTAGCTAGCCACAGAGCACTGACTGGTGCGTTTTTACAGAGCACTGATTGGTGCATTTTATAAATCTCTAGCTAGCTACAGAGCACTGATTGGTGCATTTTACAATCCTAGCTACAGAGTGCTGATTGGTGCATTTCCTCTTGTAAGACAGAAAAGTTCTCCAAGTCCCCACTTGACCCAGAAGTCCAGCTGTTTTCACCTCTTATTATTAGGTATAAAAGTACAACATTGAGTTCCAATTTTGAGATAGACTCTACTTTTCTCTGCTAGTATCATGTCTAATACTATTCTATTTTCCTAAGTCATTTGGCTGGTGGGTCCTAATTGTTTAGCTATCCCTTTAATAGCATCTCTAGTATAGTTAATGAATCATTGCTGCTTGTAATAGATGCAATTTGTCCAATCTACATTTTTATTTACAGTTAACCACCAGAATAGTACAGACTCAAACCCTCAACTATCTGATTTGGGGCCTTAAATTCATCTGGCACTCCTCTCGGGATTCCAATGGCATCTATATAAACATGAGGGTCAAAAGACCCAGGAGGGGCCTCTCTTGTTTTACGATGCTTTGTCTTTATCCTTTTTGGTTGATGGAATGCCAGGGTGAAAGGGATGGTCAATTGGATTAGAGTGCAAGTGTCTCTCCAGTTACTTGGAGAGTGTCCACTAATGGTCCGCCACAATACCACCATACATCCACTCGGGGATGGGTCAGGGCAGACTGATTGGTTAGCTCTCAGAATGGCTTAAGCTCACTGCATCCCTTTAGGTCTCCAAGAAATGCTAAGTTTTCCCCTTGTTGTGAGAGACATGAGATAAAATTGGCTTCAGGAGATGGAAGCTGGATGGCCCTCGGGGAATGACCTGCAGAGTGCCGGACTTTGGGGAATAGCAGAGAGAGAGCTTGGCACAATTCATTACCCCAGGCTGTGGGGTGTTGGAAGAGAGCTACCATACAGTTCATGCTTGGTTGGCTGGAGAACCATCCGAGTGGAAAGGGGACAATCTGGGCCTCTGGCCTGCCATGCGCACAAGTGTAACAATCGCTTTTGTTTAGAGTGTAGATGGAATATTTAATCCATTCCAGCCAGGCATTTGCACTTTTGTACCCCATCTCTAGAGCTATAGTTTGCTTTAAATCTTTTACCTCCACAACTGTTACCTTAGTTGGGTCATTCTGGAGATTGGAGGAGAACACTGAGCCTGATATGTTTGCAGAGAGTGTTGGTTCCCATACATTCCCGGACTCTGGGTATGGATTTTTATTGTTCTTAGCCGATGGTCTAGCCAACCTCAGAGAGAAGATTCCTATGGGGTCCCATTCTGTAACATCTGCTCCAAACCCATACCATTCGAATATGGTCATTGGCCATTGGGCCGTTGTTTGGGGAATATCTATAATTAGCAAAAAGGGGTTACACTGCAATGACTTACAATTTGGTGGGGTGGGACCACAAATCAAGTTGGAGTTCCTGTTTCAGTTTTTGCAACTTGTTTGAAGAAGGGGGCCTGACTGTCCACCCTCCACATTTGGTGGTCCACCAACATCCGTCCAGTTACCACAGGGACTTTTTAAGACTCCATACTTATACTTGGTTGAGCCACTACGGTATGGACATAGATACTTATCTACATTTGATAGCTGCCTCTGAGCTCGTTCGTCTTCACATGGGATGACTGAACGAGCATCAAACTGGAGGGTTAAAGGATGATTAGTTTGAGTCACATTGATGATGAGATGACGTTCTTTTGGAAAGAAAAGGGAAAATAAACAAGTGATTATTAAGCCCTTTTAGAGTTAATTTGGTAGGAATGGGCCCTAGGGTGATGGCCCATTTTTCTCTGGCTGTGGAAGTCACTCCCTTCACTTGCATGTGGTGTGTTCATCCCCTATTGGCTGTGCGGACAGTGGTTTCTGTAGTTAGAAGCACCAGATAGAGTCCTTCCCAAGCTGGTTCAAGTTTTCCTTCTTTCCAGCTTTTGATAAGAACTTGATTCCCAGGCTGATGCTGATGTGCTGGGAACTCCAAGGATGGCATCTGTGCTAAAAGGCCTTTAGTTGTGAGAGAAGGGAAAGTGGAAGACAGACCAAGTATATAGCTCTTGAGAAATTGATCTTCAGTTTCAAATGTAGGAGTATCAGCAGTGGAGTGTAAATAGGCAACCCATATAGCATTTCATAAGGAGATAAGCCAATATCTTTCCAAGGGGCTGTTTAGACCCTCAGTAAGGCAACTGGAAGGCATTTGGTCCATGGTAGACAAGTCTTTAAAACTAATTTGGACAGGTGGCTTTTTAGGGTTTGGTTCATTCTTTTTACTCTTCCTGATGAAGGTGGGTGCCAGGGGGTATGGTATTCCCATCTAATTTCTAATACTTGGGCTAGCTTTTTAATGACATGTGCAGTGAAATGGGTCCCATTATCTGAGTCAATATTTCCCATTGGTCCAAACCTAGGTATATTTTCAATTAATGCCTTAACTACATTATTGGCAGCTGCACTTGAAAAGGGAATAGCTTCTACCCAGTGACGAAGGTGATTAACTATTACTAGTAGATACTTTAGGCAACCTACTGGGGGCATTTCAGTGTAATTTATTTGGATGATTTGGAATGGCCTTAATCCTGGGTTTCTTTCTCTGAGAGGTGGTTTTCTTAGGGTTTGCTTATTAGTTTTTTCACACATTAAACAACTATTTGTAACTTGTTTTGCTAGAGTATAAATTCCTATACAACCACAGACTCTAAGAACTGCATCACACATAGCTTGAGGTCCCTAATGGGTTCCTTGATGCAGCTGAAATAAAACCTCACTCATGCGAAGTTTGGATAGCATTTCTCTTTGATCTGGCAACACTCATTTCCCCTTTTGAGTTTTCCTTGGCTCCTATTCTTATTAACTTTTCCTTTTCAGCAGGGGAGAAGATGGGAATGGTGGTTGGGGGAGAAAGGCAAAGGGTGAGGTAAAAAACGGGTGTTTCAGAGGAAATGGCGGCTTGTTTGGCTATTTGGTCTGTGAAGTTATTTCCTTGGCTTTCAAAAGAGAGATTTTGTTTTCTTTTTACTACCTCCCTGCGAGTTTTTAATTTGACCTTGATTAGAGGAACTTGTAATTTTCCCCAATTTCCTTCTTTTGACCATGTGTCAGGATGAATATACTCTTCGTCTGTGGTGGTGAGTAAGTTTAGGGAAGTGAGACATTTTCCCTAATTAATATAGAGGCCTAAGCCAAATTTTAGCATTAAATCTCTCCCTAATAGGTTTGTTCCTGCCTCTGGAATTAACACAAATTTAATATTAGCTGATCTGCTTTTATATATGACTTTTGTTTCTTTCTCCCATTTGGGGCATTCTCTTTCGAAGTGACCTATTCTTTCACATTTGAAACATTTGTTTTGTCTTCTTTCTCTCCCTCTGCCTCTCTCTCCCTCTCTCTCTGGCTCTCTGTCTTTCTCTCCCTCTCTCTCTGGCTCTCTGTCTTTCTCTCCCTCTCTCTCTGGCTCTCTGTCTTTCTCTCCCTCTCTCTCTGGCTCTCTGTCTTTCTCTCCCTCTCTCTCTGGCTCTCTGTCTTTCTTTCTCTGCCTCTCCATCTGTCTTTGCCTCTCTGTCTTTCTCTCCCTCTCTCTCTGGCTCTCTGTCTTTCTTTCTCTGCCTCTCCATCTGTCTTTGCCTCTCTGTCTCTCCCTCTCTCTCTCTCTCTGCTGCGCCATCTCTCTCTCTCCCTGACTCCCTTTGTTCCCTTTGTCAGTTTTTCTGTCTCCTCTCCCTGCCCTCTTGTTTCTTCTATAGGCCAATCTTTTCAGTTTTCTATTTTCTGTAATTTCTTTGTGATATCTGGCCAACTATTAGTAACAAAATGGAGGTTTAACATCTCCTGCCCAAGGGGATCCTTTACGTTTAATCCTGCATGTTTTCTTATCTGTTCCTTGAGTCTGTTTAAAAACTCCATGGGCCCCTCGTCATTTCCCTGCTGTATATTAAATGCTTGGGAAGTATTTTGGGTTTGAGGCACTGATTCCCAAATCCTTTTAACTATCATTTCCCTAAGGTCTTTCATGTTTTCTCGGTGGGCTGCATAGTTATTATCCCACTGGGGATCTTGGGCAAGAAATTTTTGTTTTGCTGCAGGGATATTTTGAATGAGAGGATGTTTGCACTCCGAGACTACCATAGGAGCCCTGTGGATTATGGTTCTTTCCTCTCCCGAAAAGAGAATACTTAAGATGGACAGTAGCTCACTCCAAGTGTTTACCTGTGGTCTTAAAAATTGGTCCATTTGATCCGTGACCCAAAAATGATCATCTAATAGTGGTTTAAGTTCTTTCCTTAAGTTTCTGACCTCTGAACTAGTTAAGGGGGCATTTACAAAGCCAATTCCCCCTCTTCCTAGAGGCACTTTCCTTAAGGGATAAAGAGTTGGGGCAGACTCTTTTGAGGAGGAGAGGAAAGGGAAATTTTGAATATCCTTTTTACATTTTTCTCTCTCATGTTGAAGCCTTCTTGGGGGAGGGCATTCAGGCTGGGGATGGCCCCAAGAGCCAGGATTATAAGGAGGGGGCACACAACATGAGTAGGGGAAGGGTCTGGGGTGGCTGCTTGAGGAAAGTTAGGGGTACCTGGAGGGGATGTGGAGAAATAGGAACACTTTTAGACTGTTGGTGGGAGTGTAAATTAGTTCAACCATTGTGGAAGACAGTGTGGTGATTCCTCAAGGATCTAGAACCAGGAATACCATTTGACCCAGCAATCCCATTACTGGGTATATACCCAAAGGATTATAAATCATTCTACTATAAAGACACATGCACTTGTATGTTTATTGCAGTACTATTCACAATAGCAAAGACTTGGAACTAACCCAAATGCCCATCAATGATAGACTAGATAAAGAAAATGTGGCACATATACACCATGGAATACTATACAACCAAAAAAAAGAATGAGTTCGTGTCCTTTGCAGGGACATGGATGAAGCTGGAAGCCATCATTCTCAGCAAACTAACACAGGAACAGAAAACCAAATACCGCATGTTCTCACTCGTAAGTGGGAGTTGAACAATGAGAACACACGGACACAGGGAGGGGAACATCACACACCAGGGCCTGTCAGGGGCAGGGGGGAAGGGGAGGGAGAGGATTAGGACAAATACCTCATGCATGCAGGGCTTAAGACCTAGATGACAGGTTGATAGGTGCAGCAAACCACCATGGCACATGTATACCTAAGTAACAAATCTGCACGTTCTGCAAATGTATCCCAGAACTTAAAGTAAAATAAGAGAATTAAAGAAAAAAACTTACTCTAAAGCTACAGTAATCAAAACACATGGGAGGCCTGACATGATGGCTCATGGCTGTAATCACAGCACTTTGGGAGGCTGACGCTGGTGGATCACTTGAGGTGAGGAGTTCAAGACCAGCCTGGCCAACATGGTTGAAACCCCATCTCTACCAAAAAATACAAAAATTAGCCAGGCATGGTGGTGCATGCCTGTAGTCCCAGCACTCGGGAGGCTGAGGCAGAAGAATCACTTGAACCCGGAAGGCAGAGGTTGTAGTAAGCTGAGATTGTACCACTGCATTCCAGCCTGGGCAACATAGTAAGACCCTGTCTCAAAACAAAACAAAACAAAACAAAAAACATGGGACTAGCAATAAGACACACATACAAACAAATGGAATAAAATAGAGAGCCCAGAAATAAACCTTTGCATTTACAGTCAATTAACTTCCAACAAGGGTGTGGAGACCATTCAATGAGGAAACAATAATCTTTTCACCAAATAATGCTGGAAAGACTGTATGTCCACATGCCAAAGAATGAAGCTGGACCCTTACTTAACACCACATACAAAAATTAACTCAAAATGGGTCAAAGATCTAAATGTAAGTGCCAAAACTCTAAGACTCTTAGAAGAACACATAAGAGGAAAGCTTCATAACACTGGATTTGGCAATGATTTCTTTCATCTCACATGAAAGACAGGTAACAAAAGAAAAACAGAAAAATTGGACCTCGTGAAAATTAAAAAACTTTTGTGCATCAAACGTCACTATCAACAGAGAAAACAATCCATGGAATAGGAAAAAATATTTGCAAATTACATAAGGGATTAATATCCAGATATATAGGAAACTCCTAAAACTCACAACAACCAAAATCTGATTCAAAAATAGGTGAAGTCTTGAATAAACATTTCACCAAAGAAGATATATTAATAGCTGATAAGCACATGAAAAGAGGTTCAACATCACTAGTCAGTAGGGAAATGCACATCAAAACCACAATGAAATACCACTTCACACCCATTAGAATGACTACTATCAAAATTACTGCAAATAACAAGTGTCAGCGAGGATGTGAAAAAATTGGAACACTTGTGCATTTCTGGTGCAGGTGCAAAATGGCACACCTGCTGTGGAAAACAGTATGACAGTTCCTCAAAAACTTAAAAATAGAATTACCATATGATTCACAAACTCTACTTCTGGCTATATACCCGAAAGGATTGAATACAGGATCTTGAGGAGATTTTGTACACCCTTGTTTATAGTATTATTAGTCACAATAGCTAAAAGGTGGAAGCAACCCATGTCCATCAACTGATGAATGCTTAAGCAAAATTTGGTGTATAAATATATATATATATATATATATATATATATATATATATATATATACACACAAAGGAATATTATTCAGCCTTTAAAAAGAAGGAAATTCTGGCCAGGAGCGGTGGCTCATGCCTGTAATCCCAGCACTTTGGGAGGCCGAGGCAGGCAGATCACATGAGGTCAGGAGTTTGAGACCAGCCTGACCAACATGGAGAAAACCCATCTCTACTACAAAAAAATATAAAATTAGCCAGGCGTGGTGGCAGGGGCCTGTAATCCCAGCTACTCTGGAGGCTGAGGCAGGAGAATCACTTGAACCCGGGAGGTGGAGGTTGCAGTGAGCTGAGATCATGCCGTTGCACTCCAGCCTGGGCAACAAGAGGGAAACTTCTCTCAAGAAAAAAAAAAAAAAAAGAAAAGAAGGAAATCCTAACACATGCTACAACATGGATGAACTTTGTAGTCATTACACTACGTGAAATAGTGCTTTACAAAAGACAAATGTTTCCATTTATATAAGCTACTCAGAGACAGTAAGTAGAATGGTGTTTGTCAGGGGTTGAGAAGAAGGAGAATTAGGAGTTACTATTTAATGGGTACAGAGGTTCAGTATTGCACAATGAAGAGTTCTAATATGAATGGTGGTGATTGTTGCACCATATATAAGTACTAAATACCACTAAACTGTACATATTAAAAAGCTTAGGAAGGTAAATTTTATGATACATGTATTTTACCACAGTTTTTAAAAGTGGAGGGCGAACGTGAAAGACAAGGATTTCCAGTTTCTAATCAGGCATGTAAAGAGCTTGACAGTCATTACTCTGCCCTAACAAAGTAAGAAGCTGAACAAACTGGAAATCCACAATTCTTTATAGATCCATCAGTGAATTGAGCTCACATGGCAAGCTGCTGCCCCTCAAACTGAAGAGAGACAAGCAGATACAGAAAATTACAACTTACCATGGCAGAAACCTGTGAATGGAAACCTCCACAGAAACCAAAACGGGGGTAGAAAAACCTAAAATGCTAGAGCCTCTGCATGGACATTTCCGATAGGTTAAAACTCCAGGGGGCCAGTCTTGGGTGAAGGATTGCCCACACTCTGTGGGTTTTACCTCCAGTAGCTCTACCAGGAATCAGAGCAAAGATCAGAGAAAAAAAAAATCCCTTTTGCTTCTGACGGGGGAGGGGAAGAGCAACTGTTTTGAAACACAGCAGGGCACTGTGGTCTTCATAAGACCTTCCCTCAAGGGAAACTGTTTTAACCAGAGCTTAACCTATTCAGGTTTTATCTGAAACTAACCAACTGGGGGCTAGGGAAATACTTAACTCTAGACCCTTCTACCCATCCTGTTCCACCTAAGGAAGAAGAAAACAGAAGCACCGGTGAAGTTCACAGTCCGGGAGCACAGGCTCCCTGAAAGACTGAAACCTAATCACAGAACTAGAGAATGCTTTCCCTCCCCATACACATTACCACTCCATTACTAAAGGCCTATATACCACAGTTTCTGTAACATTCCTGCCATATCTAACCCTGATTCTGATGCTTGTTCATTCTCCTCAAACTGTGTATTTTGTCTTTTATTATGCCTTGTAATTTTTTGTTGCAAGGGTTATCAGACCATATAAATCATTCTATTATAAAGATACATGCACATGTATGTTCACTGCAGCACTACTCACAATACCAAAGACATTGAATCAACCCAAATGTCCATCAGTGATAGTCTGGATAAGGAAGATGTGGTACATATACACTGTGGAATACTATGCAGCCATCAAAAGGAATGAGATCATGTCCTTTGCAGGGACATGGTTAGAGATGGAAGCCTTTATCCTCAGCAAACTAACACAGGAACAGAAAACCAAACACCACATGTTCTAACTTATAAGTGGGAGCTGAACAATGAGAACACATGGACACATGGAGGGAAACAACACACACTGGGGCCTCTTGAGGGGCGCAGCGGGAGGCAGAGCATCAGGAAAAATAGCTAATGCATGTGGGGCTTAATTACCTAGGTGATGGGTTGATAGGTTGCAGCAAACCACCATGGCACATGTTTAAACCTATGTAACAAACCTGTACTTCCTGCACATGTATCCTGGACCTTAAAATAAAATTTAAAAAAAAATTTAAGTTATCAGACCAGGAATTTAAAATATTGTAATTAATATGCTAAGGGCTCTAATAGAAATTGTAGATAACATATAAGAACAGATGGATAATGTAAGCAGAGAGATGAAAATTCTAAAAAAGAATAAAAAGAAAATGTTAGAGACCCAAAACACTGTAACACAATTAAGAGTGACTTTGATGCGCTCATTAGTAACCTGGACATGGCTGAGGAAAGAATCTCTGAGCCTGAGTATATATCAATAGAAACTTCTAAAATGAAAAGCAATGAGGTTTTTAAATGGGACAGAATATCCAAGAACTGCAAAACAACTACAAAAAGTGTAAGAAACATATACATAATGGGAATACCAGAGGGAGAAGAAAAGGAGAACAAGACAGAAGTAATATTTGAAGCAATAATGACCGAGTATTTTCCCAATTTAGTTTCAGACACTGACGATGGATCCAGGACTCTCAGAGAGCACCCAGCATGATAAATGCCAAGAAAACAAAAACAAACAAAACAAAACAAACAAAAACTATAACTAGGCATATCATATTGAAACTGCAGGCCTGGCATGATGGCTCATGCCTGTAATCCCACACTTTGAGAGGCCAAGGCAGGTGGATCACCTGAAGTTCGGAGTTCGAGACCAGCCTGGCCAACATGGTGAAGCCCTATCTCTACTAAAAATACAAAAATTAGCCGGGCATGGTGGTGGGCGCCTGTAATCCCAGCTACTCAGGAGGCTGAGGCAGGAGAATCACTTGAATCTGGGAGGCAGAGGTTGCAGTGAGCCAAGAGATTGCACTGTTGCACTTCAGCCTAGGCAACAAGAGCAAAACTCCGAGCCAAAAAAAAGAGAAAGAAAGAAAGAAAGAAAGAAACTACAGAAAATTGGAGAAAATCTTGAAAAAAGCCAGAGGGAAAAACACCTTACCTATAGAAGAGCAAAGATAAGCATTACATCTAACTTCTCAGAAACCATGCAAGCAAGAAAGGAATGGTGTGAAATATTTAAAGAGTTGAGAGAAAAAAGTCATTGACTCAGAATTCTGTACCTTTTGAGGTTATTCTTCAAAAGTGAAGGAGAAATAACAACTTTCTCAGACAAACAAAAATTGAGGGAATTTTTTGCCAGTAGGCCTGACTTGCAAGAAATGTTAAAAGAAATTCTTCAGAGAGAGGCCAGGCATGGTGGCTCACGCCTGTAATCCCAGCACTTTGGGAGGCGGAGGCGGGTGGATCACAAGGTCAGGAGATCGAGACCATCCTGGCCAACATGGTGAAACCCCGTCTCTACTAAAATACAAAAAATTAGCTGGGCATGGTGGCGCACGCCTGTAATCCCAGCTACTCGGGAGGCTGAGGCGGGAGAATCACTTGAACCCAGGAGGCAGAGGTTGCAGTGAGCCGAGATCACGCCACTGCACTCCAGCCTGGTGACAGAGCAAGATTCTGTCTCAAAAATAAATAAATAAATATAAATTCTTCAGAGAGAAGAAAAATGATATAATCAGAAATTCAGATTACAGAAAGAAAAGAAAAACATTAGAAATAATTAAGTGAAGGTAAAATAAGAACTTTAAAAATTAATTTCTAATTGATCTAACAGATAACAGTTTATTCAAAATAATAGCAATAGCTACAATGTATTTAGTGATTACAGCTTATGTAGAAGTGAAAGAATGACAGCAATAATACAAGGGATAGGAGGGAGGAATTAAGAATACTTTATTATAAGATACTTGCATTACCCATGAAGTGGCATAGTTTTACTTAAAAGTGAACTTGGACTAGTTGTAAATGTATTTTGCAAACTCTAGGGCAATTACTAAAAAAATAGAAGTATTACTGATATGCTAAGTCTTACTGATATGGAAAGGGAGAAATGGAATCATATAAGGTGATCAGTTAAACAACAAAAGGCAGAAAAAGAGTGGAAGACAGAAACAAAGAAAAAGGACAACAAATAGAAAGCAATGATGAATCTGACAGATATCACTTTCAATGGCAAAAACTGCAATCACCTTTGCACCAACCTAATAGTTATCTATATCAATAAATTTCAATGGATTAAATACACCAACTAAAAGACAGAGGTGGTTAAAGTGAATCACACAAGACATAACTGTATGTTGTCTACAAGAAACCCACTTTAAATATAAAGACATACATAAATTGAAAAAAGATGAAGAGGCCAGGCATAATGGCTCATACCTGTAATCACGGCACTTTGGGTTGCTAAGGCAGGAGGACTGCTTGAGGTCAGGAGTTTGAGACCAACCTGGGCAACACGGAGAGTCCTCATCTCTATTTTTAAAAAATTAAAATTAAAATTTATAAACAGGGATGAAGAAAGATACATGCTAACACTAATCAAAAAAAGAGATGGAGTAGCTATATACTTTCAGAAAGCAGAATTCTGAGCAAGCATAATTATTTATTTATCTTTTTCGAGACAGAGTCTTGCTCTGTCGCCCAGGCTGGAGTGCAGTGGCGCGATCTCGGCTCACTGCAAGCTCCGCCTCCCGGGTTCACTCCATTCTCCTGCCTCAGCCTCCCGAGTAGCTAGGACTATAGGTGCCCGCCACTACGCCTGGCTAATTTTTTTTGTATTTTTAGTAGAGACGGGGTTTCACCGTATTAGCCTGGATGGTCTCGATCTCCTGACCTTGTGATCCGCTCGCCTCGGCCTCCCAAAGTGCTGGGATTACAGGCGTGAGCCACCGCGCCCGGCCGCAAGCATAATTATTACAGATAAAGAGGGGCACTACATAATGATAAACAGGTCAATACTTCAGGAAGACATAATAATTCTTAATGTGCATGTACCTAACAACAGAGCAGGAAACACATGAAGCAAAAACTGAGGAAACTCCATGGAAAGGAGATAAATCCACTATTATAATTGGTGGCCTTAACACCCCTCTGTCTGAAATGGACAAAACCAGCAGGCAGCAAGTCAGTAAGGGCATAGCTGAAAACAGCACCAAATATCAACTGGATATAATTGACATTTATAGATGACTTCATCCAGTAACAGCACAATATACATTTTCCTCAAGCTCACAGGTCATTGTCCACGATAGACCACACTCTGCTCCTTAAGACACACTCAATAAATTTAAAAGACTAGAAATCATATAATGTCTACTCTCAAACCACAATGGAACTAAACTAGAAATAAATTACAGGAAGATAACTGGAAAACCCAAAAGTACCTGGAGACTGGTTAAAAAGCAAGCTTTTAAATAACACTTGGGTCAAAGAAGAAATCTTGAGAGAAACTTAAAAATATTTTGAAGTAAATGAAAACGAAAATACAACACATGAATTTTTTGGATGCAATAAAAGTGGTGCTTAGAGGGAAATTTATAGCATTGAATGCAAATATCGAAAAAGAAAATCAATAATCTAAGCTTCTATCTTGGGAAACTAGAAAAAGAAGAGCACATTAAATCCTAAGTAAATGAAAAAAAAAAAAAAAAAAAAAGAACCCAGCCCCACCCAGCAGACCTAGTTCCAGGTTTGCCCCAGTGGATTTAGGCTCCAGGTCCAACCCCACAGAGCTAGGCATCAAGCCCACCCACCTGTTGACCCAGGCAGCAGGCCAGCCTGACAGAGAAATCCAGCAGCAAGTCCAATTGCCTGCCCAGCATCTCTGGACAGGCTAACTGGTGAAGGGCTTTCTCTGCTAAAGCCAATCTATTAAGACTGAAAGAAGTGCCTGCTTCTTCAGATGCACAGAAACCAATGCAAGGTCACAAAGATCATGAATAATCAGGGAAACAAGATACCACCAAAGGAACAAAATAAAGCACCACTAACCAACTCTAAAGAAATGAAGATCTGTAAAATGCCTGACAAAGCATCCAAAATAATCATATTAAATAATCAGCAGCAGAGTTGGGCATGGTGGCTCATACCTGTAATCCCAGCTACTTGGGAAGCTAAGGTAGGAGGATCTCTTGAGTCCAGGAAGTTGAAACTAATCACAGCAACATAGTAAGACCCCATCTCTTAAAAATTTTTTTTAATTAGCTGGGCATGATGGTGTGTGCCTATAGTCCCAGCTGCTTAGGAGGCTGAAGAGGGAAGATTGCTTCAGCCCAAGAGTTTAAGGCTGCAGTGAGCTTATGTAGCTGTGTCTTAAGTTCATTTTGTTTCACTCTGTCATCTAGACAGAGTGAGATCCCCATCTCTATTTTTTTTTTAATCAGCAGCAGAATACACATTCTTTTCAAGCACACACAGAACAGTCTCCAAGATAGAGCACATGTCAGGCCACAAAGCAGGTCTTAACAAATTTAAGAAGATTGAAATCCTATCAAGTATCTCTTCTGACCACAATGGTATGAAACTAGAAATCAGTAACAGGAGGAAAATTGGAAGATTCACAAATATGTGGAAATTAATCAACACATGAGCAACTAATGAGTCACAGAACAAATCAAAAGGGAAATCAAAAACTCTCTTGAGGTAAATGAGAATGGAAATACAACATACCAAAACTCATGGGATGTATCACAAGCAGTTCTAAGGGGGAAGTTTAAGTAGTAAATGTCTATATTAAGAAAGGGAAAGATCTCAAATAAACAACCCAACATTACACCTCAAAGAACTAGAAAAACTAAGAAAAAACTAAGCCTAAAATCAGCAGAAGGAAGAAAACAATTAAGATCAGAGCAGAAATGAATAAAGACTAGAAAACCAATAGAAAAGATCAGTGAAACTGAGAGTTGATTTTCTGAAAAGATAAACATAATTGAGCAACCTTTAGCTAGAGTATGAAATAAAAGCAGATTCTAATAAATAAAATTATAAACAAAAGAGACATTACAACTGACACTGCGGAAATACAAAGTGTCATAAGAGACTGCTATGAACAATTATACACCAGCAAATTGGATAACCTAAAAGAAATAAATAAATTCCTAGAAATTTACAATCTACCAAGACTGAATCATGAAGAAAAAGAAAATCTGAACAGACCAATAACAAGTAAAAAGATTGAGTCAGTGATCAAAACTTGCCCAACAAAGAAAAGCTCAGGAACTGATGTCTTCATGGGTGAATTCTACCAAAAGCTTAAAGAAGAATTAGTGCCAGTATTCTCCAAAATGCTTTCAAAAAACTGAAGACGGTGAAACACTTCCAAGCTCATTCTATGAGGCAAGCATTAACCAGAAGCCAAAGCCAGATAAGAACACTACAAGAAAAGAAAATTATAGGCTGATATAGTTTGGATATTTATGCCCTCCAAATCTCATGTTGAAATTTGATACCCAATATTGGAGGTGGAGCCTACTGGGAGGTATTGGATCATGGGAGCAGATCCCTCATGAATGGCTTGGTGCCATTTTTGTGGTAGTGAGTTCTCGCTCTGTTAGTTCCCTTGAGATCTGATTGTTACAAAGAGCCTGGCAGCACCCTCCTCTCTTTTCTGCTCCCTCTCTCACCATGTGACACACTTGCTCCCTCTTTGCCTTCCGCCATGATTAAAAACTTCCTGAGGCCCTCACCAGAATCAGGTGCTGATGCCATGCTTTTGTACAGCCTGCAGAACCATGAGCCAAATAAACATCTTTTCTGAATAAATCACCCAGTCTCAGGAATTCTTTTATAGCCACACAAAATGGACCTAAGACACAGGCCAATATCCCTGATGAACACAGATGCAAACGTCTTCAACAAAATACTAGAAAACAAATTTCAACAGCACATTAAAAGACTCAAACACCATGACCAAGTGGGATTTATCCCTGGGATGTGAGAAGAGTTCAACATACACAAATCAATAAATGCAATACACCACATTAACAGAATGAAAGATAAAAATCATGATCATCTCAACAGATACAGAAAAGACATTTGACAAAATTCAGCATTTTTTTGTGATTAAAAACTCTCATCAAATTAGCTATACAAGGCAGATACTTCAACATAATAAAGGTCATGTATGACAAGACCACAGCTAACATCTACTCAATGATTAAACCTGAAACCTTGTCCCCTAAGATCAGGAATAAGAAAATGATACCCAGTCTCACAGCTTGTATTAAACATACTACTTAAAGGTCCTAAACAGAGCAATCAGGCAAGAAGAAAAAAATTGAAGTCATCTAAATTTAAAAGGAAGAAGTAAAATTGTCTCTGTTTGCAGATGACTTCATCTTATACATAGAATCCCAAAAGACTCCACCAAAAAACTGTTAGAGTTAATATGCAAATGCAGTACAGCTGTAGGATACAATATCAACATATAAAAGTCAGTAGCACTTCTAATATACAGCCATGCATCACTTAACAACGGGGATACACTCTGAGAAATGTGTCATTAGACAATTTCTTAATTATGTGAACATAATGGAGTGTTCTTACACAAACCTAGATGGTATAGCCTACGACACATCTAGGCTATATGGTATAGCCTATTGCTTCTAGGCTGCAAATTTGTACAGCATGTTACTGTGCTGAATACTATAGGTACTTGTAACACAATGGTTAGTATTTACGTGACTAAACATGGAAAAGGTACAATAAAATATGATTTTTTAAAAAAGATAAAAGATGGAACACCTGTGTAGGGCACTTACTATGAATGGAGTGTGCAGGACTGGAAGTTGCTCTGGGTGAGTCAGTGTGAATGCTTAGGATATTATCGTACACTGCTGTAGACTTTATAAACCCTGTACATTTAGGCTATGCTAAATTTATTTGGTAAATATTTTTATTTCTTTAATAATAAGTTAACCTCAGCTTACTACAATTTTTCCTCTATAAGTGTTTTAATTTTTTTAAACTTTTTGACTCTTTTGTAATAACAGCTCCAAACAAAAACGTACACTGGGCATGGTAGTGTGTGCCTGTAGTCCCAGCTACTCAGGAGGCTGATTGCTTGACCCAGGAGTTTGAATCTAGCCTGGGCAACATAGCAAGATCTCATCTCTAAAGAAAGAAAAACACAAACACATTGTATAGCTGTACAAAAATATTTCCTTTATATCCTTATTCTACAAGCTTTTTTTGTATTTAAACTTTTTTGTTTTTAAGGCTTTTGTGAAACACACACACACACACACACACACACACACACACACATTAGCCTAGGCCTACACAGGGTCAGGATCATCAATATCACTGTCTTCCACCTCTATATCCTGTCCCACTGGAAGGTCGTCAGGGGCAATAACACACATGGAGCTGTCATCTCCTATGATAACAATGCTTTCTTCTGAAATACCTCCTCTTGAAGGACCCACCTAAGGCTGTTTTACAATTAACTTTTTTAATAAGTAAAAAGAGTACACTTTAAAATAACAATTAAAAGTAAATTATAGTAAATATATAAAACAGTAATAGTTGTTTATTATCATTATCAAGTAATATATACTGTACATAATTGGATGTGTTATACTTTTATACAACTGGAAGCACGGTAGGTTTTTTTACACCAGCATCACCACAAACGTGAGTAATGCATTGCACTATCACCTTGTAATGGCCTCAATGTCACAGTGATAGGAATTTTTCGGCTCCATTAGAATCTTATGGGAACGCCCACGTATATGTGATCTGTCAAATGAAACATCATTATGAGGTTCATGACTGTACTAACAATGAACTATGCCAAAAAAATTTAATCCTATGTGTAAAACAAAAATATTGAGGAATAATTTAATCAAGGAAATGAAAGATATGTACGTTGAAAACTATAAAACATTAATGAAAGAAATTGAAGACACAGATAAATGGAAAGATAATCCATGTTCATGGATTAGAATAATTAATATTGTTAAAAATTTCTATACTACCCAAAGTGATCTACAAATTCAATGCAATCACAATTCCAGTGGCATTTTTCTCACAGAAATAGAAAAAAAAATTCTAAAATTCACAGGAACCACAAAAGAACCCAAATAACCAAAGCAATCTTGAGCAAAAATAACAAAGCTGGAGGCCTCACACTACCTGATTTCAAAATATACAGCTGTCCCTTGATACCTATGAGGGATTGGTTCCAGGACTGCCCAAGGATACCAAACTCTTGAGAATCCTCAAGTCCCTTATATGAAAAACTGCATGGTATTTGCATATAACCTGTGTATATTCACCCGCATACTTTAAGTCAAAACAAAGTGCCCAAGAACACACAATGGAGAAAGAACAGTTCTTCAATACATGATGTTGGGAAAATTGGGTATCCACATGAAGAAGAATGAAATTGGATCCCATGTCACACTGTGGGTCAACTCAAAGTGGCTTCGAAACTTTAACATAAGGCCTGAAACTGTAAAATGACTAGAAGAAAACACAGGGAAAGCTTCTTGACGTTGGTCTAGGCAGACATTTTGAATATGACACCTAAAGCACAGGCAACAAGAGCAAAACTAGACAAATAGGGTTGCATCAAACTATAAAGCTCCTGTACAGCAAAGCACAAAATCAGCAGAGTGAAGAGACAACCTGTAGAATGGGAGAAAAACTTTGCAAACCATGTCTGATAAGGAGTTCATATCCAAAATAGGTAATAAACTCATACAACTTAATAACAAAAAAACCTGATTTAAAAACGGGCAAAGAACATGAATAGACGGCTTTCTTTTTCTTTTTTCTTTTCTTCTCTTTCTCTTTATTGAGACAGGGTCTTGCTTTGTTGCCCAGGCTAGAGTGCAGTGGTGTGATCTCGGCTCACTGCAACCTCCACCTCCCAAGTTCAAGCGATTCTCGTGCCTCAGCCTCTCCAGTAGCTAGGATTACAGGTGTGCGCCACCATGTCCAGCTAATTTTTTATTTTTAGTAGAGACAGGGTTTCACCATGTTGGCCAGACTGGTCTCAAACTCCTGACCTCAAGTGATCTGCCCGCCTTGGCCTCCCAAAGTGCTGAGATTACAAGCATGAGCTACTGCACTGGGTCAAATAGACATTTTTCAAATGAAGACATACAAATGGCCAACAGGATATGAAAAGGTGTTCAACATCACGAATTATCGGGGGAATACAAATGAACACCACTATGAGATATCGCCTCACATCTGTTAGAATGGCTATTATCAAAAAAGATAAAAGATAGCAAGTGTTGGCAAGGATGTAAGAAAAAGAGAACTCTCAGCCAGGTGCCGTGCTTACACCTGTAATCCCAGCACTTTGGGAGGCTGAGGCGGACGGGTTACCGGAGGTCAGGAGTTGGAGACCAGCCTGGCCAATACGGTGAAACCCCATCTCTACTAAAAATACAAAAATTAGCAGGACGTGGTGGTGCATGCTGTAATCCCAGCTACCTGGGAAGCTGAGGCAGGAGAATCACTTGAACCCAGGAGGCAGAGGCTGCAGTGAGCCGAGATCGAGCCACTGCACTCCAGCCTGGGTGACAGAGTGAGACTCTGTCCAAAAAAAAAAAAAAAAAAAAAAAAAAAGGGAGAACCCTCACACACTGTTGGTAGGGATGTAAACTGTGCAGCCATTATAGAAAACAGTATAGAGGTTCCTCAAAAAATTTAAAATAGAACGATTATATATATAACCCAGCAATCCTACTCCTTCCTGTATAACCAAAGGAAATGAAGTCAGTATTTTGAAGAGATATCTGCACCTCCATGTTCATTGCAACATTATTTGCAATAGCAAAAATATGGAATCAACCCAAGTGTCTACTGACAAATGAATGGACTTTTTAAATGTAGTATATACATACAATCAAATATTATTCAGCCTTAAAAAGGAAAGAAATTCTCATTTGCCACAACATAAATGAACCTGGAGGACATTATGCTAAGGGAAATAAGCCAGGCAGAAAAAGACAAATACTGCATGATCTCACATATATGAGAGGTCTAAAAAAGTCAAAACTCATAAAAACCAAGAGTAGAATAGTGGTTGCCAGGGCCTGGGGGGAATAGGGGAATGGGGGATGTCGATCAAAAGGTACAAAGTTTCCATCAGACAGAATTAGTCCTGGAGATCTACTGTATAGCATGGTGACTATAGTTAATAATAACATATACTTGAAAATTGCTAAGAGAGATCTTAAATGTTCCCACTACCAAAAAAAAAAAAATTCTAAACCTACATGAGGTGATTTTAAAAATGGTTAAAAAGGTAAATTTTATGTCATATATAATTTGACATAATTTTAAAAATCAATGATATTTTTATACACTAGCAACAAACAACTAGAAAACGAAAAGATAATTTAAAAAATTATTTCCAGGCCAGGTGCAGTGACTTACGCCTGTAATCCCAGCACTTTGGGAGGCTGAGGCGGGTGGATCACGAGGTCAGGAGATCGAGACAATCCTGGCTAACACAGTGAAACCCCATCTCTACTAAAAATACAAAAAATTAGCCAGGCATGGTGGCGGGCGCCTGTAGTCCCAGCTGCTTGGGAGGCTGAGGCAGGAGAATGGCGTGAACCCAAGAGGCGGAGGTTGCAGTGAGCTGAGATCGCACCACTGTACTCCAGCCTGGGCAACAGAGCAAGACTCGGTCTCAAAAAAAAAAAAAAAAGAAAAAGAAAAAGAAAATTATTTCCAGAGGGCGAGGTGGGCGGATCACTTGAAGTCAAGAGACCAGCCTCGCCAACATGGTGAAACCCTGTCTCTACTAAAAATACAAAAATTAGCCAGGTGTGGTGGCAGGCGCCTGTAATCCCAGCTGCTCGGGAGGCTGAGGCAGGAGAATCGCTTGAACCCAAGAGGCAGATGTTGCAGTGAGCTGAGATCATGGTACTGCACTCCAGCCTGGGCGACAGAGCGAGACTCCGTCTCAAAAAAAAATTTTACCATAAAGCTACAGTAATTAAGACAATGTAGTATTTATTAAGATAAACAAATAGATCAACAAAACACAACAGAATCCAGAAACAGACCCACCCATTTATGGTCCACTGATTTAAAGCAAGGGTGCCAATATAATGCAGTGGGAGGAAAGAGTCTTTTCAACAAACAATGCTGGAACAACTGAATATCTATATGGGTAAAAAATAATGTTGACCCCTATCTCACCCACAAAAATTAATTTGAGAAGGACCAAAGACCTAAGTCTAAAAACTATAATGTTTCTAGAAAAAATCAGGGCCAGACGTGGTGGCTCCTGGCTGTAATATCAACACTTCAGGAGGCCAAGGAGGGAGGATCACTTGAGGCCAGGAGTTTGAGGCTGTAGTGAGTCATGATAGTGCCGCTTCATCGCCACCTGGGGGACAGAGCAAGACCTTGTCTCTATATTAAAAGAAAGAAAGAAAGGAAGGAGGGAAGGAAGGAAGGGAGGGAGGAAGGGAGGGAGGAAGGGAGGGAGGAAGGAAGGAAGGAAAGGAAAGGGAAGGAGAGAGGACGGGAGGGGAGGAAGAGAAAGAATCAGGAAAGAAGTAACATCTGTGACAGTGACAGAGTAGGCAGGTTCAAGGACCCATCCCTCCCCAGGCATGCTTAAGCATGGTGCCTGCCTCCTTCCCATTGTTGAGTGCGGCTGCCGTGCACCAATGACAGGCATTCAGTCCACAATCCCAGGACCAGGAGCAGTGTGCATTGGACCCACTTGGGTCAGCAGACCCCTGCTTTTCCCAGGAGATGATTCCTTCCATTCACATTGCAAGAAGGTTGACAACACAGGTCTAACTCTCCTCAGATACCCTGATTGATGGAATGTTTACCTGTGAATGTCACTCCATCCCTTTTCTTAAACTTAGAAGGATCTTTCAAGGAGGAAAAATATCTCATGGTGCATAAATGTGGAGTTCAAGAATTTCTTGTTTTACTTCTGATTCATTTTCTTCAATTAGAGTCAAGTAAAATTAAATCTTCGCTAAAAAAAATAGACATATGGTATGATCCCATTTTTATGAAAGTATTTCTATCTCTCCTATCTGTAAAAATGCATAGAAATATGTTGAGGATGCTGTACCAGAAATGTTAATGACGGTTATATTTGAATGATAAAACTTGAGGTAATACTTTTATTTTCTTTTTGTACTTTTCTGCAATGCTTAAACTGTTTGTAGGGAGCATATACTGTTTTCACAGAAAGAATAAAGTAATTTTTTTTAAAAGAAAAAACTGACCCCCTGGCAAGAGGCCTCAGGGTTTAACACGTGCCTATTTTACTTTCCTCCTGCTGCTCCTCACTTCCTGTCCCCTCACCCTCAGTCCCCTCCATTTCCCTCTTCCTGTTTTTTCACACATGTGCACACACACATACACACATGCACACACACACGTGCACACACACCCTTTTCTCCTTCCCCCGCTTTCCCCACATCTAGCCTCTCTTCCACAGGCTGAGAAGTCCCATCTCTCAGTGCTCAACTCCCCACTGGCTCATGGGGGTAGATGCAGTGGGCTCCAATCCTTTTTCTGCTGGAACTTGAGGCGGAGACATCTTGAGGGGGTTTTGAGACCCTCAGTGGTCTCTCCTTTCCCCTCTGCCTCCCATAACCCCCCAGCCCAGGAGAGGAGGGTGAGCAGCCAGGCTGGACTGGGAGAACAAGGGACAGCGCTGGCCTGATGAAACTCTAGGCAATGTCCGCCCACAGGGGTTTGGGGTATGGCGGATTCTGAATCTCATTCCCAGCTCCATGTCATCCCTCGGCTCCACTTTTTGTTCCCAGCCCCTTTGCCCAATGTAACCACTTCCTCTTGGATCTTGGTGTTCTATCTCAAGGGTCTGCTGCTAGACAGGGCTCAAATGTGGGAAGGTGGCCATCATCAGAGCTGCCATTGTAATGTGACTCTTCCCCTCCCCCTTTCCCATGTCAGGACTCGGGGAGGCAAGAGCAGCATGGCCTGAACCACCCTTTCCCAAGCCGCAGGAGCTTATGGTTCAGTAAGAGAGAGCCAGGCCCACCCAGACAGGGCAAGGGCTACCCTGCAGTCTTACAGGACCAATGCAAGGGACAGGGGAAAGGATAGAAGTGGATCTGGGAGAGCCTTCAAACACAGCCATGGGAGAAACACCTGTGTCCCAGTGTAAGGTCTGGCTACGCAAGCAAAGCAACCTGGTAGTTCCACTTACGGACGGTGAATTCACCATGATGAGTGGCTCCCTAGGGTGGAAGAGAACACAAAATGCTGGGCACCTCTGGTCCTCAGTCCCCAGAAGGGGAAGAGCTCTCCTTTGAGGACTCCAAGTCTAACACAAGCAGAGGGGTCAGTGTTTGTAGGACACGGACTATGGTATTGGAGAAGAGGAGATCCAGAGACGTAAAGCCAGGCCACTCCGTATCCCAGGACTCCCAGCCTTGGGATGGGGAAGCTGGCGGGTCTTAGTAATGTGCGCTAAGGACTGAGAGCTGAGGCGTGAAGGCCAAGATTTGCTGCCCACAACACCATAAGGATGGGTGGGAGGGATCATGTAATACAGGGGTGTGGGTCATGACTGAGGGGAGGAGCCATTGAGACAACAGCACAAAAAATAAGGAGGCCGCTCTCACAAAAGCAGGAAGGGGAAATGAGGGGGGCAGGAGGAAGAAAAGAGGTGTGGCAGGCAGACGTGAGGACTGGTCCTTAGGAATTCTTCCTGGACTTCTTCCCTGGCCCCCAGGCCTTTGGCTCTCCCTGCTAGATGGGTGGCAGGGATAGAAGGAGATCCTTCACTGGATGCCCTTTGTACCTTTTTAGCTGCAAACCATGTTCGTAACTACTTGTTTTGTTGTTGCTGTTGTTGTTTTACATTTTAAGGAAAATATTCCTGAGCCATGTGAAGAAGGGTTGCTTTTTGGGTACAAGGGGCTTAGAGCCCCGTCTTCTTTTGTCCGGGTGCTGGGGTTGGTGGGCAAATGTCCTCAGAGTCCAGTTTGGCAGGAAGACCCAGAAAAGGCCATACTGGAAGTGGGGGCTGGGACTGTGGGTACCATGGGTTGCATTTCCCTGGTGACCAGCCACTGGGGGCAGCACCCAGGCCTGAGTTATTGGGGGATCTAGAATAGAGGCTGGCCCAAAAGGGTTGCCAAAATGAGCAGATGAAAATACAGGATGTCCAGTTAAAGTTGACTGTCAGATAAATAACAAAAATTTTTAGTATAAGTATGTCCCAAATATTGTGTGGGACATATTTATACTAAAAAAGAGTATTCATTGTTTATGACATTCAAATTTAACTGCGCAGTCTGTATTTCATTTGTCATCCATACATCCCAGATGTTGACGGGAGAGAAGAAGCCATTCCTGCAATTTTCTTTGTTTATTTTTGTTTTTGTTTTTTAAATTGTTTACCTGAATTTCCACAACCTTGCTAGCCTGTGGATGCAAATGAGCTCACTTAAAAATAACAGATGCCCTGGGCTGCCGGCTAATGCAGGACTTTGTCCCTCTGCTCCTCACAGTCTGGGGACTCCCCAGAAGCTGCTGTTTTCCGGTTCGGTGCCCGCTGCCTTCTAGGCCACAGGAGGGCAGCGGTCGCCTGGCCACAGCCATGTACCTTAGTGCCCTCTGCTGGTGAGCCCTGACAGCAAACTCCAGAGATGCCCAAGGGCTCTGGGCTCCTCAACTGGCCCATCAGGCCAGAGCTCCTCCGGGGACTGGAGAAACGCTCCCTTTTCTGACTTCTCGCTGGGCTTGACAGCAGATGGTGTCTCCAGCTGCTCCGCCTCTGCCCTCCCTGCTTCACCCACCCCCTCTCCCCATAAGCTCCTTCTGCCTTTGTAAGTGCCAGTGAACAGGTGACATTCAGTCCATGCCTCCTCTTGGTTCCCCCTGCACCAAATGCTCAGTGTGGCTCCATGCATTTGGAGGATCCAGTGCCAGGCTGGCCAGCTGTGGGAAAGCCCACCATTCCCGGAGGTCACTCCTGCTCCATCACCCACACCATCCTGGGGGCCGGGACCCCAGGGAAACCCCTGGACTGCCAGATGAGCCTGTTCATTCATCTCTATCCATTTAAAGCCCCCACCCGACCCCAGGATGCCTGGGCCAGTCTGCAGTGGCTCCTTTTAAGGGAGGATGGCTCATTCATTTTCCATCTCCCCACCAGGCAGGGCTGGGTCTGTCTCGGTGGCAGACAGGTCCTAACATCAGGCACAGAGCAGAGTCGATATTTAAACGCTAGCAGAATGACAGCTGGGAGGCTGTGGAGGGCGTGAGGGGCCTTGCTGGGTCAAAGGCAAAGAGTGATTTTTTAAAATAAAGCCACTTTATTTACAGGTAATACAAAATAAACCACAGGACAAACTACTGTGCAGGGGGAGGGGCAGCCCCCACAATAACCACCCTCCCCATCCCAGAGTAACTTATATAAAAAATAAAAAAGGCCCTAGTTGGGGGGAGGGGCTGGGCTGGAAGCACCTTTGCTGGTTAGGACTGGGGCCTGCCGTCCTCAGCCACCCGGGTCCAGGGCAGAGTGAACCCTGGCTTGCTCCTCTCTGAGCCCTGGGCCTGGCCAGGAGGAAACACAGCTACAAGGGCAGTTAGTGGCCACTGCAGAGGCTCCTGGCCAAGGCTCCTGACTTCTGAGTCTGAAGAGCTGGGGTAAGGAGGTGGGTAAGTGACTTTGGGGGCAGACATAGGGTGGGTAATAAATTATTGCAGTGCTCCAGCCAACTTCCTCCTGGCCCTGGACGTGGGTCTGCACTAGGTTCCCAGGAGCAGCTGTGTCAGGGCGGGAGTATGGGGTCTTCAAAGCGATGACGTTGTCGAGTCCACCACCTCACGGCCATTGCAAACAGTGGGGACAAACTGGGAGCCAGACCCTAAGAAAAGGAAGCCAGAGGTTGGGGCCAATCCCGAGGTCCTCCATGGAGGGCAGGCAGTGGGGAAGCAGGGCTGTGAGGGAAGCCTCCCCTCCCCTCTCCTGTCCTCTCCTGCCAGTGTCATTTGGGGGGCACCTCACCCCCAGACAAGAGATCTCAGCAACCCAAGGAGCTGGACAGGGAGAGGGGAACAGGCAGAGAGGGCTGCTTAGGACACTGACCTTGGCCAAGGCTGGAGCTGGCCCTGGCAGCAGCACTGCCAAAGCGGCTGGTGGGTGCCCGGTGGCTAACCACGTTCTTCTGCGGCTGGAAGAGGATGATGTGCAGCTTGGGCGCAAAGAGGCAGCCAAGCACCACGGAGCCGCTGAGGCTGACTGACACGCACATGGTGGTGGTCTGTACCTGCGGTGGGTGAGTGGGTGAACAAGCACAGGTCAAGACCTGGGCCTGACCCCAGGACCCCCTGCCTGATCTGTGGGGGAGGGAGTGGGGGAGACTAAGCATCCAACACTGGGCTGTGGTCCATTTGCCGGATCCCAAAGCATTGCTAGGAAAATTGGGCACAGTCCCAGCATCAGACCCAGACCATTTTCCCAGGGTGACAAGAGTTCCAGCTGAAGGGGAGAACATGCAGGGGGGCATGTATACACAGGGGTGTGTGCATCTGGGGGCTGCAGGAATGGAGTGCGTGCATGTAGGTGTGTGTGTATATCTGTGTAAGTGCATGTATGTGGGGTGGTGAATTTCTGCAGGTGTCTGCGTGAGTGTATGTGTGCGTGAGTGTAGGGTGCATGGGTATGGATTCATTTGTCAGGAAGATATATGTGTGTGTGCCAGCGAGTGTGTGTATGTGGGATATGTGTGTGTGCATGCATGCATGTGGCTATGTCTGTGTGTACAAGTGTGTGTGTGTGTGTGCATGCATGTGTGGGTACGGTGTGTGTCTCAGGTGAGTCCTTAGCTGCCTGTGATTGGCATGCAAATGCAAATCATATGCAAATGCAGGCTGAGTCAGAGCAGAATCCCTCCCCAGCCCTGGCCTCTACCACCCAAGCAGGTGGCCCAGCAGGTGCAAGCAGAGCAGCCAAGCCCAGCGGTCCCTGGCCCCCAGCACTGTGCCACCACACCTCTGTCCTGGGGAAGGGGCCTTTGCCGGGGCTTTCGCCTCAATTTTTCTGCAGTTCAGACCCTGCTCTGCACTCCCAAGCTGAGTGACCTTGGGCAAGGGATTGAACCTCCCTGAGTCTCTGTTTCTTCATCTGTAAAACGGGAGAGCCATGGAGCTTACTCAAGTTATGAAGATTAACCAAGATAATCTTCTTACTCAGAACATAGCTCATCTGTCACCTCCTCAGAGAGGGCTTCCCTGACCACCCTATCTGAAGCAGCCATTGCCCCTTGGAGCTGGGGAGACCCATTGAGACACAGTGCCAGTTGGAACCAAATTTGCTCAGAAGCCACCAACTGGGGAACAATTTTCACCTGCTTTAGCTTTTCTCAACTCTATACCCTGGATCTCCTCCCCTACCCACCTTGCTTCATCTTTCCTGCCTTCCCTGGCTTCATCTCTCAACCCCTTCTGCAGATGACCCCTCAGTGGAGCAGGGCAGAACCCTGTCCATTTGAACATATTTCTGCACCCCCATCACCTTCCAGGATAGGGGATGACATTCAAGTCCTGAAATCTCAGCTCTCTCTAACTCGAGTTCCCCACCTCCCTGGCCATTTCCCTAGGTCCTATTCAGCCCTCCCACCTTCCCCTTGGGATCCACACAAGCTGTGGTCCCCTGAGTGGGCATTATCCTCTTGGAACCCCAGAGCTACCAGTAGATTAAATAAGATACCAGGAAACAGAGGGTCTGGTGTCCCATCTCCCCCGACCTCTGTGGCAGGTAGCTCACCCGGTAGTCACTGGAGGTGACATAGAAGATGGGCAGGAATGCCAGCCAGATGATGCAGGTGGTGTACATGGTGAAGCCAATGAACTTGGCCTCGTTGAAGTTTTCGGGGCACTTGCGAGTCTTGAAGGCATAAAGCGTGCAGAGCGCGATGAGGAGCACATTGTAGGCCAGCGAGCCCAACATACTTGCATCGCGGTGGTTGCAGCGCAGTGTCACCACCTCCCGCCGTTCGGGGGCTGTCTCCTTGCCTGTGCCCGGTGCCTCCACCACCAGCCAGGCGACCACGATGAGCAGCTGGCCCGAGATAAGTGCCAGGCAGATGGCCACCTGTGAGGCAGGACTGATGAAGCGTGGCCGCTGGGCACCCTCCCGGGCCCCACCGAAGATGCGTGCAATGCGGTTGGTCTTGGTGAGCAGGGCTGAGTAGCAGACAGAGAAGGCAGTGCCCAAACCAAGACGCCGTAAGGTACACACTGCCGTGGATGGCTTGGCAATGAAGATGAAGGTCATGCAGTAGCAGAGGAAGACACCACCCAGCAGGATGTAGCAGAGCTCCCGACCTGAGGCCTTGACCACTGGTGTGGCATTGTGCCGCACAAAGACACCCAGCACAAAGAGGGTGGCCAGGGCACCGAGGCAGGCGATGGTGACAGGTCCCACAGCCCAGGCATCGCCCCAGCGGATGTACTCCTGGGGCAGTTCGAAGCAGCCAGTCAGGCTGGCATTGGGCCAGTAGCCCAGGCCACAATCAGCGCAAGTGAATTCGTCCAATCGGTACTCATAGGGCTGGCACGGAATGCAGAGCCAGCAGCAGACTTCGCCCGGCTGCACACTCTTCACCTCATTCTGGAGGCAGGGCTCACTGCAGCGAGAGGCGGGCAGGGGGCCGGCTGAGGGTGAGGCCCATGGGATGAGGCTGGTGTCCAGAGTCAAGCCTTCTGCCCAGTAGCCCACCTTCTGGTAGCGATAGCGCCCACTGCCTGCACGCAGATAGGTGAAGATGTTGTAGCGGCCAATACCATCACCAAAGCGGTCAAAGCGGACCTCATTGTGGGTGTCAGCTGGGCGAAAGGGGGCTAGGATGGGGGAGGGAAGGAAGAGAAGGTTGGACTAGTGTGTTACCCTGATGTGACCTCAACATTCACCCTAACATGGAACCCAAATGCCAGAGCTAAGACCACCATTAGCCCTTCCAATCCTTAACCCAATACTAAATCCTGCCTTGACCCCAATCATTTTTCTAAATGAGAGATGACAACAAAGTCTTACTCCTAAACTCCAACATCAAACCCCAACCCTAAATGCCAAATGTAATCCCAGCCTTAAAGCCCAGACATCTCCAAAAACCTAATGCCCACATCAATCCCCAACCATGACTCCCCAAATTCAACTTTAGTACTATCCAACACTTTCCAACCCAGGCTCCAAATCCCAACTTCATCGAAACATACACTACAGCCCTCTCCCCAAACTCAATGCTAAGGCTAAACCCAGTCTCAGCTCCAATCCTGTCCCCACTAATCCTAACAACAACCCCAGCTCCAGCACCCCTAGTCCTAACAGTCATCCTGGTGCAAACTGAATCCCAACCTCACTGGTCACCTGCAACCACTGCCATTCACCAGAATGTGGTCAGTGGCTGGAAAATCACTTCCTCTCTCCACCCCCACTTCATCCCCTGTAAACCTCACATCTCCCAGCCAGGCTCTAGCCAGGATTTACAGCCATCCCTGGCCCCAGTGAGAAATCAGGGTTCAAGAAAGCAGAAGACATGCTTAAGGCCCCATGAGTGAATAGTGCAGCCTAGATTCAAACCCAGGTCCCCTCAAGCACCTACTCTTTCTACTCAGCCTAAAAGTTCTCAAAATCCAACTCTAGCCCTACCATAAATTCCACCCAAGCCAAACATGCTGAATTTAGCCTTGCTCTAACATCAACCAAATCGGACCCCAGATTCCAACCCTAACCCCTACACTGATTGTAGCTAACTCTGAATGTCAGTTCTATTGGAAGTACTCTTCATCTTAACCCTGGGCCAGGGCTTCCAAGCTTTGTCTCCCACTGTTCCCACGGTGATTCTTCCTGAAGCATAGTGATGATCTGCAGCAGTCATTTCTCTTAAAGCTGGCACTCTTATTAAAATAACTTTTGATTTCAGGAGACTTTCAGGTCACCTTGAGTGGAAAATCAAGATTAGGAATAGAAATTTTCCCTGAAGCTAGGAGCAGTGCCACATGCCTGTCATCCTAGCTACTCTGGAGACTGAGGCAGAAGGATCGCTTGAGCCCAGGAGTTGGAGGCTGTATTGTGCCTGTGAATAACCACTGCACTCCAGCCTACAAAATATAGTGAGACCCCATCTAAGAAAAGAAAGAAAGAAAGAAAGAAAGAAAAAAGAAAGAAAAGAAAAAAGAAAGACAGAAAGACATTTTCCGTGAATATAGAGCGTCATCCTGATGCTCACCCTCAAGCCAGACTGATTCTAACTCTTGGTGCTGCCTGAGAATGGGCTTGAGGTCTCCTGGTCTCCACCTTTGGCAAGATAAGGAGACAGAAGACAGTGGGCAAGGCCCAAGGAGGAGCCAGAGACCCTCAAAATGGCGGGACCAGGCCAGAGGTCTACTCTCTGGAAGAAAGTGGAACCTCAGCCGTAGCTTCAGTTGGAGTCCTCTCTGCCTAGCATCCTTGCCCTTGCTCTGACGCCACCCCAGGTGAGTCCTTTACTTTCACTCTACTGTTTCCTTAGCAAAGGAATGGAAGCTGAAGTTCTGCTTCCCCTCATCCTCTGACAGCCAGCAGGCCAATGGACACTGGCCAACACCATTACCATCAAACTTGACGTTGAGCACAAAGTCCTTGTAGAGGCGGCGCCCGTTAACTGGCCGCATCGCGTCACAGAGCCGGGTGGTGTTGGGGCAGAGGGCACGGTGCATGTTGTGGAGCGCATGGGCCATGGCGTACACTGCATTGACCACAAACATGATCTTGGACTCCTGCTCAAAGGGCACAGCCCGGAGAGAGTGGGCTGCGCAGTCTCGCTGCCGGAAGCTGCAGCGGAACCTCTGCTCCCAGAATTCACGGAACCAGGGGTTCCGGCTGTTGTTCCAAGGGTCCAGGCTCTGGAAGTAGGAGGCAAAGTCACTGATGGGGTAGGAGGCCAGCTCGATGGTGATAGCACCCTCAGCAGCCCCCTCACTGCCTGCCACCACACTCTCCAGGGCCCCCCAACCATCACTGGCCACCCAGGTGAAGCTGGCATTGAGGCGCTGGCTGGCAGCAAGCAGCTCCCGGGCATCCTCAGAACGGGTGAACAGGACAGCCACGCGGGCACTGGGCTTCTGCAGCAGGGCTCGCACCACACCCTCAAAGGCCGCGCGGCTCATGGCACGGCCCACTTTCTCCGAGGTGGCCACACAGATGTTGCGGGCACGAGCCTCTAGCTCAAAGGCCTCAATGCCTGTCTCGCCATAGTCGCCCTCAGACGCCACAGTGGACACATAGGTCCAGTTGAAGAAGCGGAGAATCTCAGCCATGGCCTTGGCTTGGAAGAAGTCAGGAGGCACTGTGCGGGCAAAGTAGTCATAGCGGGACTTGTCACTCAGCTTGGCACTGGTAGAGGCGTAGCTAATCTGTGGGATCTGAAATAGCCTCAAGAGGTTGGCCACCTGGGGGAGGAGTAGAGAAGGCAAAGATCAGCGGTCAGATCAAACACTAGAGACAGGTGCATCCCCCACAGCTAGCAGGTCTTGGTGTCAAGTGTCCACAAGGTCAGGCCTAAAGGCTCCCTCTCTAAAGCCCTGCATCCTGACTTGACAGTCTTCCCTCTGGGCTAGGGAGTTTTTTTATCTCTTTCCAAGGGCTGAGAGAGAGAAGACCCAGGGTGGAGACACCAGGGTCATGAGCCACACCTGATCCCCTCTGCCATCCCCTTTTAGACACATGGCAGGGGGGCCAAGGAAGGCCTGGGTGGAGGGAGGTTGGCACCTGGCTACACTGGGGCAGAGGGAGGCATGAGATGGCATCTGGCTACTCAGGGCTCTTCGGCTCTCTACTTATTTGAGGGTAGGTGGCCCTTCCCCTGAATCAATCTGATGGAATGATACAGAAAGAAGGAAAAGTTTCCCCTAGGAAGAAAGACACAGATCCCAGGGTCCGGTGGCCCTAATAGGCCAAGGCTTGGTCTCCATTGAATGCCTGAGTCTTAAACGTTCTACCACTGGCTGCCTGGCACCCCATCTCCCACCCTCAGGTCCCACAGGAGTGGGATCCGGCCAAGGGCCAGGTAGAGGGTGGGTAGGTGAAAGCAGAGCATGGCCCAGATTCTACAGCAGAGGGGTGAGTCTTGTGTTGCAACTGGATACAGGCTATGGCTCTGACAGTCTAGGGCTCAATGTCTCCTCCCCTCCCACACATTTTACCTTTGGGCCCCTGGAGTTGGCAAATCTCCCTGAGCCTCAGTTTCACATTCCTGCCCTACAAGGCTGCTGAGAGGATAAAAACGATAATGCATGGGAGGCCACAGTGCCTGGCAAAGGGAAGATGATAGGGACATGGGCAAGAGAGAAGGAGCAGCCATGAGGGGGAATATTAACAGGCAGGTGCAGCCTACGGATGACAGGCTAGCCTCGTGTTGATCAGGACGAGGGAGAAGCAGACCACTGCTGAGGCGTGGGCCCTGATCCAGGAGGCAGGCAGCTTGGGATGGCAAGGAGGTAACTGGACTTCTGGAGATAAATGCATGAGCCCTAAGGAGGACTGTGGAGAAAACTTCAGCAGAGGCCCTGGAAGACAGCAGCAGGTAGGAGGCCGCCCACTCATCCCTGCCCCAACCCGGGGCTGCAGAAATAGATGCTAGCACAGCCACATCTTCCCAGGCTGCTGCCTAGCCACCTCCAGTGACTGGGACTAGCAGGACAGCTGCCTAGCCACCTCCAGTGACTGAGACTAGCATGACAGCTGCCTAGCCACCTCCAGTGTCTGGGATTAGCAGGACAGATAATCCACTCCCAGCAGTGGATGGAGTGGCCAGGCCTCCCCGACTTCAGGCCGGTAGCTGACTCCAGGGTTCTCTGATTTCTGCTTCTGCTCCATTTCTCCTGAACAACTGTTCTAGGACAGGGGGCCTGGCCCTCTCCATCTCGGCAATGCCCTCAGCCACTCTCCGAAAGGAAGCTGAGGCCAAGCCAAGGCCTACCTTATGTCCCCCAGCCCTGATTCTAGCTCCAGCCGCATCTTCCAGCAGCCTGTGCTGGGCACTTGGCAAGCGGGAATCTGGGTGAGAGGTAGGACCCAGTCAGAGATGGGAGGATCGCAGCTGGGCACAGCCCTGGGAGCAGCAGAGGGGTGTCAGCAGGGCCAGCAGCCTCTGCTGAAGCTGAGCCACAGAGCACCCTCTGCTGGTCCCTGTGGGAGAGTAGGAGGCTGAGGGCAGGGGAGCTGCCTCCCCACCCTTCCCACCCCCTCAAATCCTGTGCCCCCTGAAGACTCTCTGGTGCCCTCCCCCGACACATATTCTGTTTATCTTCCTTCTGACTCCCCTACCCTGATTCTCTCCTCTGGCCACTCCTGGCTTCTATCTGGCCACCCCTCTCCAATCCAGGCAGAGATGATCTGACAAGTCAGGAGCCCCTTGGCCGAGAGCCGATTTCACAGTTCCCCTCCACCACTGCCTTGAATGTGGCCCACCTCTCTCTGAGCCTTCGTTTCCTCATCTATAAAATGGGTTAAAAATAATAGCAGCTAATATCAACGGTGCCCTTATGACTTGCCGGGCCCCTGATACATACTATGCATCTATCAACTCATTAAATTTCCATGGCAAACCTCAAAGTAGAAAGTGTTGTGGGCCGGGCACAGTGGCTCATGCCTATAATCCCAGCACTTTGGGAGGCCGAGGCGGGTGGATCACCTGAAGTCGGGAGTTTGAGACCAGCCTGACCAACGTGGTGAGGTCAGGCTCGTCTCTACTAAAAATACAAAAATTAGCCGGGCATGGTGGCAGGCGCCTGTAATCCCAGCTACTTGGGAGGCTGAGGCAGGAGAATCACTTAAACCCGGGAGGCAGAGATTGCAGTGGGCTGAGATCTCACCACTGCACTCCAGCCTGGGAGACAGAGCGATATCCTGTCTCAAAAAAGAAAAAAAAAAAAAGTGTTGTGAATCCAATTTTATAAGGAAGAAGCTGTGACACAGAAAAGAGAAATAACGTGCCATGGTCATGCAGTTAGTAAGTGGGAGACCTGACTATTAAGCCCCTCAGGGTTAACATCAAGGGTGAGGGTGTGTGTGTGTGTGAGGGTGTGTGTGTCTGGGTGTGTGTGTGGGTGTGGGGGTGGGTGTGGGGTGTGTGTGGGTGTGTGGGGTGCGTGTGTGTGGGTGTGTTGGGTGTGTGTGGGTGTGTCGGGTGTGTGTGGGTGTGTGGGGGGCTGTGTGTGTGTGTGAGGGTGTGTGGGGTGTGTGTGTGTGTGTGAGGGTGTGTGTGTGTGTGGGAGTAATGAGAGTAAGATGTTCTCTTGCACAGTCTCTAAAAATCGACCACCATTATGTGACCAGGGCACTTTCTTAGCTTCTGTAAAAGCTACTGCAAGGAAGCTTCTAGTTTCCCTTCCAATTCACAGCAGCCCATGAGCCCCTTTTCAGCAGGAATTCTGGGTCACCACCTCCGGCCTCCCTCCCTAGCCCCCATTTGGGTGGCTTCCACGTACCTGGATGGAGACATCACTGTAGGAACCGCCAATAACACCAGTGATGGCAGTGGGAGCATCACCATGGGTCGCATAAGAGCCGTCGGGGCAGATGTGGCGTGAGCCATCAGCACCACGGCTGAGTGAGGCACGCACAAAGTCCAGTGCCTGCTCCAGCGCATGTGTGTCCTTGGAGCAACTGTCGAGGATGTGTGCACCCAGGCGCACGCCAGGCAGCAGGTGCGGGTCACGGTTGATGCGGTCCAGTGCAAAAAGCATGGCCTCCAGGCGCTGGATGCCACGGTGCTCATTGACAGGACCACAGTCCTCTGCTGGGCCGCCCTTCTGGTGCACTGGGAACAGCCCACCCAGCACCAAGTCTCCCTCCAGGGTCAGCACCTTCTTGGCTGGGCCCTCAGCCACAGCACCCCACAGCAGCAGCAGTGCCAGGAGCGCAAGCAGCGATCCCATGGCCCCAAAGGGGATGGATGGGTCCCGCAGACCTGGGTCTCCAGGGGATGAGATTAGAAGCAGCGAAGGCAAAGAGAGGAGGAAACAGGGACCAGGAAAGGACAGACAAGAAGAGAGATGCGAAGGGACCCAGCTCCTGCAGAGAGATAGAAAGACAGAAAAACAGACCAGGAAAAGTGGAACCTGAGAGCAGCTGCCCCTTCTGACTCTGCCTCCCCACGAGCCCCTTTCCTAGGTACTCAAAAGCCAGGGAGGGACAGGATGGTGTCATTAAGTAGGTTGAGAAGCTCCTGGGACTCCCCTGGACCTGTCTCTCAGCCCTGGCCTCAGCTTGGTGAGAGATGGGCCATATTCCCCTACCAAACTCAGCAGTGGGGAGAGATGCAAGCAGTGAAGTCCCAGGCAGAGGACAGGAGACCCCAGCCAATGCTGACCCCTCTGTAATTCAAAGGGTGTCCAAGAACAGCACAAACCTCCCAGGACCCCGAGGTCAATACCTTTGGAACAGACTATGTCACAGTCACAAACTCAGAGGTCCCCATCCTGAGCCTTGGATTTCCAGAGAGAAGGAACTGCTGTCTCAGGACCCACCAGGGAAGAGGAAGGGAAGCATCTCTAAGGGACAGTCTCCAACCCGTGGGGAGACTGGAGCCCATGTGAACACCCAAGGGTTCTAACCTTTGGTTCTTAAAAAGCCATCCCCACAGTTTGCTGACTGAGGAAGGAATAGAGACACTAAGCCCTGGGAATGAGACAGCAAGGTGGAATGGCTGGCCTCAGGGAGGGTACCCAAGTGGCTCAAGGTCCTAAGTCAACAGGGCAAGCAGATGTTCACGTATGTGTGTGTCAGGGTTGGGGGCTAGAGTCTCCAAACAGTGCTGAGGGTGAGAGTGCGGGACTCTCTAGCTCTGTGTAGAACACTGCTTGAGATTTTGTGCCTCTGTTTTCTCTTCACTCCCGACCCAGCAGAGAAAGTCACCATTTCCAATCTCCCCATCCTCAGCTTCAGGGCCCTGCCCACCCTAGCCATGGCCCTCAGAGACCCCCTCCCTGTCTCTTCCCCACTGCGTCCAATCATTTGTACCCCAGTTGCCTTCCCAAACACACACCCCACAAAGGCTCTCACAATCACACAGGCTTGGAAAGGCTGGGAGAGGGACATACCTCTTTCCTCAGAACAGGAAAGGAAACTGAGTTTGAAGAAGGGCAGCAACTAACTCAAGGACCCCATGTGCTGGCCACGGAGGCTGAGCCTCTTCATTTTGCCCCCTCAGCTCCCCAGGGCAGGGGCACTGGGCTCCTCTGGGGATCAGGAAAGCAGCAGCTTACCCAGGCAAGCGAGGGAGAAGCAGGGAGGAAGACCAGCACAGATGGAGACAGGGACCCAGATGGGGGCTGAAGCCAAAACTGGTCAAGTCGCAAGTCTCCCAGAGGGGAGGCCCAGACGGAAGCTCAGAGGCAGGAAGGGGACAGAAACCCGGAGTCAGACAGCCAGGAGCCTGGGCCACAAAATCTGGGCAGGGAGCGAGCAAGCCTGAGAGGTTGAGACAAAGACGGAGGCACAGACAGAAAGAAGGACCAGAGGACGCTGGAGCAGGAGGAACGGGGGAGTGCGATGTGGGGCGTGCGTTTTCTGGAGAAGAAAGGCGGGACGCCCGGGGCTGTCTTCCCGCTTCCCGGAGCTCTCAGGGAACGCTGTCTGGACACAGCAGCGCGGGCGCCCCACAACTTGAGGGCCCGCAGGACCCTGGGACGTGAGGTAAGGGCCAAAAAGGTCGGCAGCGGCAGCGGCACCACCACCACCGGCTCACCCTACCTGGCGCGCTGGCTCTGGCGCGGAGAGAATCGGAGTGGAGCGGGGGGCGCGAGGCTCCGGCTCCCGCTCGCTCGCTCGCTGGCTCGCTGGCTCTGCGCTCTCCGCCCGCCCGCTCGCCCCGCCGCTTTCAATCGCGGCCCGCCCCGCCCCGCCCCCGGCCCCGGCCCGCCCCCAGCCCCTCCTCCGTTCCTCCAGACGCCAGGTCTCCTGCTCCCAACCCAGCCTCCGCCTCCTCTGGACACTCCGCGCTCCAGCTTTTCTGGGGACCTCAGGGCCTGGAGCTGTCCGCCTCGTGGTGCTGAATCCCCGAGCGCTCTCGCTCTGCGCTGGAGCGGGTGCTTCGTGGCCCACTCCGCCCCATAGTCAGACTACCACCTAGAGAGCATAGGTGGGGGGCGGGGGGATGCCACGGGGCACGGGGTGGGGAAGGTCACTGCGCCCCGACAGGTGCCCATAGTGCTACTGCAGAGTGGAGGAGCTGGCCTTAGTGCAAGGGGTGCCTCTGGGGGATAGGTAAAGGGGCGCGTGGGAGACGGGTGGAGTCTATTCTCCCCACTCAGCGATTTCAGCTGGGTCCACATCCCAGGCCTGAGTTGGAGGCATGTGTCCTCTGCCACTTTTGAGACCTGGAGCCAGAGTCACTATGAGGAAAAGATTGGGGGAAGGGAGAGGTCAGAGGAGAATGGGGCCTCCCCTTCCTTCCTGCAGATGCCCTTTAAACCTGCCACCCACTCCCATGTAAAAAGGGTATTTAAGCAAGGAGAGAGCAACCTGCAGGAAGGGCTGCAGAACCAAGTACTAGGGTCAACCCTGAGGGAGTGTTAGGGATGGCAGGGGCATCTGGGAGGGGAGGGGCCTAGGGAAAGGCTTCTGGAACTGGCTGCTGCGTAGGAGGGAGTGAGAGCTGGAGCCCAAGCAGAGGGAGGACAGCTCTGAGAAGATTCTCTTGACTCTTCCCTCCCACAGCAGGATGGGGAAGGACGCCCCTGGGTAGAGGGTAGTGGATAAGCTGTAGTGCCAGACTGTGCTGAAGGAATGGGGATTAGAGAGCCTGTGCTATCTGCCCCTAACATGTGCACACACTAACAAGTGCCAAGGGGCATGGCATCCCTACACACATTCCCGACACTGCCCTTTCTTCCACAGGTGTCAGTGGAAGCAAGGCCAGCTCAGATACATGCTAATGAACATGCCAAGCCCAGACCCCTCAGGCACACACACCCACATGTGCGTGTGGCAGTCCGTAGGGGTGCGGGGGTGATCACCAAGGACGAGCTTTTTCCCTGGACACAGAAACCTGATGTCCTGCTGCTGTGGAAAGAATACAGCTTTGAAACGAAACAGACACATAAAACCCAAACAAACACAAGCCCCATCACTAACAGGAGACAAGGTGGCAGTGGGAGACAGACATGCTGTCTTCCACCTCCAACTCTGCCACCGGCTGCTCTCACCCTCTCTGGCTGCCTCAGAGCAACAGCTCCCTGGGGTAGGTGAGCAATGGGCCAGGCCTCTGGAGCAGAGGGGTTGACAGCAGGAGGGTGCTGAGGTGAGGAGTCACACACTCCTTCTAGCCACACTCCCAACCTGCTCAACAAGTCAGCCTCACAAAAGGCACAGGGCTGTAAACACAGATATGGCTGTGTACAGCATCAGCCAGAAAAGCCCATGATGTGGCCTGCAGCAAACAAGCTGCACAGTCGCAGCACATGGACACACAGTTACACACAGCTAGGCAGCCACCACTCCCAGCTGTGTGCACACGGATGAGGACATACACTTAGCCTTACACAGTTGTAAATGTGGACATGGCCACATGCATAGTACACATAAACATGCAACCACACACAGCTATACTTGTAGACAGCCATAATACACATGGGCACACCCCTGCCCCTAAGAACATGTGACCATGTCTACACACGGCTGCACATGTGGACACAGCCACATATATACAGCTGCTCACACAAGGACATGCCACAAATAGCTGTCCACCAAGACATGTCCACACATACATGGCCATAATTATGGATATACGGCTGCAGGACACATAGCAAATGTGTGTTTTTATATGTGGACACATAGCAAAACACATAGCTTTATACATGAACGTCATGAACATCACCATACACACAGTTGTACAGACACAGCCACACACAGTTGTACATGAACAAAGCCCCCATAGAGATGCTGTTAGCCAGCCTCACATGCTCCTATAATACAACCATACACAGACACAAAGCACAGCAATACACACACACACACACACACACACACACACTCACACAGGCACACAGCCATCCACACAGACTCAGCCATGCTCAGGTACAATCATACCCTGATGCTCACCTGGGCACAGCTTTACCCAAGCAGCCCCATCCATCCGTGGTTACACAGAGCCAAATGCATGAGCGTGGGTGCACATGCACACACACAGGTACACAGCCACTGGCAGGCACAGTGGGGGAGCCTCGCCTACTGGGGAAGTACCAGCGTGCAGGCACACTAGTCACAGACACAAAGGCATCCCTTGGAGGCAGATGAAGACAGGCTGTGAGCTCCCCATTCCTGAGCCCTGAAGGGCACCCCATACTCAGCTCTCACCCAAGCCAGGCTCTGCTTGCTCTCTGGCAGCTGCAATGGAGGGGCAGCTGGCCACTGGGGTCACAGAGCAGGACGTGGAGGATCTCTAACTCCCCTCCTCCCCCAACCCCAGGGTACCTGCCATGTTCCTTCCATTCTTTGTCCTGGGGAGGGGAGGCTCCTTCCCACTCCCAGCCTATCTGTACAGCCATCCCCCCACCGCCCCCAACCAAGGCAGAACAAACAAATACACAACCCAAATCCAGGTGAAACAAGTAAATCATTGGCTTTATTCTGGGTCCTGGAAGCTCCACTGTGAGTCTGAAAAAAAGACACAACAGGGGTGGCAGCCCTGGGGGCTGGTGCAGAAAATAGTCCCTGGCTCCTCTGGCCCTGGGAGCCTAAAGGGCAGTGAGGAGAAGGCTTAGCAAGAGGCCTGGAGCAGGGGAAGTCAGGTCCCTCAGGAACCCCTCCTCCCCCAGAGGAAGGAGGAAGAGGGCTGGAGAGTCTGCTGGAGAGTCTGCTCAGTTCCTCAGCAACTGCACTGCAGGAGGGTGCAGGCCATGGGTTACTCCTTGCCCTTCTCAGGGGCAGTGGGCTCCCAGAGCCACTTGGTAGTCCCCAGGGGCTCAGTCCCAGGGTCCAGCCGTGACTCCCCTAAGGGCCCCTCGCCCTCCAAGTCCAGCTCCTCAAAAGAGGAGCCGCTGGCACCTGACTCGCTGTAGCTGTGCTCGCTGCGGGTGTCACCGTCATCCCAGCCACGGCTGCTCGCCCCAGGTGACAGTGTGGCAGCTGAAGTCTCCCGGCTGCCAGGGCTCACTTCCAAGCTTACAGAACTCGTGTCACTCATTGTGTCAGCTCCTATGACCAGGAAAAGGGAGCACAGGTTAGCTAGGACCACCCCACCCCCTCCTCCAGGGAGAGGCAACTCAGCACGCAGTGCACTCATGAATAATGCAGCCTCCCGGGCTCAGGGGGCTTGCTCCAGCTGCCCTCTGCCCTCTACCCTGACTGGGGCTGCACAGACAGGGCAGAGGGAAAGAGCTGGGAGGAAGGGAGGGAGGGAAGGAGGGAGGGAGGGAGAGAGGGTGGGAGGAGGCAGCTGTGCACTCTTCTCCCCACTCTAAATTAGCCTCAGCTCCCTGCACTTCCACAAAGCCTGCTGCCCTCCCCCCACATTTATTAAGGGCCACTCAGCCCTGAGGTGAGGAGCTGAGGTAGAACAAAGAGACACAAGTAGTGTCCTCTCCACCTTCCCCCACCCCCACTTCAAGCTTGGAAAGAGATGTGTCCAGGGCCAGCTACAGAACATCACCCACAGGGCACGAGGACTGCAGAATGCAGCAGGAGGCCCCTCTGCAGCCCTCCCCCGTGCAGGGCTCCCAGGAGCAGCATCCAGGGAGTCAGCAGGCCCCTGCCTCTGGTACACACCAAGTCCCAGTTGAGGAGGGAGCTGAAGTACGAGGAGGATGGAGAAGGCCTGAGAAATACTCAACCAGCTGCAAGGAGGAGGGTGCTGGGATGAAACATGTTAAGGGTTTTCTCTCCCTATGCCTGGGTCGACCCTGAGAAACCCTTACCCACCCCACCCCCAATGACTGGTGCTTCCTGAGCCACAAGATAGCAAAAGGGGATGATGAGAGCACTCTGCTGGTGGTTGGGGTGCCCCAAACCAGTGCTGAGCCAGGTTGATGGCCCAAACTCCTTCTAACCTGCTCCTTCCACCCCCAATACATCCTCCAAGCAAGCAGCCCCTTCATCTGCCCTGTCCAGGAGCAACCCCTGGGTTCATCTCCCTGGATCAGAGGCACTGAATGCAGGCTGGGGTGGCAAGGAGGAACACATGGCTCAGGCTCGCTGTGTGCAGGAATCCAGACTGGGAGAAAGTGGATCTGCTACCCTTCCTGTATGATGGGGAGAGGGTCAGCTGTCAAACATCACAGAAGGTGAGGGGTTAGCCAGCTTCCCCAGCCACTGTCTCCATGGTGTTGGAGCCAAGCCAGGTGCAGCTGGGGTCTGCTTGGCGCCTGGACTCAGCCTGGGGCTTTCCTTGAGCCTCAAATGGGGCCTAGGTTGGGGGTGGGAGAATTAGGAGAGGGGGGAATTTGGGGTCTCTCCCTACCCCCACCACCCACTCAGCCCCCAGAATATGCCCTCTGGGCGCTACTGGCAGAGGTGAGGTGAGCCCTAGAAGCCCAGGCTGCTGGCCCAGGGCCCTCCTCTTGCTGAGGCCCCAGGTGTGGCTCCCAGGACAGAAGCCTGTGAATGAGGTGGTCAGGGAGCTGGGGGAGCTTTAAGTTTTGGGTAGTTTCTTCTGACCAGGGGACAGGATGCCAGGCCCTCACTGCTCCTTAAATAATGATCAGTGCCCCAGGGACCGCAGGCCTGAAAAGAGCAAAGGAGGGAGACAGTTTCTCCCTGGCCCTATTAAACTGTATGTTCTGTCTGCCCACCCACCCAATGGCTCTCTTGGGACCCCAGGTATAGGAATGTGCCTGCTTCCCAGCATGCTACCTCCTACCACCCAGCTCCTAGGCTAGGAATGTTCAGAGGAAGGAGCCTAGGGGTGCCTCCTTCAGGCCAGGACAGCCTGCTGAAATGAAGACAGCCCCTGGAGACATATATACACTTCAAGCAAAGGAATTCAGCTGGAGGCCAGGCACGGTGGCTCACGCCTGTAATCCCAGCACTTTGGGAAGCTGAGGCAGGTGGATCACATGAGGTCAGGAGTTCCAGACCAGCCTGGCCAACATGGCAAAACCCCATCTCTACTAAAAATACAAAAATTAGCCGGGCATGGTGGCAGGCACCTGTAATCCCAGCTACTCAGGAAGCTGAGGCAGGAGAATCGCTTGAACCCACGAGGTGGAGGTTGCAGTGAGCCAAGATCATGCCATTTCACTCCAGCCTGGGCAAAAAAGGAAAACTGTCTTTAAAAACAAACAAACAAAAAAAAGGAATCCAGCTGGGCATGGTGGCTCATCCCTAGAATCCCAACACTTTGGGAGGCTGAGGCAGGATCACTTGAGCTAACAAGTTCAAGGCCAGCCTGGGCAATATGGCGAAACACCATCTCTATAAAAAATACAAAAACTAGCCAAGCATGGTGGTACACGCCTCTTGTCACAGCTACTCAGGAGGCTGAGGTGGGAGGACAGCTTAAGCCTGGGAGGGAAAGGTTACAGTGAGCCGAGATCTTGCCACTGCACCACTCCAGCCTGGGCGATAGAGCCAGACCTTGCCGCAGAAGAAAAAAAAAAAAGGAATGCAATACGGGGAAGTAGCATCCCTATACCCCCACCAAGATCTACACAGGAGGAGGTCCCAGAGTCCCATGCCTGCATCCCTGGGCAGAAGATACCAGGCAAGGCAGGGCCCTACCTAAATCCCCACGACTACTGGGGCAGGGGACTTGAAGCCCACCCCCTTCACCCAAATCCCTCCCTCTCGCTCTGCCCACAGCCAGTGCAAGACGATCAAATATTCATCGCCTCTCTGAAGCTAAATAATACATCAATGTAATAACAGGCACAAGGCAGCTAATCACCCCCTTTCACCTCCCGGCCTAAGCTAGGGCCACAGCAGGGAGGCGGGCAGGGACAGGCCAAGCCTTGGGCAGTCAGACATCCTGCATGCACCCACCACCAACTGCTGTGTCAGTGGCATGCACCTGGTGGGCAAACACCGAGTCCCGCTGGGGTGTCAGGACAGGCCCTGTGAGAGGTGGGCAGACCCCTTGGCCCCAACACCAGGGAGTGGGTGGGCGGGCTGGAGGGGAGGAAAACAGGCTGAGGAGCTGGGGAATGTGGGAGCTGCCACTACAGCCAGCTGTAGTGGGTGCCAAGCAGTCCTTCAATGACCCTGACAGGCAGTGTTTGGGAGGGAAGGAAGCTGGGTGGGTGGGTCAAGGAGGGGGAGGCAGGCAGCAGAGGGAGGTCACAGTAAAGTGAAGGCACTCTGTCTTCCTGCCCTGGAGGCTGCCTGGGCCTGCTGACCTTGTGCCATGTCCTGTGCCCACAGTAGGGGCACTGAAGAGTGTCTGCCGGGCACTACCAGGCAGAAGGGAGCTGTACCCCATGGAGGTAATTAAGTGGCAGATGAAGTTAACTGTGTTGGACACAGGCCCCTAGGGAGTAGAGACTGCTCCCAATACCCTCCTACCCAGCCCTAGCTGACACGTCTCCCTAGGGTGACCTTGGCTGTTGAAGACTGGATGGGCAGAGCATCTGCTAAAGAAGGAGGAGAGGAGGGACAGTTCCTCTCCCCACAGCCCTGTACCACTCCTAGAAGTCACAAACTCCACCAGGTTGGCCAAGGATAAGGCCCCCTGGGACCATCTGGGATGTAACCCAGCAGACCCCCTTGTGCCTGAGACAGCCCGGGGTCACAGATCATTGCAGAGGGGTGGGCAGGCAAGCAGCCTTCCAGCCTGGACCTGGGGCCTTGAGGCTGCCAGCAGGAGTGTGGGCTGGCCCTGGAGAAAGGCACAGGTGACTGATCTCCTGGCTCCCCTCTGCATGCTCCCTGGTTGTTCCCTGGCAGGGAGAAAGCAGCTGGCTCTGGGTGGGGCCCGTACTGAGGGACAAGAGAACACTTTGCTCCCCTCCTTACCTTCCAGATCTATGCCAATCTTACTTCCTGCTGAGCCCCACCCAAGGGACTCCTTTCCTGAGCAGCCTCAGCCCCCTCCCATGAACATCGAGCTGTCTGTGATCTTTGTTTCCAAGGGTACTCCTGCTGCATCTGGAGGGAATCCAGGCAGGGTCTTTGTATCTGTGTTGCCAGGAGGTAATGTGTGTGAATCCACATCTATGTAGATCCATGTGTCTGGGAACAGGCAACTCCACATGTGGGTCCTCAGGTAGGTGGGTCTCCTTCCTCCCTCTGCCAAGCATAGCCTGACACCCACAGTGCCAACCCAGAGAGGGAGGAGCCTCCTCAACCAAGCCCCTGGAGTCCAGAAGAGAGGAGCTCCAGGAGGGCCCCATCCTCATACCCCACCTTCTGTACCTGTGCCATCCACCTGGGTGTCAATGGCCTCCACAAGCCCCCGCCATTTCCACTCTGTCTCCTTCATCTCAGGCACATAGAAGTCTCCCTGCCGTGCCAGTGGGCACATGAAATGGATCTGGTCTTCCTGGTAGATCTCCAGCCGAGGATAGGCACACAGCTTCCGCTCCTAGTCAGAGAGTGGCAAAAGGTAGAATGAGCCCTACAGGGCCCCTGACTCACTTGTCCCTGGGTGACCCCCAGAACTGTCTATTACCTATTCTGTCCCAGGGGCTGGCTCTGCCTCTCAACCTCTTCCAAGTTCCAAAGCCCTGCTGAGGGAGGCACACATAGATCACCCTAACAGCAGGGCCCCATAGTCCAGAGTGCAATAATAGTCTGAAGACCCAGGACGACACCCTAGGGCAGGTGGTAAAAGAACCCAGGAGCCTGGCACTGCTCTCCTATGTGTACATCTGAGACCAAAAAGCTGTTCCAGAAGGCACTGGTCTCACAGAGCCATGAAGCTTGGCACCCCTGGACCACCCCAGGATAGGGACCCCATGTGCCTAAGCCAAGGTCTCACCTACCAGACTTTCCATCCCAGGACCCCCTGGCCCTGACCTCCTCTCCACCCTGGACAACGCTGACTGACCCACAGATATCAGAAGACCAGCACCCCCAGTCCTTAGGCCTCCAGCCCCTGCTCTTGCAGACATGCTACTATAGACCCTGAACAAGGATCAAGGCCAGCTAAACACCACTTCCACTCCCATTCATTCCCCTGCTAGTTTAGAGCTATGTCAACCTCTGAGACTATCAGGTATGGTTCCCATACCTCCTCACATGTAAACTCAGGTTTTAGCTGATGGGGAAGAGGGAGACCCTGGACTGGAAGGTCAGGTAGGACAAGTAGATCTAGCACAGGACATTACCCAGTGGGCTGATGTACCACCTTTTGGGCCCCAAGTTCCAAAAGGCACTCCACCTCCCTCTGCCTAGACACAGAATCCAGTGCTCCCCATCCCCCAATGAGTATGGAGGGGCACAGACATGCCAGAGCCACCCTGAGGCAGGCAGGGACAGCCAGAACAGGGGTCAAGTTGCCTCTTACTCAGAGCCTGCCCCGCCACCTTTCCTGCGAAGGAGCACAAATACCCACTATGATGACTGCAAGGCCCCTGCCCTGTCACTGCTCACCCGCCAATCTTCACAACACGACTATTTATAGCATTCGCCCCGCTCTCACCATGAGCTCTGAAATGAGCCTTCCACTTAGCAGTAATGAGAGACTTATTGCCTGGCAAGGAGAAGCCACTCCAAGACTCCACTTGTCCACCTGCCTGGCCAACCCTAGGGTTGAGGAACCTCCTTCAACTAAAGCAAGCTAGCAAAGAAGGGTTAAAAGCAAGCCCACGGATGATAAAGGGAAAGAGGAGTGAGCCTGAAAGGTTTACCTAGCTAGGACCCTCAGCAGCCAGCTGAAGGGAGGGTGCATCTAGGAGGCCACGCGGGAGGTGGATGGCCTGTCCCAGGTCTGGCTGTGGCTCAGCCTCTGACTCCATGGGTGATCCAGGCAAAGCCTTCCATCCTAAGTCTCCATGTGCTCAACAGCAAAGTAGAACACCCTAGCCCTGATGCTTCCAAGGTCGGTGAAGGAAAGTCATTATTTTTTAATAGTTGGAGTCAAATCTTCTTTGCCAACCTGGGTGCCCTCGGGGCTTCCTCCATCTCAAGAGTCCATGCCCCTGACACGTCCCATTTCTAAACACACAGATGGCTGTCTTTGCTTCTCTACCCACTCACATACCCACTCCAGCCTTGGTCTCCAGGAGGAGGCTAAACAAGATCACAGTGTCAGGAAGCAGGAGCTGTCAGGCTCTGGGGCCCCTCCAATGCCAGCACTTAGAGGCAGGCATCTGCCAAACCTGAACCCAACTCAGCAAACTGGTCCAGGTCACTGAGGCCAGGGGCAGGGAGGCCCCTGAAGAAGGTCCAGGTCCTTCCCCAGTAGCTAGATGAAAGAAAAGGATCCCTGAATCTAGTCAGGGCATGGCCTTCACCAACATCCTCACACTCTGGACAAAGGACCCAAAGGGTAGTAGCTGAGTGGCCATCACAAGAGCAGCAGACATTTGGCTTTTGGGGGAAGATCCCAGAGGACAGAGCCTGTGTCCACCCAGAGATTCCAGGGACAATGGGGACCCTAGCCCAACCCCTCTCAACACTCAAGCCACCTCCCTAGCTTCCCTTCTGGAGGAACTTGGCCATAACAAGATAATAAGAGGGAGTACTGCTCTTTCCACCCTCTCCCCTAGGCTGGGCAGCACCAGGCTGCCACCCTGTGCCACCTGTTCTGCCAGCCCCCTCGTTGGCAGGCGGGAGGCAGCTCTGCGGCTGTTCTGCGCATCTGCTTCCTCCGGAGAGCCCGGCTCTGAAGTTGCCTGGCTGTGGACAGCCCCGTTGCCATGGAAACTGCATCCTCCATCCTTGCCGTCGCCTTCATCTCAAAGCCATCAGGGAGAACAGAGGATCAAGGGAGACAGAGGATGGAGAGAAAACTGTGGCCCTGCGACACAGCCCTTCCTTCTCTGCCCAGCTCTCCCTCCTCACAGCATCTCACACAGGGAGCACCAGGTCCCAGAGCCTGCTCCCAGACCCCTGGAGGGGCAGCCTCAGGCCCAAAACTAGCCTGGTCCTACCTGCTGTTACCTGGGGGCCCTGGTCCTCCCTACTGGAGGGAGGCATGGAGCTAATTAAAATGCCATTGACTGTTCAGCCCCAAATCATTATAGCACATGCACCAGGTCCTACCAAAATTCAGACTTGGGCAGAGAAGGGACAGGAAGAAGGCAAAGGAGCAAACTTCTAAGCCAGGCCCACAGGCAGAGAAGGGGCTTGTAGTTGCCCCCTGGCCCTTCCTGGGAGACTGCTCTCCCTTGCATGCTCTGCCCACTGAGCAAGAATGACTCTAGTGGGGGCTGGGGATGGAAGGTGAGGGGCAGGACAAGCTATATGCTCTGTCCCTGAGTGATCAGGCAGAGAGGACAAGCCCTTTCCCTCCCAGCCAGGTGCAACCTCGGAGGGAAGACAGGGTGACCATGGGCTGGCTCTCAGGTCCTTGCTGCACAGTAGGAGCCATGGCCCGGGCAATATGTCAATGAGCCAGTAAATATTGGAAAATCATTGGAGGAAGGCGAGGCCAGCTGCCTCTCCCTCAGTTAGCCCCAGGGAGCCCTTGGAGAGCAGACTGCCAGTGGCCAAGGACACTAGCTCAAGGTCACACTGGGCTGGTCCCACTGGTGAAGAGCCTGGGTGGGCCTGGGGTCCTCCTAGCCCTGGCACATCCCCTTCCACAGCCCAGACAGCCAGCAGTGTGTGGAAGCATTGCCAGGACATGAGAACGTGCTCTGCCACTGACACCACTGGCCATCTAACAAACCCACAGCCCAGAGCAGCTCACTCCCACACACAGACCCAAGGAGACTATAAAGCCTCTTTCCAAGGTGGGAGAGTTGCAGATGTTCACATTCCTCTCCACCTAACAGGCAAAAGTCAGTGAACCATGCCAAGGTGCCCCCAGGGTCTGCCAGAAACTGGATTCAGAGTTCCAGTCCCTCAGACACACCTCCGGGCCTTCCCTCCCACCTGGGTCTTCCACATGCAGAAACAAGATGGGGACTTGGGACACCACCCATGATGCAGGAATTTCTAAGAGACCCCAGACACCAGCACTTCCCCACCACCACCCCACCCTGCACCAACACCTGCTTACTCACTCAGGAGTGTTGGCAAAAAAGGGAAGGAGCAGCTCACCCACCTCACACAGGCTGCCACAGTGCCACTGCGTCAGCTACCTTGGGGACACACCACACACTCCCACCTCACTTCAGCCTGAGTTCATCTCCTGGGCAGGGTGCAGGCATTTACCCCATTCAGCTCAGGGCTCCCACAACAGGGCAAGACTGATACACCAGGCCAAGCTTTCCCCCACGGGACCCACAGTGCCTCCCCAGCAGGTCTTTCTGAATTATGGGAGAGGAAGAAAAGAGGTAAGAGAGAGGACCTGGACCTGAACTATCCTCATTTAGTGCTTTGTATTCAGGACATCACCCTGTGCCCTGGCTTCAGCTAGGGATTGGGAGCAAATAGAAGACAGAAGAGGTCAGGCCCAGGACGAAGGCTGATGATGGGTCCCACTCCCAGGCTACCCAGAGGCTGGAGGTTTGCTTAGAACTAGGTGGCTGCAAATGCCCAAAAGAAGGAGGCAATGTGTGGGCCAAGGACGGGTCACATCTCCTACATAAGCTCTAGGCCCAGCAAGGGATGAGGTCTGGCTGAGGGGCCCTGGGCCTTGCCTTACTGTTCACCCTGAGCTACCCAGTCCTATCTATCCTTCTGTGCCAGGCTGGATACCCAGGCAGCTGCACAGCCAGCAAGCAGCTGTTGCATCCCACCCGAGGTAGTGGCGTCTCCTCACTGGGTGAAGTGATGCATGCTCATTTTTAATTACAGACACCAACATGCACCTGCCTGCACACAGCAGTCCCTGCAAGTGGGGACTCAAACCCTGGAGGCCCCTCAGGCAGCTGGTCTTCATGGCACGTGCATGCTTTGGGGAGGTATAGCAAGAGGCTGCAGCTAGAAGGTAGCACGTTATTATTCTGCCCGGAAACTTTCCTCTCACCCCCACCAGGCTGCCCCAAAGCTTCTGGCCCAGAAGCCAGACCTGTCTGTTGGTGCTCTGGGGCCTTGCCACAGCAGCAGGGAGAGCCTGCAGAAGGGCTGGTGAGCACCTTCCCCTCTCTCTACTCTCCCCTCACACCAGCAGAGCCCAAAGCTCTGAAAATGGCAGGCAAAGGAGACAGGGAGTAAGACAGGATGGCCAGGGAGGGAAAAGAGGAAGCAGGAAGTGGCAGAGAGCACCCCAGGCAGGAGCCTAGGGCATTGGCTTGGCTACACAAATCGGTAGCTTCCCTCTGGCCCTCAATTTGCCCAAGTATGAAATAAAGGGTCTACAGTCATACCACCCTGAATGCACCTGATCTTGTCTGATCTCAGAAGCTAAGCAAGGTCGGGTCTAGTTAGTACTTGGATGGGAGACTGCCTGGAATACCGGGTGCTGTAGGCTTTTGGCCTATCGTTCCCTCCCTCTTTCCCTCTTTGGCCAGGCGCGGTGGCTCATGCCTGCAATCCTAGCACTTTGGGAGGTCAAGGCGGGTGGATTACTTGAGGTCACAAGTTTCAGACCAGCCTGGCCAACATAGTGAAACCCTGTCTCTACTACAAATACAAAAATTAACCAGGTGTGGTGACAGGTGCATGTAATCCCAGCTACCCGGGAGGCTGAGGCAGGAGAATTGCTTGAATGCGGGAGATGGAGGTGCAGTGAGCCGAGATCGCGCCACTGCACTCCAGCCCGGGCAACAGAGCAAAACAAGAAAGAAGGAAAGAAGGAAGGAAGGAAGGAAGGAAGGAAGGAAGGAAGGAAGGAAGGAAGGAAGGAAGGACGGACGGAAGGAAGGGGAAGGGAAGGGAAGGGAAGGGAGGAAGGAAGGAAGGAAGGAAGGAAGGAAGGAAGGAAGGAAGGAAGGAAGGAAGGAAGGAAAGAAAGGGATTAGAATAGATGATCTCAAAAGAAGTGAGGAACTGGAAAGGATGAATAAAAACACCATTATGTGACGGTAAGAAAACTATACTCAGAAAACCCAAAAAGAATCAATGGAGGGACTACCACAAACATTAAGTCACAAAGGTAACTCAAGCACAGCCCATTTTTCTGTGCAACAGATCAGCCAAGTAGAAAACATAATGGAGGCCGGGAGTGGTGGCTCACGCCTGTCATCCCAGCACTTTGGGAGGCCAAGGTGGGCAGATCACCTGGGGTCAGGAGTTCGAGACCAGCCTGGCTGACATGGTGAAACCCCATCTCTACTAAAAATACAAAAATTAGCTGGGCGTGGTGTCGGATGCTTGTAGTCCCAGCTACTTGGGAGGCTGAGGCAGAAGAATTGCTTGAATCCGGGAGGCAGAGGTTGCAGTGAGCCGCGATCGTGCCACCGCACTCCAGCCTGTGTGACAGAATGAGACTCTGTCTCAAAAAAAAAAAAAAAAAAAAACATAATGGAAACGAGATATAATGGCCCTCTTGGGGTTAGGTCGAGCCCAGGGCCAGCCTGGGAGCCACCGGCTGAAAGGCAGGGAATGGCAGAGGAGCCAGGGAGGCAGGTCCAGGCCTGGGTGGGAACCTGGGGAAGACTGCAGGAGTGGGAAGGTGTGAGAGAGAATGGGGCGGGAGACGGTGTGCTGTGCCTGGCACCCCAGCCTGCTGCGCCTGCTGCCGCCACTGCCTGAAGACTTTTCATTTTCACCTCAGAGCCGGCAGCTCACCACACAATTTACACCTCTATTCATCTCCCTGGCACGACGCAGGCCCTGGCTTCCTCGGTGTCCTGTGGAGGAGGGCCTAGGCAGCAGTCAAGCACAGGGCAGCCTGGGGTATTGAGGGGTGGGGAAACAATGTTTCCCTCTAAGCAGGCACATGGGACACAGGCTCTTAAGCACCTTAGTGCCCAGATGGACTGGGAGGCCCCTAATCCTGCATCCATACCCAGCCTTACCTTTCTCTAGGCCCAGAGGGCCAAGATACAACCCTGGTTCAGCCCTGCTCTGGCCTTCTTGGGCCTGGGCCGTTGTGTGGCCAGACCAGAGGGTTGGGGAGTACAGGAGTGAGTACCCCAAGGAGAGCTCAGCTAGAGCACTGGGTGAGTCAGCCCTGATCCCATTGCTCTCCCTTGCAAATCTGGGAGGAGAGCCACAGCCTTCCAGATGATGGCTCTACCATCGCAGGCTCCACAGCCCACCCCCTCTCCAAGATCCAGCATTCTTAGCAGCTTGTCTGTGTAGTCAAGGACCTTGAGCCCTGTCCTGCTCACAAGCTGACAAACTGGTTGCTGATGATTATCCAGCAGCAGGAAGGCTGCTCGTACAGATGGAGCTGGGAAGCCAAGCACCTGAGAGCCAGAGGAGTCAGGAATTGCCAGAGGGGAAGGACAAGTGGGCAAGTGGGAATGGAGAGGAGACAGGGGACAGAAGAGAGGGAGAGAAGGAGAAGGCCCTGAATTTCTCATCTCCAACTGGTACCTCTGACCTCTGCTCCACTCCTCAGTGAAGTCCTTTCCTTCCCACCTGCATAACTAGACAGCTAGCCTCTCCTAATCTGAGGGCTCAGCTGAAGAAGAAGTTGTTCTGCTTGGGGGAGAGGGGGTGCACTGCAAATTCTCTCCTTGGAATCTCTTTCCCCTCCCTAATTCCAATCTCAAGCTTCCTGGAGAAGAGCAACAGAATTCTTCTTTGATAAGTAAATTCCATCTGCCTGGGGAAGAAGGCTCCCTCTGGACTGGTGACAGCCCAACCCCACAGCACCATCCAGACAAGCTTCAGCCCCCAGGGTCCTGCAGGGCTGCCAAGCTACAATATCCGAGCTGGTATTTTGAGAGTGGTGGCTCCCACGCCGCCCTAGCAAAGGCTGGCTTTGTGCTTTCATTCCTGGGGGAAGGGAGGGAGGTGGGGTAAAGCCAGAGAGGCTAAGGAGCAGGTTCCAGTGCCTAGGCCAACAAAGGGGAGAGGCCTGGCTCCCAACACCTCAATACCCAAGGGTAGCTCCCTAAGGGGAGCCGGGGAAGCCAAGCCGTGGTATGGTGGGAGGATCGCCTCTTGGCTTGGGGACATCTGGGAATGAAAAGTCACTGCTACTTTCAGCTAACTTGCATTATCTTTGTGCAGAATTTGACTGTGGCCTCTGGCTCTTCCTCCCCATCTCCTAGGTACTGAAGAGACTTGATCTGAAGCCCAGCCTGGATACTGTCACTCATCTGCTCAGACGCCATCAGTGTCTCCCTAGTGCCTGCAGGACCCAGCCTATATCTCTTAGGCCCAAACTCTTGCTCCTCTCCTGTACTCCAGCCTCACTGGATACACAAGCCATGACTGCCACCAAGCCAGTATCTCTGCCTGACCTGCCTTCCCACCTGGGGAACACTGCCTACCTTATAGGTGCAGCCCAAATGCCACCACCGCACAAGGGTTGTTTTGCCTTTCCCAGCGAATCTATCCCTCCCCTCCCCACACCCAGGCATGGCTAGGCTCTGTGGCTGGAGGAGGTGGAAGAGGAAAGAGTGCTGGAGGATTGTCACTCAGCTCCAGGTCCTGATGCTGCCAAAAGTGCCCTCCTCCCTGTGCCAGAGCAGGCCACTTAGCAGGTGGCAGTACCAGCAGGTAAGCCAGCCCTTGAGATCCAGGGAGGGAAGCCTGGGAATAGAACCGCCTCTGCCTCACTGAGGGTGTGGACAAGAGGCCCGATAAGGTGCCTGCAGCAGCTGCTTCCTGTGCCCAGAGCAGTTCCCAAGGCCTGCCTTAATGAGTGCCTGCTGGGCAAGCGGGTACACAGCCTCTTCCTGTGCTTTGCCTCGGCTCCCCCAGCAGTCTCCTAGACCTGAAGCCTCAGCCTCCAACTGTGACTACCAGGGTTGGAGAAAGAAGGAAAGAAAGCCCACCCTGGGGCACCATCCCGAGCATATCCCAAATTGATGACAAGTTCTCAGCCTCTTGGTTCCAGCCCCACTTATGTACAGGATGGAGTGGCAAAAGGCATATAGCCATCGGAACGATCCTCGGCCTAAGGGACCCAGTCTGGACTCAGCTACCGCTCCATCCCTTGACCTTGGGGCACCTTCCTTCCCTAGGCCTCAGCCTCCCCATCTGTAAAACAATGGGGATGCTGGCTTTGATTAGGACTCTATGACGCCTCCTAGCTGGTTCCTCCATGCGCAGAACAATGACACACACAAGAGACCTCAGTAAATAACTGCTGAATAAGTGACTGAGCTGAGATGCCAAGAGGGCCTCCCTTGTTAAAAATAAAGTTTGGAAGCTTCCCATGTTAGCTTGGCAAAGGTGACAGGCAGGAAGAGGGAAATGACCACAGATTTCACATTCCTGCTGGGGCTCCCTCACCTGCTTTTTTTTTTTTTTTTTTTGAGACGGAGTCTTGCTCTGTCACCCAGGCTGGAGATCAGTGTCGTGATCTCAGCTCACTGGGCAGTGTCGTGATCTCAGCTCACTGCAACCTCTGCCTCCCGAGTTCAAGCAATTCTCGTGCCTCAGCCTCCTGAGTAGCTGAGATTAGAGGTGTGTGCCACCAAGCCCAGCTGATTTTTGTACTTTTAGTAAAGATGGGGTTTCACTGTGTTGGCCAGGCTGGTCTCAAACTCCTGACTTTAGGTGATCCACCCACCTCAGCCTCCTAAAGTGTGGGGATTACAGGCGTGAGCCACCACACGTGGCGTCCTCACCTGTATTTCCCCGGCCGAGGCCTTGTTGCTCTGCACTGGTGTTTTGGCCCCAGTGTGGACTCAGACCCACCGACTGACTCCCTCAGGGTCACTGAGGCAGACTAAAGGGAAGCAAACACAAGCGGTTCTGTGCCCACTGGACAGAACACAGGCTGTGGCCAGGCTGTTTCGAGCTTCCTCACAGCCACTGCTCAACAGGCTGACCCATTTCCACAGGCAATCTGCTGGGGCCCACAGGCCTTAGTTCCAAGCTGGCTGCCCCATAATGCTATCACCCACCACTCAGGAGTTCAGTCACCACCACCCCAGGAGAACTCCAACCTGCAGCTCCCCAGGGTCCCTCCAGGTCCAGCTTCCAATCAGTCACACTCCCCTCAAGACAAGTGCCTCTCTTTGGAGCTCCTGCCCTACCTGCACAAGGGCTGGGCCCTGGTGCCTCCCAGCTCCACTCATACTGCAGTTACAGCATCCTCAGGATCGAGAACAGACATGTAGTGGGCGGGACTGGAGGTGGCATCTGCCCAGTTTTGCCCCTCTCTTAGGACAGAGGTTTTCAAACCAGCTGAGCCTTAGAAGCTCCCTTCCAAACAAAAGCTCAAGACACCTGGGTTGTAAAACTCACAGGCAGAACTACTCCAGGTGAAGCAGGAAAGGGTCTGAGTACAGCTCCCACCACAGGCTGATAGCCACAGGGCACCTCAGCACAGCCAGGGCAGTCTGAGAACTATGGTCTGGGGTCCTTGCCTTACTTTCTTACTTTACTTCCTTCCTTCCCTTTTTTTTTTTTTTTAATGTTTTTACTTTTATTTTTTTGAGATGGGTTTCACTCCTGTTACCCAAGCTAATGTGCAATGGCGTGATCTTGGCTCACTGCAACCTCTGTCTCCTGAGCTCAAGCAATTCTCCTGTCTCAGCCTCCCGAGTAGCTGAGACCACAGGTGCACGCCACCACGCCCAGCTAATTTTTTTGTATTTTTTTTCTGTAGAGACGAGGTTTCACCATGTTGTCCAGGCTGGTCTCAAACTCCTGAGCTGGAGTAATCTACCTGCCTCAGCCTCCCAAAGTGCTGGGATTACAGGTGTGAGCCACCATGCCCCCTTCATTTATCTATTTATTTATTTTTGAGACAGAGTCTCACTCTGTCACCCAGGATAGACTGCAGTGGCACAATCATGGCTCACTGCAGCCTTGACCTCCCAGGCTCAAGCGATCCTCCCACCTCAGCCTCCTGAGTAGCTGGGACTACAAATGCCTGGCTAATTTTTTTTCTGTTTTTTTTAGAGGCAGGATCTCACTTATGTTGCCCAGGCTGGTCTGGAACTCCTGGGCTCAAGTGATCCTCCCACCTCAGGCTCCCAAAGTGTTGGGATTACAGGCATGAGCCACCACACCTGGCCTTATCCCCTTTAAGCCCCTGGTAAGACAGTCCCAGTCAACCCAGCTGTCCCAGAATTCGGCCACCAAGGTTCCCCTCACAGGCTCACTATATTCGGTGACCCCTCCTTACTTACACGCTTTTCTCCAATTTGATGGTGGATAGTCAGACATTAGTCTGACCTCCAGGGCCACCTGCACTCCCCAGCCAATCAGCCACTACATGAACAATGCCCTGTAACACCCTAAACTTGGGAGAGGAGGCTCAAACCATTTTACAAAGACCCTCCCCCTAAAAACTCCCTGAAATCAGAGACCATGGGGAAGGGCACTTTTGAAAAAGATTCTGGACGGGTCTGGGAGAGAAATCAGGCATGGGGGCTTGGCTGTGTGTCAAACACTCTCAATGGCCTTCCTCACCAAGTGCTACAGACAGATATGAGCAAACTGCACTAGAGACCTTACACACACAATCCCACACATCGAATTCCCAGGCCCATCCCTCAGTCCTGGTCTGTTCCATGTGTCCGAAGCCTTCCCTGGACACTCATTAAGACTGGTGAATTTGGGGGCCTCTGCCCATTGCTCTGGGCTCACATCTGGGCCCCATCTCCCCTCTGCAGGTTTGCAATTTCAAGCAAGCTCTGTTCCATCCTGCAGCTTCCAGAAGATACCCCTTTCCTGGGACTTGGGGAGTGGTCTCCTCCTGTACTAGAGGCCACCTCCTTGGACTCCAGCGGAGCAGCCTGACAAAGCTGAGGCATCTTCCATATGGAGTGATGGTCACACAGTACGCATGGATTCCAGGGGAATGAGTGTTCAGCCTGGGGGCCCTTAGCAGTTTATATGGAGAAAGGCAGAGTTCCAGCATCTATAGCAGTTTGCCAGGCTGCCAAGCTGGGGAAGGCTAGCCAGAGAGCCAGAGGCTGCCATGCAAACCAGGAAAGCTGAGATCAGCCATCCCTTCCAGAATCCCGAGAGTCCTGACAAGTGCTTCTCCTTGGGCCTCTCGCCGTGAACTTCAGGTCCCTCTGTCCCATGAGACCAATCCTGTTCCAGGCTCAGGCACATCTGCAACTCCCGGGACAGCAGCTGCTCTCCACCTCCCAAACCCGAAGCTAAGATCCATTCACCCCTGCCCCTCACCTAGCCTCTGGAGAGGCTGGTGAGCCTGCCAAGTCCTCCCCCCGCAACTCCTGGCAGCAGGGCTCCTGGCCTCTCTCACCCCTGCCAAAGCAGAAAGCTGACGGCTGCTGTCATTCCATTTGAAGAGCCTTCACAGCAGTCCCAGATCCAGAGAGAAAAAGAAGGGTGTACACACGCGCACGCACACACAGTTAAAAGCTGTCGGTGCTAGAAGAGTGAGACGCAACTAGTCTCATTAGTAATCTCCTTTCTCTGACCTCAGGGCAGGGGAGATGAAGGCAGGGATGGAAGGGAGCCTTATACTCTCTCCTTGCTGTCTCCTGGGCTGAGAGAGGCACAGGGCCACCCCTGTCCACTGCAGGCTGTGACCAGCAAACAGAGCTAGCCCCTTCCTCATCTCTCCCCTGGCTTTGTTCCCCAAGACGCAAGGTCAGGCTAAACACAGGGGCAGAGGCAACCCCCACACCCTGCTGCCAAAACAAGCCCAGGACCTTCGGCCATGCCTCTTCTGTGGGCAGCCGGCCTCTATCTTACTCTCCCCGCTGATGGCCAAGCCCACACAAGCATGCCTCACACCTGTCTCTGGGAGAAGCCCCTTGCTCTCCCCCATATCACTGGCTTCCTTGTCTCAACCCCCACTCCAGGAGCACAGCTGACAGGCTCCCATGGGAGCGGGGAGGAAGGAGGAAGGGCTTTCATCAAAGAGGTGACGTCAAAACCAGGCAACTTGTGAAGCTGTCAGGGGCCGGGAAATTTGGACAAAGGTGTCTAAAAATAAACCCCTGAAGCCAGGAAAAGGCTTTGGTGGCTGAGTTGCTCACCACCACACCACATGCCACATGTCCTGTTCTGAGGTCTGGAACCCAAGAAGTCTCTTTCCCAGGGGTGCCCCTCCAGATGGGCCCATGAGGTTGAGGATGGCACCGACAGGACTGGAGAGGCCTTCCTTGAATGAAATGGGGCGGGACTCCCCAGAGGCAGCACACTAAGCAGGCCTAGGGCACTGGTATCTTCCTTCCTGCCCACACCACCAGCCAGCCCGCCCCCACCTCCAGTCCAACCGCAGCCAGGCAAGCACATCCTGCCCCACACCCCTTTTGGCCACCACCCTCCAGCTCACAAAGGAAACTCCCCTCTATTCTCCCTGTGCCCTTGCCTTATCACCGTGACAGCCCTCCCCTTTCCAGGTCTTCTCACTCCTGATTCTTCAAACCTGTCTTTGACCGCCAAGGACACAGCTGGTGACCCAGGGCCTCATTTATTCATTCCTCAGCCCCAACACCAGACTCCAGGGACATCTGAACTCCCATTTCCATCATCAACGCTGTGTCCCTTTCCCCAAGCTGCTTTGGTGAACAAAGTTGCAAGGATCCTCCAAGTGTACCAGGCTCTCACTCCCACTGACTCTCGTCCTGTTCCCTGACCCCTGCCACACTGGCCACGCCCTCTGCGCAGCCTTTGCTGCCACAGGCTGTCCACTGCCTACCTGGTCCCACAGAGGCAGGGAGGCACAGGGCAGCCTCCCAGGTCAAATACTGCCAACAGGCTGATGTCCCCAAATATATCCACCAGCCCAGCCTTTCCTCAACTCCAGGCCACACATACCATTGCTGACTCCACACCCCCCAACTTAGATGTATCTCAGGCAGCTCCCCTGACATAGCCCAAATAGCTACCTTCCCCCCAAAACCAGGGCCTCCCTCAGTTCCCCACATGTCAGTGAAAGCATCACTACATACTTGCCCACCTGCCCAGGCCAGAGGGGAGCAGAGCCCTCTGTGACTCCCTCACTGCCTCTCCTTCCACAACAGTGAATCCACCCAAAGTCTATCAGTTCTATCCCAAAAGTGATTGTAAATCTCCATCCTTGTCCACAGCTCTATAGCCGCTGGGCCTGCCCAAGCTGCCACCACTCACAATGGGATTCATGACAGCCTCCTAGGCTAATTCCTTAGCCCCAGGCCTAAGCATCTCCACCTGGTCCCAGATCTGTGGTCCAGTCCCACCCTGCCCAGAGATGGGACAGCTCATCTTGTACAGACGTGGCTCCAACTGTGTTATTTTCCTGGTTGGAACACTGCAGTGACTTCCTGCTGCATTTAGACCAAAGCTCTGACTAGAAGTTCTTATCTCCTCTCTAAAGGCTCTTCTAGGACTCTGCCTTGAGGTTATCTCCTCTGAGAGGCTGTCCCTGACCATTCTGTCCAAGTTGGTTCCCTGACTTTTCTCACCCTCTCCTTCTCTAGCACACGTCCTATTTTTGTCTGATATTTATTACCTATCTTCACCACCTCACTGTGAATGGCTGTTTCATGCACCAACGTTTCATTCACATTGTGCCCATTATAGCACCTGGCACACAGACTATAAATACAAGTTAAATGAATGAACAATCACGTCCAAGCCCAAACTGGGGTCATTTCCCTAGCAACCAAGTTTACAAAACGTTTAGGGGAGGAGGGATGTGTAACAGGGCAAGTTTTAAAAAAATTTCTGTAGACACAGAAACCCGTCAGATGACCAGGTGACTGGCTCTCCTTCCTCCAGGAAGGTTGGGCTGCCAGCATTGCCAGTAACCAAGTCAGGAAGTAAAGGAAACAGAGCCTGCCACTGCTGTCCCAGCCCTGGCCTCTGGGAGCAGATGTATAAGCCCATGCACAGGCAGGGCCACGGGCAATACATGATTACCTGGGGCCTGCCCAGACACTGGGAGCCTCAGGTCCTTGCTTTGCAGGCCTCCAGCAGGATGAGAATAAAGTGGCCTGTCCATTCATCTGAGCCAGGAGTGTGGGATAAGCACTATGGATGTCTTTGGTCAAAGCCAGAGCCAAACTAACCAGATCAGATTTATGAACAAGTTCTCCATGCTCTTGGGATATGCTCCGGCTTCCAAAAGATCTTGGGCATCTGAAAGAGATGCCAACAACCTCTGCCCATCTTCCTAGCTCCACAGGTACCTGTTCCATGAGGGCCCCAGGGTGCTGCTCTCCCAAAACCACTTCTTCCTCCCATTCTAGGCAGTCCTCCTCAGCTCCACCCAAGGGGCCTGGCTGTCCCCAACACACACACCCCAGGCCTGTGCCTCACCTTGATGTAGGTGTCCAAGGCAGGATGGACACGGCGGGTAGCCAGCCAGATGGACAGAATGGTGGTGTAGGGGAAGGTGGCTGTCACCACATGGCTGGGTGCCGGGAAGGAGAACACCTTGAAGCCAAATTTCTGGTAGAGGTCGATGAGCTCAGGGGAGGGCGATTCCTCACCTTCACTCAGGATGCTGCCCACGGCACATCGGCACTTATCAGGGGGCACCTGGGGAAGCAAAGCATGGGTGTGAGAGTTGGCCAAAGGAAGGAGGCCCTCAGACCTCCTTCCTCCTGGGACTGTGCCAGATCAGGCCTAAAAGAACCAGCAGCTCTGACAAGCCATGCAGCCCCAGATACCAGGACACAGCTAGCTATTTTCTTACTGGAACCCACCTATGGCCCCTGCCTGTGGCATCGTACCACAGGACTCTCATCTATTCCTTCAACAAACATGCCATGCCCTGTGGAAACCCAGGGATCATAGTGAGGGGTTAGACTTGGTCTCTGCCCTTCTGGAGGCCAGGAGAGGGAAGGGCGGAGAGGACCTCTGAACCATCACCCTCCACATGGCTCCACTGAGGGGGCCCTTCCACCCCACCATAAGACCCTCTGTCAGCCCCCACGCCCCAGGGCCACCAGCAGAACTGTACAGTGGCTGATCCTGCAGCCTGGGTCCAGCAAAATCCTATTAGCTAATTTCCCTCCTATCTCCTGGAGAAGAGCAGGCTTTACAGGCAGAGAAATTATGGCAGGCAAGGGAGCAAAACTGAGGAGTGGTAATAAAGAGCTCAGAGCCCTCCACGGTCATGCCCTAGGAAAGCAAGAACACGTGTGTGTGTGTTTACACACATGCTTGCAGGGTCAGGACCTGGCAAGTGGCTGAGGAGGGGCTGCAGGAAGCACCTGTCAGGACATAGGATTGGGATCACTGACATCTGGGTTGCTGGTGAAATTCTGTGAAGAGATCATCCTCCCCACCCCTCTGGCAGGGCCAGCTACCATCACCAGAGCCTCTAGACTTCTTCTGCAACCCATGGCCCATCCAGGGACCTATCCCACTTCCTAAGTCCCTTCCTGGCTAAAAGCCAAGACCACTGGTTCCCCTCCAAATCTCTGTAGGTTGCTAGTGCCTGCACTTCCCACTCTGCTTGCCTCCCTACCTAATTTCCCTCCTCTGGCTCCCAGAAACCTCAGCCATGTAAGGCTCCTATGTGAGCCTCCAACACTTCCTAGGACTGAATGAATGCTGCAAGGCCCAGTACTCATTTCTCCTCCTGGCATCAAGAGGCCTCACTTTGTCTCACCTACTGCTACCTGTTTCCCACGTCAGCTTTCCAGGTGCCTAAGTCTGTACCAGCCTTCAGACTGGGCCCTCAGAGACATATGATCTTGAATCCAAGAGATTCAGCACAGACCTTGTACCCTCAATCCTGGGTTTTGCTCAACTCTAAAGGCTCCTTTCTCCCTACCCACCGCAAAAAAATTTTTTTTGCCAGCAGTTCACCTTCACAGGGATGACCCCTAAGTTTAAACAGGCTTCTCCCTCTACCTCCACTTACTCCTCTCCCCAGCCCTCCTTCCCAGCACTGTGAAGTCATTATTACCTGTTCTCACCTCTCCCTCCCATTACAGCCCTTTCCAAGCCCTCTCTGAAATCCCCTGGGGGTTTCTCAGCCCTGAATGGCCTCCTCTACTCAGGCCAACCCAGGCCTTCCTTTTAGTCACAGTTTGCCTGGGACTTGGGCACCTATTCCAGGCTCTCACTTCTAAGCAGACCCTAACGGTCACCCTCAACTGTCTGCAGCTCTGGTCCCCTTGCAGCCCCCTTGAAGCCTACGGCATCCAAACCTGGCTCAGAGCTTTAGTAGCAGGCAACCGGGTGTAGTGGTCAGAAACACAGCTTGAGAGAGGCAGGCCACGGTGCGAATCTGAGTCGTGTGATTCTAGACAAGTCCCTTGGGTTCTGGGAGCCCCAGTTCCTCAATATCTACTTACAGAACTGCCATATTAAACAAGAAACTTCACGAGAGCTTAGCCTGGGTCCAGCATTCAGCAAATGCCCCATAATTGTGGTTATTAGTAGCTATGACACAGTCCAAACAACTGTCCATGGCCTAGAATGCCCGACCACCCAAACCTCTGAATATGCAGCTCCTCCCTGCCTGTCCTTCCGGTTCAAATACCCTCTTGAAGAGCCTTTCAGCGTGGCTCAGTGGCACTCTCTTCTCCCCCAGTATTTTGCTGTAAACTTTCTTGCCCTCCATAAGTCTACCTTGCACACAGTCACTTCTTTTGGCCTGAAGCTCCTCCCACCCCACCCAGAGGCACAGGAGATCACTGCAATACCATCTCTTGTCTCTAGATGGTGGAACTGCCCTACTCACACGCCAAGACTTGAGAATGACCAGATAGGCAGGAAGTTATCTGGCAGGCCTCCTGCTGACAAGCCAAGAGACACTGCCTGCCACAAAGCCTATCTTCATGTCCCTGACCCTACCAACCTGTGCTGTGCAAAAGAAACATCTACATAAGTCATATGGAGAAACGGATGAAAGGTCACTTATTCTCTTCCTTTCTACAGCTGGCTTGCCTGGGTTTGAGTTCCAGGGTCTTTCCTGGGAACGCTTCAGCAGGCCTTATGGGACTCCCAGCTCAACATCCTCTTCAGTAGCCAAAAGACACCAGAACACATGTGGTCATCTTGCTCAGAACCTCTCAATGGCTCCCAATTTACCTCTAGGATGAAACTAAATTCACAAGCCAATAGGCAAGGCTCTTTTGGAGTGGCCCACATAATACTGCATGAATTTGCCCACACACTCACCTTGCACTCCCTTTCTGCAGCCTCAGGCCCCAGCAGGGGCCAGAGCCCAGGTGGGCAGGCACCAACTGAGTGTCTGCATGGCAGAGGGAGGGACAGATCCAGGCTCTGGCCCAGCCCGCCTTGCCAGCCTCCTCACCCGCCACACCCCCACACACACCCACATGAAACTATTTGCAGCTCCCCAAACATGCCACATCCTCCCATGCTTCCTGCCTTTGCGTAAGCTACTTCCTCTGCCTGAAATGTCCTTCTTCACCCTATTCCAGAGTCCCTTCTGACTGGGAAACTCCTGCCCATCCTGCAAGACTCAGCTCAACTTTCCCCTTCAAAGCCTTCTGTTGCTCTCCACCAAGCAGCCCCTCCTCTCTGATCCCAAGTACCCACCAGGGAGCAGGTGTTGTGCTGCACTGTAACTGATGGCCTCCCCATCTCTCTCCATCACTCCAGGCCTCTAGGCAAAAAGGTCCAGGATCCTGCGCACACAGAAAGTTCTTGAGGCATGCTCAGTGACAGTACATGCATGCACACACAAGCAAGCCCTGCACCATAACAAACTTCCTCTCCCTCCACCTGGAGAAAAGGCAGAGCTCCTGTCAAAGTGGAAGAAGGGAGCTAAGAAGACAGGGCTCCCAGGATCCAGGAGGTGTGTGGGGCACAGCAGCTCCTTTCCTGGCTAAGCAACTCCCTAATTCCACAAGTAAGAACACTTCCTACCTCCTCCCCTGCCCTGGCCTAAGGAGGAGCCTAGAAGGTCTCTCAGCAAGCCTACCACCCACTAAGTGGCCCCATGCAAAGTTGAAGCTGGGAAGCAGCTGAACAAGGCACCAGCAAGGAGGAAATGGGACAGGCCCTAAAATAACCTAGGGAGTGGCAAGGCTGATCCAGTGGCAGAGGAAAGCTTTCCTGGCCTCCCAGTAAAGCCCAGACCCGCCTCCAGGGAAAAGGCCTACTAAGGCTGTCAAGTGCCCAGAAGGTTGGGATGTCCTGATGGGCAAGAGACCCCATCCACCTTGGCTCAATGAGTATCTGTATTTGGGCCGAACCCTAGGACATAGGCCTGGGCCTCCCAGCCCTACCTGCCTGCTCCTCTTCCTCCCCAGATCAGCTATTTCTCTGGGTACCTCTGCCCAGAACAAGAATTGGACCAGAACTAGTACCTACAAGGAACCACATCTGGGAAACAGGGCAGTGGCCAGACCCACCACCACTCGGGGTAAAGACAAGCCCATCCAGGATGTGTCCTCAAAGCAAGAGTACCAGGAAAACAACAGAGGCATGCCAGGCCCCAGAGCATCTCCTTTGGGCTGAAAAGCCTCCTGAGTCCCATTACTGGGAGGAGAGGGCAGTCTGCTTAGAACCTGAGGCTTCCAGGTACGAGCTAGTCCCAAGGCTGGCCCCACTGCCCCTTCCTGAGTGGTGTCACAGTGCCCTGCCGACCCTATTGTGTGAGGCTATAGCGAAGACAGCCATCTCGGGGCCCCTGCCAAGCCAAGACCTCGCTGAGTCTGGGAACTGGACAAGACTGATAATCTTCCAGGATGCAGGAATGAGAAATGGTGTCAGCGGCCCAGACCAAATGTAGTCATTGGGTTCAGGGTTAATACAAACTGCCAACCCCAGGCCCACAACCTACACAACCTGACAGGGACAGCAGCACCATCTCTCAAACCCAGGCACAGAGGGCTGCCCTTACTCTTCCCATGCCAGCCCACTGACCCAGAGCTACCCAAGTTAAGGGGGAAAGTAGAGGCAGGGCCCTTCATTTGCACTTGTACTCCCAAGGGAATAGACGAGCTGCACTGGCCCATGACTAGGTGGTTGATACGGGACCTCGTTTGCCCTCCTAGGTGCTACAGGTCAACACGCCAACCCCCAACTTCCCTGGGAAGCTTATGCCCAAAGGCACACGGAGACAGGCACCAGTCAGGACACGAGATGATGCAGACAGCTAGGCCAGAGGACAAGCCTCATTCTTCAGGCTCGGGAGGAAAGAAAGGAGTCAACAAGATACCAGCCCTCAAAGGTGAGTTTACTTAGAAACCTTTCAGGAACCTTCCTCTATAACCCTACACCTTCAAACAGAATCCTAAAAACAGCTGATATCTGACCAGGCACTCACCACTTTCCCCAGACTCTGCCTTCCAAGCATAAGCTCATTAAATCCAAACAGCCTTCTGTGGTTGGTACTGTTTTCAACCCTGTTCCCAAGGCCCAGACAACCAAGCCATTCAGCCAAGGTCACACAGCAAGGGAGTGCTGAAGTCAGGATTCAAACTCAAGCAGACCAGCTTCAGAGCTGCGCCACACAACCCAGGGGCATCCAGGAGTCCCGGAAATTGGCCCTAGTGAAAGCGGGCTGCACAATGGCTTTTCCCTGCACTGTGCCGCCTCACATGGCCCAGACAACCTGCAGGAGGCTGGGACTAAACCAGAGAGGCAGGCAGGGTCCCTAAAAGTACAAAGTCCCAGTGGCATGAGGTCCTCAGGCAGGACTGGATGTCAAGTGTGACACCCACCTATTTAAAGAACTGGGTATTGGGCCATATCATTATCAATTAGCCCCCACAAAACAAAAACCCTGAGGTAGGGATTCTTTTATCCTCATGTGACAGATGAGGAGACATACTCAGACAGGCCAAGTGACTCACCTAAAGTCACACATTGGTTAGCAGTGGAGCCTTGATTCAAACCCAGAAGGGCAAATCCGAAGCCCCTTCCTCTCACACCTCGTCTCACCTCACCTCAAGGACAGTTCTAGTGGGCAGAGAGGAGCTCGTGCTTCCAGACCTGTCCCACATAGTTAACCTGCTGCACAGCAAATGCCTGGACTCCACCTGGCAGAAAATAACCATGGAGTAACCAGGATAGGGGGCGGCCTGAGCCCTCAGGAAACATCCCAGCCCACATTCCCATTGCCTTTGTTGAGGAGGTCAGTCCTGGGAAATCCTACTCCCTCACCCCTTCCCAGGCTCCACCCAAACTAAGTGCCTCCAGGGAGGGCAGGGAGCCTTCTCTCCACACACACTGAGGGAGGAGGGAGTGTGACACAGGCCTACATCAGAACTCTCACCAGCCTCTGTGAGGCTGTGGTCATGCCAGCCAAATGACCACAGGCCCCTGCAGACCTAGTGGCCCTGGGCCTTGGTTCTCATTGGACTAAGGGAAAGGGGGCTTCAATGGCAGTCTTGTTTACTAAAGGCAGAAGCAAGTACCACCAGTTCCCCAACCCACTCCATGCCTGGAGCAAACACCACCTCCTAGGTAGTAGATGTAAGCAGCAAATATAGGCCCACTTGGGCCACATAAATTGAACTAGCTGCCACACCCATCTTGCCCCAGCCAGGCTCCCCATATAAGCAAGCAGGCAGGTTGCTTAAGCCCCAAACATAGCAGCAGAGGTGATGGTGGCACAGGGTGGGGCAGGAGGTAGAGAGCCAGCCTGGCAGACAGGATGGGCCCACAGGCACAGTGATAGCAGCCCAGCCACTAGGGCCTGTCCACAGGCCAGAGCTGGCCAGGATCAAGCGAGGCACTCAGGGTCCTCTCAGCTCCTTCCTTCCCCTCCAACACTGAAGGCTCCCAGAGGGACCAGGCCCCAAAAGGGAGCCTGAAGTCACTTTCCAAGCCCCCAGCACCCACCGCAGAAGCAGGGCTAAAGGCAGAGCAGTTTTTCTAGTCAGGACCCTTCCCCAGTCATGCAAGGGCAGTATGGACCAGTGTGTGTAAGGGAGATCTGTGACTGACATCCGCCTACATGTGATCCTTATCTCTGAACTCATACCCCATCCCTTGCATACCTTGAAGAGGAATGGCCCACACTCCATGAATGCTGGGCTCTGAGGTGGGTGAGTACACCCATGAGCCCCTGCCAGGGTCTGTCCACTTCCCAAAAGACTTCTTCCCCACCTTCCCATTCCCAACCATGCCAAGGGTTTCAGGGATGGAGAATGGAATCCTTCCTCCTGCCTCACAAGAACCACTCACCCAGACCTGCAGCCTCTTCCCATACAGGACTCCAGGGCACAAGGCTAACAGCTCCAGCAGCAGCTACTATGAACAGGTCCACACCAACTGCCACTGTCCAATCTTAGTGGTACCCTTTCTTGTGCTACTTCCTGGGTCCACACCCAGCCTAGGTGGGACCAGCCTACTCCCTGCCCAGCTGAGGACAGGACGAGGCATGGCTAGGGAGCTGTCCGTCACACCTCATGGGGTGGGCAGCATCTAAAGCCAGGTGGCACCTCTCACCTGGTTACTCACCACCCCACTCACAGAGCCTGACACAGCCTCACTGCCTCCCCACACTCACAGAGAAGCAGGTTCTGGCTCCTGTCACTCTGGGCTAGGGAAGGACACAGTGGGGGTGGGACACTGAACAGGTCAGCCTCTATTCTCTTTCTCTGAGAACCAGAGCATGCCACGCTGCACACTGCTGGTGGAGGCAGCCTAGGGGACAAAAACCTTTGGTTCTCAGCCCACTCCAGGACCAGGATGGGGCCTTTCCTCTAGGCTCCTAACACCCACACACTGGCAGGTCCTGGTCCCCATGGTACCCTAGTGCCCAACACAGAGCCTGGTACAGAGCAGGTGCTCAGATATTTGTTAAATGAAAACAAAAACATATGAGATCAGTGCCTTTCTCCTACTATCTGAATCTGTTTCTCCCTCCATAATATGGAGTGTGGACCAGGAGGCCTCAGGTCCTTCCGGACCAGTCTGTGATAGCCACGAGCACCTGAAGCCTGGGGGTCCATGGTTCCCTGAACCTGTTACAATCTCTGTCAGGCAGAGAATGCACTGACCAGCTCCAAGAGTAAATGGGGACCCAAGTGTCCCTGAGCCATCCCAGGTGCCAAGTGTGACCTAGCTCTAAATGGGGACACAGGTGTCTTCTGGACTGACCCAGGACTGGGATGGGCAGGGTCAGAAGGGCCACCTTGACTTGTTCATCATCCTCTGTGCCACCCAAATGACCACAGCCAGGCCAAGGGTCTAGGTTTGCTCAGTCTGACCTCTCAGCATATGTTAGCACAAGTGGTTTTCCCACCCATCTTTGTTGTTGTTAAGCATCTGTTGAGGGCTAAGTGCTGGGGTAAATGCCTCACCTATATCACTTAACTCTTCTCAGTCTACTATGAAGCAGGTATTTTATCATTACTCTGCAGACAAGGAAATAGAGGCTCAGAAACATTATGGGATATGCCTAAGATCACTCAGCAGGACAGTGATGGGACAGAATCAGAACTCGGGACTGCTAGCCTCAAGGCTGTGCTCTCAGGCCACAGTCCCCCAGACAAGCACCCTAGTCAGACTATGACCAACCAACCCTGGAGACCCAGGGCCCACCCCATGGGGTCCACCACATCTCTGGGAAAGCTGCAGGAGGCAGTGGCCAGGCCAGAATATCCCATGCCAGGCTTCTTCCATCTCACTCTTCCCTAGACCAGCCTCCAGCACTGACCCCAGGGTACCCTGCTGCCTTAGCCCTTTCCCATCCAGGAATTAGCACCTCCAACCCAAGAGGCAACCTGTTGATTCCAGAACAGGCAGACACGCCAATGAGAAGACAGCCAGCTGCAAGGACTCTTCTTGCAGAAGGCTCTGACTGGGCCAGGTGTGGAAGGGGGGGCAGGGCCTTACACAACGGAGCCCTTGAAGGGGTGAGGGTCACACATCTGCTCTAGGAGCTCCCCATAGCCCACTGTCTGTCCCATCCCACTCAGGCTCCAGTGCTCCCAACTTCAGTTAGTGCCATCTCCTGGCCATGTGACTGCAAAACCTCAACCAACCCATGTCGCCTCTCACCTGGACCCAGCCCAATCTCTTCTACGGCCTCCTGCCTCATCTCCTTCCCTCCTCCACCTGCCCTTCAGCTAACTTCCTAAAACAAAGGTGGCAAATTGTGCCACATCCTTCTTCTCAACCTGCTGTACTTCCCCACCACCTGGCTGGGCAAACCCTTCCACCTTTCTCCACCCAAGACATGTCTACTAACCACAATTCTCTGGTCATCCCATGTCTTCAGGCTCTTGCTGTCACAGTTTTCTTAGCCAAGTACCCCTTCCCAACAAAGCAAAATTCTACTTACATGAGAAGGCCCAGCTGAAATCTACCCCTTCTCTGAGCCTCCCCAGCAGACTCATGGCAGCCTCCCTGAACCTACAGCTCAAAGTTCTGTGGACATCAAGCACAGTGTCTTGTTGGAGAATCACTTATGTGGGGCTGACATGTCAGCCACACAGAGCTTCCTGAGGGCAGAGCCAGGTCTGATTCATCTCCAGAGTGTAGGTGTAGAGTAGAACCTGGCACAGAGAGGGAACCAGTACATCCTGTTTCAACTAGTGCCCCAGTAAGCCGGTCAGCACACATTGGGTAGACTGCAGGACTTGTGCACTTGAGCTCTCCAGGCAAGGAAATCAGAGCTGGGGATTCCAAATGCTTGGTTTGGCATGGCTTAGTAGTAGAGGCTGAAGAACCCTTGACAGAGCTGCCAGCCCATCCAGCTGTGGGCAGCACCACCCCATAGCATAGCAGTAGGTTACATTAGCAAGCTCTGACTCACCATAGGTTGTAAGAACAGCCAGACGCTCACAGGGTGCTAGTGATGCTGGATTAGTTTTTGACTTCAGCATTCTGAACATTCTAAGTAACTCATCTGGCTCCACTAGCCCCCTTGGCCATCTCCCAGCACCAGCTTGAGGTCTAAGGAAATGCCATATCACCAGGTTGAGGGGCATCAGAATGGCTGAAGAGGTAAGATTCCAAGCCCCATCCCCAGGGACTGCCCTCTCAGCCCTCAAGGGCCTACAACTATGGCAGAAGAGCTGAGGGATGGAAAGCACAGAAACAGCAAGATGTAACCCCAAAGAGTGGGCAGAATCTGAATGGCCTGGCCTTAGAGCACTGGCCCCAAATGGAGATGGAAGGAGGGATGACAAGAAGAGGAGGCAGGGGACCAAAGTCCTGGCAGAAGCCAGGGATTCATGGTGGTATAGTCCACTGCATTTGGAAATCCACAAGTAGCCATGGGCAAGGGGAACCAGACCTGGGCAAATAGAAAGCCCACAAATGGATGCCGGGAGCAGAAGTCCAGGCTAAATCTGGAAGGTGCTTCAAGCTCATAGAGGAGGGGTCTGCAGGGCCAGCTTGAAGATTCTCCCACCCTTTCCTCAGCAACCAAAACTACCCTCCCCAAAGAAGCCCTGGCCCACCAGGCCCATCCATGGGGCAGAACCCCATGGAGACTCCTTACCATGTGGGGGTTGTCATAGTAGACAGCGATGGAGCGGAGCTTGGGAGAGATGCTGCAGCTCTCAGTGAAAAGCCGCCCAGTCTCACCATAGAGCCCCATGTGGAACTTGTAGGCCACAGTGACGTTGCGGATGGGGGGTGACCCAGCACTCACTTCCACCCCAGCCAGTAGCCCTGAGTACCCGGCAAAGGCCAGCAGCGTCAGCAGCAGTAAGAGAGTCAGGCCCCCAATCAGGCCCAGTAGTAGCAGGTCCGACATGGCTCTGGATCCCCAACACTGCACCTCAAGGCAGCTGCAAAGGAGAAAGAAGGGAGAGGAGGCTGGTAGCCTACTCTGACAATGTGCCCACTTGCCCGCCAACCAGTTCTGGCCCAACCTCCTCAGACCTGCCTTGGGTGCTCTGACCCAGAAAGGGGAGGGGCCAGAGGTGTTTACACACAGAGTGACCTGGAAGGGAGCTACAAGGATGACTGAAGCCACAAGCCTCTTTATTTCTTAATCGCAGTTGGTGAGGATCTCAGAGCAGCTCAAACTGTCAGCTGGCAGCCCTGGTCACACCTGGGGAAACTGAGTCACAGAGGGGCACAGGAGTGATTCAGCCAGAGACATACTCCGGGCCCTGACAAGTCTCCCCGAAGATGTACCAGATACCAGCCAGCCTGCCTTTCCTCCACATTACCTCTTCCTCCCCACAGCTGAGCCACGCCACCAGCCCAGCCTCCCCAAGCCTCAGGGACGACTGCCAGAGGGAGGACTGGCAAATGCTAGGGTCCAAACACTTACTAACGACAGGGAAACCATAAGGAACAAAAACTTGTGAGGAAAAATGTGCCTCAGGAAGAGAATTTCATAAGAAACTCTCCTTTTCTAAGTACATCTGGCCTGCAGGGACCTTGCTATCCAGCAAGCTTACCCATCCAGAACCAGAGGAAAGACCAGAGCAAAGCGGCCTGAGCAGGCAGAACAAAGTCCAACACTAAGCTTCCCAGACTTGAACCACCAATGTTAACAAGCTTCATCCCAATTTTCCAGCCCACAGAAGAAACAGTGAGTAGTAAGAGGAAAAGGCTGCTAAAAGGGGAGTCGCACAGCAGGAGGAAGTAACAATTATCCCTAAGAGGAAAAGAAGCTGTTCAAGAGCAGTCCCAGGAACATAACACAGAGGCCAGTCTGTGAGCTATTCAAGGCAGGCTGCCTAGTTCTCCAGGCAGCTTGGGGCCAGAGGCCTAACCCTCTTACACAGAGGGCTTGACCTGAGTTGCCTGGCGGGGGGGAAAAATCACAGCCCAGAGAAGACTGTTTAAAGAGGAAGGGAGCCATGTGACCCACTGGGGGGACATTCCCACCCCAATTATTTAAAAGTAATATTTAACATTTAAAAGGTTTTGAAGCTAAAAAGGCCACGCTGCAACTTTGTGGAATACTTAGCTCTGTGGAATTATTTCTTCCCTGTGGGTGCTGGGTGTTGATTTTACGCTAAAAAAAAATTGTCTTTGGAGTCAATGAGCACACAGTATTTGCTCACAAAGAGGCAAAGTAAATTTCTAAACTTTCGGTGTCAAGAAATTGAGGTGTTGCCCACTAGTCTCACCCATCTGTGCTTCTACCCATCAGTATCTCTCTCTTTTCTGCCTGTCCTACTCATCTTGTCTCCAGTAACTTTCATTCCAATTTTCTTTGATAATGATGAGAAATCTTCCACTGAATGCTTACTATACGCCAGGCACTGTCTAAATGTTGAAACACAGCTACTTCATTCACCCTCAAAGCAATCCAAAGAGGTAGGTAAGGCTAAAGGTTCAAGTAGTTAGAGGTTAAGAGACTTGCCCAAGGTAACACAGGTATTAAACAGAGCCACGTGGACCAAAATGCAGGCAACACAAGCCCAGACAGTCTGATTCCAGCCCCTCATTTCCACTTTCTCTCTCCTCTCTGGTGACTGGCTTCCAAAACGCCTGAAGCATTAAATCCTTGTTGGACATCTCTGAGCCCAAAGCTGGAAAACTCTCAGCATCTAGGCCCCCACTTGCCTTGGGAATGACAAGCCCTCACCCTGATCTGCCATCTCAGCTGAACACTTCCTGTCTCCTCAAGGAAACTTAGTATCTACCTTTCTCTTCCTCTCACTTCCCAAACTGCTCAGAAAACGGCGGGGGGGAAGAAAACCCACCTGGGGGTCTCAGAGCCTTGGTCGGCACGTGGAGAGGTAACGTGAATTTCCCCTATATTCAAGAGAAAAGGAAGAAGGTCTGGGAGCTCACCTGAAATGCCAGGCTCACTTTTAGTAACTGCTGGCATCCAGTGCGGCAGGGGCCGAGCGCTCCAGTGCTGGGAGCTGAAAGAACAGTCACCCCTGCCCAGGAAATAACCACTGAGCCAACCATCATGCCCTGATTACCGTCCTCAGGGAAAGCCTACCGGTCCCTCTAAAGCACCCTCGTCCCATTCTCAAACCCCCTGTGGAAATCAGAAGCCAAACCTAGCTTTACAATGTCAGGTCTCTTCGCTAGAGCTCTGGTCACGCCCCTCTTCCTGGAGTACTCCAATCACACTTGGCGCCCAGAAACTGCCGCTGCCGCTGACCTTGGGCAGACTGCGCCCTCCCTCTAGCCTCGGCTCCCCCTCCGCTCAGAGGCCCGGGATGGACGCGTGCGGCCGGTGCCAGCGAGCCTCAGGGAAGGCTGCGCCCAGCCAGCTTCCTGGTGCCGCTCACGTGCGCGGCGGCGGAGGGCCGGGCCCTTAAACGGCCCCCGTCCTGGGCTAAACTTCGGTGCTAGCAGAGGGCGGAAGGACTATGGAGGGTGGGGGGCCGCCGCCTCCCACTTTCGGATTCCAGCCCCTGCTCACCCCGGGCCTTGCCTATTTACTCAGAGCCTTTCTCTTCGCCCACCTCCTCACGGAGCCCCACGCACGTCTGTAACTTAAAGGACGCTAAAGTTTGCAGCCCAGGCTGCGAGGCGCGGCCTTGGGGGACGGGGGCGGAGTTAAAACGCGACTCGCGCCTCTTTCCCTCACCTCCACGGCCCCGGGGCATGCCCTGCACCGGTGGCCGCGGAAGTGGGCTGCCCGGAAGAGTAGGGGCTGCCCCAAGGTCGCATCCAGGCCCTCGGACCTGGCCGAGGCCAGCTGTGGGCAAGACAAGATGCAAAGAGCGGCCCGGGCCGCGGGGGTCACGGAGGGGACACGGAGAGTCCTGAGGTCGCGCCAGGGCGGACAGGGGGAGTCCCAGACCTACGCCCCAGTGGGTATGCCTCTCCTCTGGCCCGGCCCTCACCTCAGCAGCCGCCCGCTGCGGACGCCGATCCGCGCAGGCGGCTCAGGGTTCGGTTACGGAGCCTGCGCGCGCCCGCCGCGCACGCTCGCTCCGCCCCCTCTCGCGGCGGGACATGGCCGTGGCCGTGGGCGCGTGCGCGCGGGACCCGGAGGGCGGAGGCCTGCCCCGCCCCGTCTCCATGGCAACGGGCGTGTGCCTAGCCCCAGCGCTGGCTGCGGCGGAACCCACGGCGTACCTTCCCGCCTCCAACAAACTATCCGGTTGCTGAGGTTGATTTAGCAACACCCCAGGGCATCTGGGTTGGCAGGAGCACCACAGTGACAGCCTGGCCCAGGCTCGGGTACGGGAGGCAGCCCAGTGGCCCGCAGTAGAGGGCCAGGCTGGGGACCAGGGAGCTGGGGCTGAGGAGAATTTGTACAGCCTAGGGAGGCGCAGCACAGCAGTATCAGCCTCTGGCATTTGTACCACCTTTAGTCCTGCCACTTTCTCTCACTGTGGCTTCGCAACAGACTTGGGAACCAAGAAAGGCATAGGTGAGGAAGCTGAAGCCCAGTCTGGGCTCGCGGAAGAAACTGGTGGATCCAACTTCTGCATAGCGCAAATATCTGCTTCCTGCCTCCACCCACCCATTCCCACTTCCGTGAGTATATTCATCCATCCAACACTTATTATTACTCCTTGCCAGGACAGTTCTAGGGGCTGGGGATAGAGTGAACAAAACCAAGGTTCTGCCCTCCTGGAGTTCACGTTCCATGGGAATGCCCTTCTTCCAGGCTCCTCCCTCAGTGCCCAGGTTGTGGCTGTGGGAGGCTGGTCTACCTTTGTGGTTTAGCGGTAACTTACGTGATTCCCACGTCAAGTGTAAGCTCCTTGATGATTGGTTCAATCTTCACCTCAAATTTCTGAGGACCTACAAACTACAAAGCACTCTTCTAGGGGCCCAAAGATAAAACGCTCCCCTCGTGAAAATCCCGGACTTTTGGTGGGAGGTGGGGAAGGTGACAACTATGCTCATAAGCTTGGCTACAAGACCGGCGAGGCCAAGAGCTACTTTGGTATCCTGACAAGGACTGATGTTTGGGAGGGGGATCCAGCAGATGGGAACACCACGAAGGTGGTGGTGGGAAAAGTCAGCAGTCACAGGGTGGTTCACCTTGTGGATCCCACTACTGCACCAGCAAAGAGCAGGCTGGGCACACAGAGACAGTCAAAATCCCAGCTTCCTTTCCCTCTGCTTCACATTCTTCCTTCCGCAGGCAGGGGAGTTTGAACCTTATCCACAGGGCCAAGCCTGTCCCAGCCCTCTAGGCAAACTGGCAGAACAGGCAGCTGGCCCCTCACAGGCACTCCGGGCTGGGCCAGTGCAGGTCGCAGCAGTTGTTTTACCTATGAACATCAAGCACATGGTCAAACCCTCAGCTTAGGTGCCCCAGGCAGGCGGGCTACACACTTGGTAGCATTTCCTTTGACACAAGGAGCAGCCATGGCCCGGGCTCAGAGACTGACAGCCTCTGCCTGCAGGGTCTGCGTGGTCATTTCTCCTGCTTCTCAGAAGGTGGTGAGCTTTTCCCAGGAAACCATTATAAGGAAGTGCCCATTCTTTATCTTGTTCTCTCTGCTCACTTCCCTTAGCCTGATTGGGGAACTCTAGAGCCCCACATCAGAGTTCAACATGTGCCTCAGGAGCTTCAGCACCTCTTTTGTGGGAGGAGAGTCCGCTGGTGACTGGGGCTGCAGGCCATGACATCAGCCTGCCCAGCTTCACCTCAGGCTGCTTCCAACAGTGCCAAGTGAGGTCCCTTGGCAGGATCCCTGCAAGGCAGCGGCTGGCCACCAGGAGGCAGCAGCCTACTCTACAAGGCACTTTCTTCATTCCAACCCCTTGTAACAGGTCTGAGGAAACCTGTTCGCCCAGCCATGTGCTGCAACCATCCTCCACTCCCAATCTTATCTCCCAATAGCACAGATTCCCCTATCATGAGTCCAGACTTGGCCTTCATCTCCTCTTGCCTTCCTCTGTCCAAGGAATCACTACAGAGATTCTTTCTCTATCCTTCTTTGTAAATTTCCAGAAAATTGTTTCCCCAGGGCCCCTCCCCTTGAAGAAATTAAACAGGAAGCTGGAGTAGACTGTCCCTTCTTTCCCCCACCTCTCACACTCCAAAGCTCTGTTTAACTCTGTGGGCCAGTGGCTAGATTCCCCAACATGGATGACAGAGAATACACATGCAATAAGAATGTTTTCGCTGCCACCAGCCACTCACAGACACACTGTCTCCCACCCTCTGAAGGCATTGTGCCCAATCCCCAGCCACTCACTGTCTAGTCAGGGCTGCCCCTGCAGGACTTGCCTTGGCTGAGGACCAGCTAGCTTCAAGCCACTCTGAAGTCAGCTTGCTGTTTCCCCTGGAGCCTGGTAATACATCCTTCTTCAGGTGAACAAAAGCAGAAAAAGCCCAGTGAACCCCACTGCAACAAAGAGCCTGCCATCAGTCTTCCTTCTGTTCCTGCCTATCTCATCACCCAAGGGCTATCCCAGAGCCCACTATGTTCTAAGATCTATTCCTTTCACCACCACCCAGCCAAACAACTATCCAGACAATTCCTTGATCAAACAACACTGCCTTCTTGAGTTTAAATTTTATTTTACAAAAAGAGAAATAAAGAAAACTGATAGGCAGTTATACTGACTTACAATTGTTCTGTTTGCTTTTTTTTAAAAAAGTGACATGAAACACAAGTAAAAATAAATACGTCATAGAAACAGCCAGTTGCCCAGTCTCTGGGGCAGGAGCGCCTGCCCTGCTGAGAGGAGGGAAGCCCATGATCACACCAGCAGCTGGATCACCCAGCCACAGATGCTCCTCGAAGCCAGGCACAGGTCCCAGGCCTCAGGGGCGTCCTGAGGAAAGAAGACGGAAAACCAAAGCCAGGTGCCAGGACCCTGGGGCCACCTCATTATCCCCCACTCCTCCTGGCAGCAGTCTGGTCTTAGTGGTTATCCATAGCGACCCCCCTTAACCCACCTGGACCCTCTTCCCCTGACCTCTCTGAAGATGGTACAAGGGAAAAACCTGTCTTGGGCAGGCTGGGGGGGATTCTTCTGGTGAGTCCCCAGCCCACCCTGAGTAACACAACCAGATAACAGTCATTTTACACCCAGGTGCACATGAGCACAGCACACAAACACACACACACACACTCACACACACACACACACACAGCTGGGCTGAGCTCTCTTCCAGGGAGGGTCCTGGGTCCAGTCACAGTATGAGGTCCTCTCTCTTCTGAATATCATCCCAGTAGTGGCAGCAGAGAGTACCCAAACCTCCCCAAGCCCTCTGCATTGCAGACACTGCAGCCTGCTTGGCTACCCCTCCCCAACACACTAGATTACTATGTCAAATAGACCTGCAAAAGGGAAAGGTGCACACTCAGGTCCCTGAAGAGCAAAGAAGTTGGACACTGCCTGCTCAAGAAGTTCATTGTTATAAGACTCAGGTATTCATAAAAGGCCTAGGGCTAAGCTAGTAGCACAGAAAAGCCGTTAAGGGGATCACAGCAGAATACACAGGGCAGAAGAGAAGAGTTGGCAGCAGGGGAACGGAGTCTCAAGGTGACCAATAGAGAGCACAACATTCTCAAATAGTCCTTGAGGTGCTGATTCCTGGGAGTAGTCAGCAGAGGGCCAGAACATCTCCCAGGGGTCCTTTTGGGGAAGGATGACTTCACTTAGTTTTAGGGGTGAAGAGCCACTGAGCTGGGTGCACAGAAGGCCATGGCTCAGAAGGGAAAGACTGATCTGAGAAATCAAAAGGAAGTGGGGGCCAGGAGCAGTGGCTCACGCCTGTAATCCCATCACTGGGAGGCCGAGGAGGGTGGATCACTTGAGGTCAGGAGTTCAAGGCCAGCCTGGCCAACGTGGTGAAACCCCGTCTCTACTAAAAAATATACAAATTAGCTGGGCATGGTGGTGTGCACCTGTAATCCCAGCTACTTGGGAGGCTGAGGCAGGAGGATCGCTTGAAACCGGGAGTGGAGGTTGCACGGAGCCAAGATCACACCATTGCACTCAAGCCTGGGTGACAGAGCAAGACTCTGTCTCAAAAAAAAAAAAAAGGAAGTGGGAAGCAGAAGGTAATATCCAGAACACTAGTAACAAGGAATGTAAAGCCCCCAGAAGACCTTCCCCATGGGATGAGGACTCAATTTCAGAGCAATGCCAGGTTTGAATAGACTCACACAGAGGGCCCTTCTCTGCTGACAACTTTGGGAGTGATGGTCCTACCCAGGCCACTTAAGTTTGGCTAAGTGTTTCAACCAATCTGCAAAACTGTACCCCAGCACTTTGCTTCCTGCTCCTGAATTGAGAAATTTCATATTTAGTTGTGAATCACAAGCATATAGAGACTCCACACACTAATTCCTAGGGAAGAGAGCTCCAAGGATCACAAGCATATAGAGACTCCACACACTAATTCCTAGGGAAGAGAGCTCCAAGGACCAGACAGAATTATCCTTAAATCAGGAGATGATGAGATAGATGCCTAAAAAGCATAACTCAAAGGGGTGTGGACTTCATAGATATCCAATCTAAAGAAAATGATATGACCCAACATGGTTCACTTCCTTTCTTAAATAGCTACTTTGTCCCTGTTCAATTTTTATCTACAAATATATTAAGAAAAGGAAATCAAGCATCACTATAAATGGTAAACCTCAATCATTAAGTAGTACTGTGTTCCCCAGGCTGAGAACTTGGCTAAACCAGATGAATGGGGCTTGAGAGGCCCTTGAAAACATTCCATGGAAGACAATGGTAAGGGAAAACGCCTAGGCCTGATTTTCTGCCCTCCCTCTTATCACCAGCCACCCTGCCCCCCTCAGGCCTGGATAATGGGTGGAAGACACCACCAAGTGTTTATGATCAAAGAAACTATAAAACATGGTTCTTAGGCTCTGAGATACTTCCTGCTTCCCTCACAAACATGCTTATGTTTGGTGTGCATGCACATTTGCCTATCAGCACATATAAAGAGACAGTGGAAAAGTCAGAAGTGTTTTCAGGTTATTTTCTTTAAAAAAAAAAAAAAAAAAAAAAAAAAAAAAAAAAAGCAAAAACCATGGACCTGGTAGCACTCCAATTTCCCATGATCCCACCCCCAACCCCTCTACACAATAGAAACTGCACATATAAAAGAAAGCCTTCTCTAGTCAGGTCAGCCTCCCAGAATGATGGCCTCTGCTGAGTAGAAGCAAGACCCAGTCCCTGGAACACTGGATAGACAGTAGGCATGTGCTGCCTCTCAGAATACCCATTTACTTTCTGTCAACTTCAAAAGCCAAGCCCATCCCTCCAGGGAATGGTTTCAGTTCCCGGCTGGGAAGGTTTCCGGATTCTTGGAGGCTAGTACAGTGATTTCCTAGAAGTGAACACAGAAATACTACCCCCTTCTCCCGACAACACACACACACAGACATACACATGCACACATGCATCTCTGGGATCCCAGTGCTCCAGGGCCTGAGAGGCATCAGTGTAACCCAGGTTCTGAGTGTGTCCCATAAATTGGAGATTCAGTCTAGCTCACTCCTACTGCACCAGCCTCAACCTGAGAGCTCACTCCAACTGAGTCCCTTCACCATCCATTCTTGGGATGCATCTGAAAGAGAAAGCACTGGTTGGAACTGCTATTTTTAAATTATTAAAATAATTTGCATAGCTAAATTGTAGATCTAAGGCTTCCATGAGTAGAAGAGTTAAGTGTCTGGCAGGGTGCTTATGAAAACACAAAGCTTCTTAAGTTCCACTTTTGGTGTTATTGGACAGCAGACAAACACACATATACACATGCACCCCATCCATCATCTCCTTGTCTCTTCTCTGAGGACAATACCCCAGAGTCTGCTAAGGCCCTCCAAAGATGGAAATGGGCTGGTCAGAAGAGCTGTAGGAGCTACTACTGGGATGACCTGACTAAGCTGCCTTCTGGGCTGGGAAGAGGCAGGTACACCACCTGCCCAGTAAGGAGGGAGCCATGGGTAAGTGGTAAAGCTCTAAAGCCAAAGTTTGTTCATCATAAAGAACTGTCTGGCAAAGTGTTGGGGTGGGGGATACAGAGGGGGCGGGGACACCAGTAGGAAGACAGCCAGTGTTTATGCTTAAGGACTAGACGACCCTCCCCTGGCAATGGCAATAAGGGGAGACCCAGAATGACTGGTGTGTTCTTTTAAGATAAAACCCAGACTTAGGGCTCCTACAGAGAAAGGGCTCCTCCATGTTCCTTCAAAGATGGAGGCAGCAGACACCAGGCCTACATGGACCACCTGAAGATATTTTCGAACATGAAATCAACAGTCCCTCAACCCAGCAACCGCCTATCCACAGCTTCACTATTCAGCATAGAGAGCCAACATCTAACATCATCCCAGGAGGACACAGCTCCAAATCTGGGGTCTCTTACTTCCCAATTGCAAACTCCATGATCACAACTTTCGATTTCTGTGGAATGAGTCCCACCCTCCACTAACTATCCAGTCTCAGGATTCCCTGATCTTCCTGAAAAGCCATCTCTCAAAAATATAGTTGTTTAATCCAAACCTTGGTCAAACCTAACTCTTCCCCTGGTCAATTTACCATCCATCCAGGATTGTTTTTCACCAGTGGCTATAGGGTCTGGGATATCTTAAAACTTCCCTTTCTATCACCTACCCTCCTTACCCCTAACCTCCCCCCACCCCCAAATAAACAAGACACATGAAAAGTCCAAGTAATAAATAATTGCCCATAAGAAATAAATTAACATGGAGCTCTCTAAAGGGGAAGGAAAGGAACAGAAAAGACTACCAGGATAGGCAGCTGGGGGCTCAGTTCTACCCTGGTGAAAAATGTATTTTCCAGCCACAACTCTGCGACCTTTCATTCACGTACTGCAGTGCTTCTCCCTCCCAGCCTCTGCACACAGACAACCTTCCAAGCTGGAAAGGGAGAGCTGCTCAGAGATAGCCACCGGGGTTAAGAGACATAGATTGGTAATGCCCATTTTCTCTCATGAATTTCCCCAAATTCTCACACAAATGTGGCTCTGAATACCAGGGACTTGAGTTAGCTGGGCCTTCTCTTCACCCATCCCGAAGGAAACTTGTTATTTCCATGGCTCTTCTGGGCTCACCCTGATGTTCACACTAGGTGCCATGAACCACCAAACTGACTTCCATTTAAAGAAAGATAAATTCATTTTTCAGTTTCCCTCTTAGTTCTTCCCTCCCTCCCCTCCCACCTTCACCCCTGCTCTGTTCCATACATACACATACAAAATAAACATACACACACACACTCACAAACACACATACCTGGTCAGCTTCCTTCCCACCCCCTAAAAAGACCCCACTTCACATGGGATCACAGTCTGCTCCCCCTACCCACCCTCCTTCTCTCACTCATTCTCCCTTCCTTCACTCCCCTCCCCAGGCCAAGCTAAGTCACCTAGTAAGGCAGCTCTCTTGGGAAAGAATGTTCCCAAAGACAGAAATGGGATGTGCGCTTCTACACTCAGATGGGCGAGCAAGCAAGCAGACAGCATAAGCAAGGCAGGAAGGAAAAGAGGCTGCACTGCCCCTCCATCCCTGTTTTGGGTCCCTGATTTCCCGCTATTGCTGCTGTGTTGGACTTTTTTTTTTTTTTTTTTTTTTTTGCCTCTTTTGTTAAACAGCAACAGAGCTCTGCCACTTTGGCCAACCACCCTCCTTTGTCCTCTTCCTTTTCCCTCCTGCCAAGTGTCCTATTCTCAAAAGGTCTAAATCACTGCCTTTCAGCTTGGTGGGCAACCTGCTGGGGGCCCCAAGTGAGGTGGGGAGGGGCTCCCTAGCTATTTCCCAGTGACCTCTATCACATCATCGTCTTTATCCTCATCATCATTGGAGCTGAACCCAACCTCGGCAACCTCATGAGAGTCAAATGGAGGCACCTGGGACCGTAGGAGGCCACCAGCTGGGTAGCCTGCATGTGGGGACATGTAGCCTGGATAGATAGACATGCCCCGCGAAAGGTTGCTGGGCAAGACAGGGGAAGGAAAAGGCGCAAACATCCTCGGCTCGGACAGGAGTGGCTGTGAGAATGGGAGTGAATAGCTGGGTAGTATCCCTGGCACAGAAGGGTTGAGCATGAAGGAGGGGTTGCTGGCAGTGACTGAGGTAGCCGTGGAAGAGGAACTGACGGGGCCTGCTGGCACCAGAGGGTCAGTAGTCACTGGAAACACCAGGCGGGCATCTGCCAGCAAATTGGACAGCTGGTAGTAGGAGGGGGTACTGCCCATAAACAGGGAGTTCTCCCCAGCCTGGGAGGTGAAGGGGGTGGTGAGGTTATGGTTTAAGGAGACGGGTGGCATGGCAAACCCGCCAGAGACTGGATACCCGTGTTCATACGGCTGCACGGGGGCTGGCAGATGACCCTTCCTGGACCGCCGGCGGGATGACTCCTGGGCAGCAGGTGGTGTGGCCAACTTTCGCTTGTGGCCCCTTAAGTCCAGCACTGGGTGCCTGTCACCACAGGGCTGGCCAGTCACCAAGAGGGAACTATTGAGGCAATGACCCCCTAGTCGAGGCTCAGTTCCGAGAGCTGTCCCGGGAACAGCACTGCTGTCCATAAGTTGGGCCGGGGGGCCAGGCAGGGCGGCATTGGTGCTTGGGGAGCTCTGACGGGATTCCCGGGCAGCAGCCACATCTGCATACTGCTGAAGCTCACTGATGATCTCTGGGCTGTCAGGAGAGACGGGCCTGGCCAGCCCCTCAGGGTCGGGGGCTTTGGGTGATGAGGCACTGTGTCTGCCGTTGCTTGTGGACTCGCAAGAAGGTCCCTGGGAACCTGGGGACAAAATGTAGTTAACTGAGAATCAGAGTGGCCAGGGAGAGAAGAAGGGTAGAGGAGAAAACTCCATTAAAAAAAATCCTGTCCTGTAGTCCCCAAAATTCTAATAGTTTGATGTCTGAACAACATCACCCAGTCAACCTTTTCCAGTCACAAAGAAATTCTTTGATCCCAGAAATAGGTCTATCTATGACAAGGCATGTAACTTTTCTGCACCCCAGTTCCCCAAACTGTAAAACTATACCAAAATGAATCCTACGAGATAAGGGATATGAAACACTAAGAGATCATTCTTAAAACTAGTCAAACTTTTTCTGGCAGTAAGAGACAGTCAGTGATCAATGTGGGGGAAAGAGGAAAATCAAGCTAAAAAGCAGTTCATTCTGATTTGAAAACAAAACAAAATCCATAGCTATGGAAGACAACTGGGACAAATGGGAAATCTCAATTTTGGAATACTAGGTAATTTTATGGAATCGTTAGCTTTTTTTAGTGTAATAATGATATTGTGGCTAGGAACAGAATATCTTTAATCTTAGCAGATGCATGTTGAAGTACTTAGAGATAAAATGACATGATGAAAAACATGACATATATCTTCGACTTACGAATGACTCAAATAATAGAAAGGGAGGGAGAGAAAGAAGAAGGTTTATGAAAACTAACCATCATTAAATCTAGGTGCAGGGTATATGGGTGCTCATGGTGCTATTTTTCAACTTTTCTGTATGTATGAAAATTTGAAATTTCCATAATACAAAGCAGGGAACAAGAGCATTCTAGCCCTCTAGCATTCTAGCTCAGGGGTGGGAGGATAAATGAGAACCACTCCCACTGAGGGGAACTTGGCAAGAGTTCTTAACACTGTTCATGTGCCACACATATACCCTTTGACCTGGCAATCCCACTTTAAGGAACATATCCTATAGATATAACCACCTCTGTGAAAAAGCACTGTCAGTGATGGTGGAGTAAAATAATCAAAATGTATGTTGACAGGGAACTAATTAATACATTGTGTTACAGCTCATCCTGTGCGAACCTTCAAGAAGACATATCTAGAAGAAATGATAAGGAATAAACTATTACTGGTGAGTGAAAAAAGGAGTAAATAGTATTTTATGGTATGTTAGCATTTGTTTTAAAAAAACAAAGAAAATTGGCTGGGCATGGTGGCTCACACCTGTAATACCAGCACTTTGGAAGACCGAGGTGAGTGGATCACTTGAGGTCAGGAGTTCGAGACCAGCCTAGGCAACATGGTGAAACCCCATCTCTACAAAAAATGCAAAAATTAGCTGGGCGTGGTGGCACGCACCTGTAATCCCAGCTAATCAGCTAATCGGGAGGCTGAGTCAGAAGAATCGTTTGAACCCGGGAGGCGGAGGTTGCAGTGAGCTGAGATTGCACTGCTGCACTCCAGCCTGGGTGACAGAACGAGACTCTGTCTCAAAAAAAGGAGGAGCAATGGATGTCTGCGACCATGGTGGAGGAGAAACTTATGGCCTGGCGTGGTGGCTCACACCTGTAATCCCAGCACTTTGGGAGGCCGAGGCAGGCGGATCCCGAGGTCAGGAGTTCGAGACCAGCCTGATCAACATGGTGAAACCCAATCTCTACTAAAAATACAAAAGTTAGCTGGGCGTGGTGGCATGCTTCTGTAATCTCAGCTACTCAGGAGGCTGAGGCGGGAGAATCACTTGAACCTGGGAGGAGGAGGTTGCAGTGAGCCGAGATTGCACCATTGCACTCCAGCCTGGGCAACAGAGCGAGACTCTGTCTCAAAAAAAAACAAAAAAAACAAAACAAAAAGGCTGGGCGCGGTGGCTCATGCCTGTAATCCCAGCATTTTGGGAGGCTGAGGCGGGCGGATCACGAGGTCAGGAGATCAAGACCATCCTGGCTAACACGGTGAAAAGCCGTCTCTACTAAAAATACAAAAAAAAATTAGCCAGGTGTGGTGGCGGGCGCCTGTAGTCTCAGCTACTCGGGAGGCTGAGGCAGGAGAACGGCATGAACCCAGGAGGCAGAGCTTGCAGTGAGCCAAGATCGAGCCACTGCACTCCAGCCTGGGCGACAGAGCGAGACCCTGTCTCAAACAAAAAATAAACCAAACAAACAAACAAAAAGAAACAAAAAAAAAAACCACACAAAAATACTTACTTTTCACTTTACCTCTTTCTGTACACTCTGAATTGTGAACCATGTACATATTATCTATTCACATAATAAGTTAATACCTAACCAAAACAAAGCAAACAAATGTTGTTTGAAAAGTAAAATGGAAAGTAAAAGCCATCACACCTGAGGCAGCCATCCGACCATCTTCAGGAACCTTTGGTTTGCCAGTTGCCCGGACAGCAAAGATCCGTCCATCACTGGTACGGATGTACGTCCCTAAGAATAGACACGAAGAAGACAGTTAGAGGCAGACATATAATACAGCCAACCCTGGGAAACTCCAGGCTGTGCGCCGTGGGCTTGTAAATAGCTATACAATTAGGTATACCATCTCCCAAGACCCCTGAAATAAGAAGTGGGGTGACTGAGCTATGGACTCATAATTATTCATTTATTTCACAAGCATTGATTACATGACTACCATGTGCCAGGCACTGTTCTAGACACTAGAAGGCACAAGGCAGAAAAAGGCCCTGTCTCATGGAGCTTAGTCTCTAGAGAGGGAGACAGAGACTTATACCAGAAAATATCAGGAAGGGTTCAATGCAATGGAGAAGCAAATAAGGTGCTACAAAAGAGAGTAAGTTGGAATCCTATGTTCCCAGGCACTCTGGCCCAGGTTCTCCTCTTGATCTGCGAGGAAGGAGCCTTACTGCTTCAATATCCTCTCTCCCCTAGTAGGAATAATTCAAGAAAGACCTGCATTCTATTCCCACAAGGCACTAATCTATCTTCTCTTCAGCCTTGGGTATGTCATTTGATCAACCTCCTCGAATGTCAGTGCTGCCTTTAGGCCAGGAGTTAGCAAACTTTTTTACAAGAGCCAGATAGTTTTTGGGCCGGGCACAGTGGCTCACGCCTGTAATCCCAGCATTTTGGGAGGCCGAGGCGGGTGGATCACAAGGTCAGGAGATTGAGACCATCCTGGCTAACACGGTGAAACCCCATCTCTACTAAAAATACAAAAAATTAGCCGGGCGTGGTGGTGGGCGCCTGTAGTCCCAGCTACTCGGGAGGCTGAGGCAGGAGAATGGCATGAACCCGGGAGGTGGAGCTCACAGTGAGCCGAGATCACACCACTGCACTCCAGCCTGGGCAACAGAGCGAGACTCTGCCTCAAAAAAAAAAAAAAAAAAAAAAAAACAAGAGCCGGATGGTTTTTGTAAGAGCTTTATAAGCCATAAGGTCTCTATTGTAACTCCTCAATTCTGCTGCTGTAACACAAAAATAGCGTGGCATGACTGTACTCCAAAAAATCTTTATGGACACTGAAATGTGAAATTCATATAATTTCACGTCACAAAATATTACTCTTTTGATTTTTTTTTCCAACCAATTGAAAATGTTAAACCCATTCTTATCTCGCAGATATTATAACAGGTAGCAGGCTAGATTTGACCCATGGGGCATAGAGTTTGGTGACCCCAGCTATAAACTAGGAAGACAGCAGTAAAGGGGGCTGGGTTCTAGACTAGGAAGAATCCAGTAAGGAGGCTGGGAATGGTGTTTTCTATGAGTCTGGGTATTTCATGGCACTTTTTCCCTAACCTCAAAGGTACTCTAACCCAATAGAAGCTAGGGCAAAATCTCCTTACTGAACAAAAAGTCTCAAAGAGCCTCACACAATCATGGGGCTTATTTAAAGGCTAATATGTAAAACAGGCTTGGATAGAAGACGTGGGTGCAGAAAAGAGGGGAAAAAAACAGGCTTAGATTGTGTCTCAATACTGTTTAGCCCAGCTTTTTTATTCCACCAATCTCATATCCCTCTGAAAGGAGGACAGAGGCAGATGTGGACTTTTTAAATTACCATATGCAAAAATTCTATCATGCAACCCATGTGTAATTCATCCACATAATACATATCCTATCAGGGGACCCCCACCCTGCTCCAAGCAAGTGGGTAAATGTATGTAGGCTTATAACCCATTCCACCGCTCTTTCCCTCCAATTTTGGTCTCCTTGTGTCTACTTGTCCCATCCCAAGATTCTCATAAAAATGACAGTAAGGGCCGGGTACGGTGGCTCACGCCTGTAATCCCGGCACGTTGGGAGGCCCAGGTGGGCGGATCATGAGGTCAAGAAATCGAGACCATCCTGGCCAACATAATGAAACCCCATCTCTACTAAAAAAAAAAAAAGTACAAAAATCAGCTGTGCGTGGTGGCGCATGCCTGTAGTCCCAGCTACTTGGGAGGCTGAGGCTGAAGAATTGCTTGAACCTGGGAGGTGGAGGTTGCAGTGAGCCGAGATCACGCAACTGCACTCCAGCCTGGCGACAGAGCAAGACTCCATCTCAAAAAAAAAAAAAAAAAAAAAAAAAAAGACAGCAAGATAGAGAAATGTAGGGACCCTAATTTCCTTCTTTTAAACCACTGACTAATACCCTATGGGCTCAACCCAACTCCCCTAAGCTCCTACAAATGCTATTTTCTCATTCAGTTCCGGAATGTGACATCCTAATGGGATGATTCCTATGACCCGTCTAGCTCAAGTCATATGTATTTATTCTTCTTCCCAGCCCAGCACTCTCAACCAAAGGCAGGGAACAGGTCCTTGGTCAGGCTCTTACCTTTTGTCCCACGGATGATGTGGATGCTCTCACCAGCATTAATTCTTGCCTGTACATCTGTGGAGCTGTTGAGTCCAGGAATAACAATATCTAGGAAAAACACAGATCTTAAATTTAGATTGCACGGGGCCTGACTGAAGGAGGGGGGAAAATTGCAAAGTCCCACATCTACCCCAGTTCTTCATTGGTTTCCCTACAGCCTCTCAGTGGGGCAGAGGTCCAGAACCAAGGAAGGTGAAGCAAGCAGGATCTTTCACAATTATCTAAACAAAGAATACTATGAAAACAGGAACTTTGTCAGAAATCTGAGCTGGTCATCGTTGCAATCAATTTCCCTTTATTTAATTAGAAATTCATAGTTTTTGGTGTGAAAAATGTTTTAGTTTAGATGGTTGTTTCTATGCATTTTTTTCCTCTTCCCCAAACTGTTTGCACGCATCTGCGCCACATCACTTTAGGCTCCAAAAATGGCCTAATCTTCTTCCTTGCTGGCATTACCCCACACCTGGGAAACAGTATTTTCAAGAATTAGTAGATAATAGAATTATATGGCGCTCTCTTTTTCTTTTCATGTGTTTCAAATTTTTTACTTAGAAAAATCAATTAAGATATTTTCATTAAAATTTATATATTGGCCGGGTGCAATGGCTCACACCTGTAATCCCAGCACTGTGGGAGGCCAAGGCGGGTGGATTGCCTGAGCTCAGGAGTTCGAAACCAGCCTGGGCAACATGGTGAAACCCCATCTCTATTAAAATACAAAAAAGTTCACCGGGCATAGTGGCACACGCCTGTAATTCCAGCAACTCGGGAGGCTGAGGCGGGAGAATCGCTTGAGCCCAGGAGTGCAGCGAGCCAAGATCATGCACTCCAGCCTGAGTGACAAAGCAAGACTCTGTCTCCAAAAAAAAAAATAATAATCAATTTATATATTATAAATATTGCTAAATAACAAGATAAAAAACAGGATCACAAAATGTTTTCCTTCCTAATCACACTGAATCACAGAACCAGCTCCTGGAGTGGATGGGTTGGCTACCTGCCACCACTGCTGACTGGCCCACCATGCTCAATTTATATCAAACTCGCAAAGGTAGACGCAAGTGACAATTCAGGTCTTCTCATTATGTACAAAGGTTGACAGCTGTCTTTTATACCCAGATGGGTCTACAATCAGGCAGGGCTCAGCATATTCACACCTCTATAAGAACCTGAGACCAACCCTGTATTCCAGTGACATTTCCACAATTCCTGCAGTGCTCAGAGTCTATCTCACCCACCAAACCCAAGAAAACCCAGTTATGTGTTGTTATTCTTAAGATATTTCACTAGAATCCAAATTCCTCAAGACCAGGGACTGTTGTCTTCCCTATTTTTTACCAAGAGTGCCAAATGTAGTAAGGCCAGAAATACAAAAGGTGTTTAATAGATACTTCCTAAATGAACAAAGTAATTTTAAAAGGGACAGCAGCTCTGCCACAGAGCCCAGGAGTTCCCACCTGTCGTGGTGACCACCTTCTGCACAAGGACTCCTGCACGCTGCAAGTAGTTGATGGGAAAGTTCATGGATGGATTTGTGCTGGAGGCAGAGCTTACACTTCCTCCCAATGGGACATGCCGGGGCATCATGGGGATGGGGGTGGACTGCACAGGACGAACACTGGCCACAGGCTTTTCATCACCCTTCAAAGTTGGCTGCCTGTAAGAGAAAGACAAGGACACTAAAAGAGTTTGGCAGAACAACTGTTACCTTTTCCAAAGGCTACAGAGCCTTTCTAGGCTGCCCCATTCTACACCATCAGTTGATGCTCAGAGAAGGATCAGAAGAATCTGCAGGGTCTGGTCAATTCAAAAGGAGACTAGAAGGCAGGACTCAGTTGCAGCAAAAGAGGCAGAGGGATAAAGTCTGTCAAAGTCTAAGGAGAATCAGATGTTGGTGGAATAATACTTTCTGGAGATGGGAGACAATATTTGCTCCTCTAGAACCTGGACTATCTACATTAGGAGTTAGTCCCTAAAGGGAAGTCAGGAAGCTGTCAAGATGCAATAAGGCAGGAAAAGTTCACCAGACCACAGCGTATGTTAAGTTGAGATGGGCAGAATTTTCCCCACTCACCCACGGAAAAAGGGCCATGTAACGACACGTTTAGGTGATCCTAAAAAATAGTCTGTTCCAACTTTAAACATCTTTACTTTCTCTCTGAAACCTTGAGTCTCAATAAGTAATACAGACACCTCTCTCTCTCTTCTGTATTACTTTTCATTGAGTTCTTCCTAGCTCCAGCCTGGAACAACCCTCAAAGTGCCCCTCCAGTCATGACAACAACAAAAGCAGCAGCCACCAAAGCAGTGTGTACAAAAGCCAGGCTTCTACTGATTTAAGATTTTTGAAAAGTCCCTGTCTACAAGCTTTCTGAAGTCTGCATCTTTCGTCTTTGGGCCTGGAGGGGGAAAAAAAAAAACCCTTAAGACTGTTATGTTCTTCCTCATCTGACTGAAGATTGGCACATAAAATAACACTTTTATACCACTCTGCTGTTGGAGCTGGTCTGCATGATGCCTCAATCACATTGCTCTTAGGTTTTTAAAGGCCCCTTTGGTCAGCCCCTTGGTCCCTGTGGACCTCCAAGTTCCCAGATGGGCCCCAGACCTGTGCTATCTGGCCTGTTTCCCCAGTGTCTTCCTAGGATGGTTTGGCAGGAGTTAGAGGCCCTGGTCAGGTATCAATGTAACAGAAACCCAGCCCAAGCCGCATACCCTGCAGGGGCTAAGACTAAGAATTTGGGTAAGAAGTATTCCTCACATGTACCCATGTGGATTAAAAAAACTCAGCAGGATCATGAACTCATCAAATGCTGTGAGAAGTTGGTGCCCCCACAGGGCCAGAGCTAAGCCAGAAACAAAGCTGACATCTCCTTATAGCTAGTCTGGACCATTTGTCACATCTTCTCTCCATGTGGCTTTTCTCTCACTGGGCTCAGGTTTAGTCCACTCCTGAGGTTACACAGAAAAGCCCAAAAAAGAGGGGGAAAAAAAAGAGGGAGGAATGGGTGGAGGAAAAGAGAAGAGACCATTCCTGAGCAATACTATCTTGGGAAATGACAGAAATAAAGCCTGAAAGTTTTGAAAGAGAGTGACTTTCTCTTTTGAGATTGAGTCCCACTATGTTGCCAAGGCTGGTCTCCAATTCCTGGACTCAAGCGATTCTCCCACCTCAGCCTCCCAAGAGGCTGGGACTACAGGTATGTGCCACCATGTCTAGTAAGAAAGTGACTTTCTACTTAAAAGTATCTTCAATTTGCTATACAAACAGCAACAAATGGCCGGGCATGATGGCTTATGTCTGTAATCTCAGCACCTTGGGAGGCCGAGGCAGGTGGATCACCTGTGGTCAGGAATTCAAGACCAGCCTGGCCAACATGGTGAAACACAGTCTCTACTAAAAATACAAAAAATTAGCCACGCGTGGTGGTGTGCACCTATAATCCCAGCTACTTGGGTAGCTAGGGGAGGAGAACTGCTTGAACCCAGGAAGCGAAGGTTGCAGTGAGCCGAGATCACACCATTACACTCCAGCCTGGGCAACAGAGACTCTGTACCCCACCCCCAAAAAAGACAACAAATCCACTCATAAAAGTCAATGTCTTACCTAAAACCTTACATGAGACTTATTTGGCAAGTTTTCCAAAATTTCCTTTGGAACCTCATTTGTCAAGTTTTTTTGTTTGTTTGAATTTTATTATACTTTAAGTTCCAGGGTACACATGCACAACGTGTAGGGTTGTTACGTATGTATACATGTGCCATGTTGGTATGCTGCACCCATTAACTCGTCATTTAACATTAGGTATTTCTCCTAATGCTATCCCTCCCCCATCCCCCCACACCATGCCAGGCCCCAGTGTGTGATGTTCCCCTTCCTGTGTCCACGTGTTCTCATTGTTCAATTCCCACCTATGAGTGAGAACATGCAGTGTTTGGTTTTCTGTCCTTGTGATAGTTTGCTGAGAATGGTGGTTTCCAGCTTCATCCATGTCCCTACAAAGGACATGAACTCATCCTTTTTTATGGCTGCATAGTATTCCATGGTGTGTATGTGCCACATTTTCTTAATTCAGTCTATCATTGATGGACATCTGGGTTGGTTCCAAGTCTTTGCTATTGTGAATAGTGCCGCAATAAACATACATGTGCATGTGTCTTTATAGTAGCATGATTTATAATCCTTTGGGTATATACCCAGTAATGGGATGGCTGGGTCAAATGGTATTTCTAGTTCTAGATCCTTGAGGAATCACCACACTGTCTTCCACAATGGTTGAACTAGTTTACAGTCCCACCAACAGTGTAAAAGTGTTCCTATTTCTCCACATTCTCTCCAGCACCTGTTGTTTCCTGACTTTTTAATGATCACCATTCTAACTGGTGTGAGATGGTATCTCATTGCGGTTTTGATTTGCATTTCTCTGATGGCCAGTGATGATGAACATTTTTTTCATGTGTCTGTTGGCTGCCTAAATGTCTTCTTTTGAAAAGTGTTTGTTCATATCCTTTAACCACTTTTTGATGGGGTTGTTTGATTTTTTCTTGTAAATTTGTTTAAGTTCTTTGTGGATTCTGGATATTAGCCCTTTGTCAGATGGGTAGTTTGCAAAAATTTTCTCCCACTCTGTAGGTTGCCTGTTCACTCTGATGGTAGTTTCTTTTGCTGTGCAGAATCTCTTTAGTTTAATTAGATCCCATTTGTCTATTTTGGCTTTTATTGCCATTACTTTTGGTGTTTTAGTCATGAAGTCCTTGCCCATGCCTATGTCCTGAATGGTATTGCCTAGGTTTTCATCTAGGGTTTTTATGATTTTAGGTCTAACATTTAAGTCTTTAATCCATCTTGAATTGATTTTTGTATAAGGTGTAAGGAAGGGATCCAGTTTCAGCTTTCTACATATGGCTAGCCAGTTTTTCCAGCACCATTTATTAAATAGGGAATCCTTTCCCCATTTCTTGTTTCTGTTCAGGTTTGTCAAAGATCAGATGGTTGTAGACGTGTGGTGTTATTTCTGAGGGCTCTATTCTGTTCCATTGGTCTATATTTTGGTTTTGGTACCAGTACCATGCTGTTTTGGTTACCGTAGCCTTGTAGTATAGTTTGAAGTCAGGTAGCATGATGCCTCCAGCTTTGTTCTTTTGGCTTAGGATTGTCTTGGCAATGCAGGCTCTTTTTTGGTTCCATATGAACTTTAGTTTTTTCCAGTTCTGTGAAGAAAGTCGTTGGTAGCTTGATGGGGATGGCATTGAATCTATAAATTACCTTGGGCAGTATGGCCATTTTCACGATGTTGATTCTTCCTATCTCTGAGCATGGAATGTTCTTCTATTTGTTTGTGTCCTCTTTTATTTGTTGAGCAGTGGTTTATAGTTCTCCTTGAAGAGGTCCTTCACATCCCTTGTAAGTTGGATTCCTAGGTATTTTATTCTCTTTGAAGCAATTGTGAATGGGAGTTCACTCATGATTTGGCTCTCTGTCTGTTATTGGTGTATAGGAATGCTTGTGATTTTTGCACACTGATATTGTACCCTGAGACTTTGCTGAAGTTGCTTATCAGCTTAAGGAGATTTTGGGCTGAGACAATGGGGTTTTCTAAATATACAATCATGTCATCTGCAAATAGGGACAATTTGACTTCCTCTTTTCCTAATTGAATACCCTTTATTTCTTTCTCTGGCCTGATTGCCCTGGCCAGAACTTCCAACACTATGTTGAATAGGAGTGGTGAGAGAGAGCATCCCAGTCTTGTGCCAGTTTTCAAAGGGAAGGCTTCCAGTGTTTGCCCATTCAGTATGATATTGGCTGTGGGTTTGTCACAAATAGCTCTTATTATTTTGAGATACGTTCCATCAATACCTAGTTTACTGAGAGCTTTTAGCATGAGGGGCTGTTGAATTTTGTCGAATGCCTTTTCTGCATCTATTGAGATAATCATGTGGTTTTTGTCTTTGGTTCTGTTTATGTGATGGATTACATTTATTGATCTGCATATGTTGAACCAGCCTTGCATCACAGGGATGAAGCCAACTTGATCTTGGTGGATAAGCTTTTTGATATGCTGTTAGATTCTGTTTGCCAGTATATTATTGAGGATTTTCACATCGATGTTCATCAGGGATATTGGTCTAAAATTCTCTTTTTTTGTTGTGTCTCTGCCAGGCTTTGGTATCAGGATGATGCTGGCCTCATAAAATGAGTGAGGGAGAATTTCCTCTTTTTCTATTGATTGGCATAGTTTCAGAAGGAATGGTACCAGCTCCTCTTTGTACCTCTGGTAGAATTCAGCTCTGAATCCATCTGGTCCTGGACTTTTTTTGGTTGGCAGGCTATTAATTATTGCCTCAATTTCAGAGCCTGTTGTTGGTCTATTCAGGGATTCAACTTCTTTCTGGTTTAGTCTTGGGAGGGTATATGGGTGCAGGAATTTATCCATTTCCTCTAGATTTTCTAGTTTATTTGCATAGAGGTGTTTAGAGTATTCTCTGATGCTAGTTTGTATTTCCGTAGGATCAGTGGTGATATCCCCTTTATCATTTTTTATTGCATCTATTTGATTCTTCTCTCTTTTCTTCTTTCTTAGTCTTGCTAGTGTTCTATCTATTTTGTTGCTCTTTTCAAAAAACCAGCTCCTGAATTCATTGACTTTTTGAAGGGTTTTTTGTGTCTCTATCTCCTTTAGTTCTGCTCTGATCTCAGTTATTCTTGCCTTCTGCTAGCTTTTGAATTTGTTTGCTCTTGCTTCTCTATTTCTTTTAATTGGGATGTTAGGGTGTTGATTTTAGATATTTCCTGCTTTCTCTTGTGGGCATTTAGTGCTATAAATATCCCTCTACACATTACTTTAAATGTGTCCCAGATATTCTGGTACGTTGTGTCTTTGTTCTCTTTGGTTTCAAAGAACATCTTTATTTCTGCCTTCATTTCATTACTTACCCAGTAGTCATTCAGGAGCAGGTTGTTCAGTTTTCATGTAGTTGTGTGGTTTTGAGTGAGTTTTTTAATCCTGAGTTCTAATTTGATTGCACTGTGGTCTGAGAGACAGTTTGTTTTGATTTCTGTTCTTTTACATTTGCTGAGGAGTGCTTTACTTCCAACTACGTGGTCAATTTTGGAATAAGTGCAATGTGGTGCTGAGAAGAATGTGTATTCTATTGATTTGGGGTGGAGAATTCTGTAGATGTCTATTAGGTCTGCTTGGTCCAGAGCTGAGTTCAAGTCCTGGATATCCTTGCTAACCTTCTGTCTCGTTGATCTGTCTAATCTTGACAGTGGGGTGTTAAAGTCTCCCATTATTATTGTGTGGGAGTCTAAGTCTCTTTGTAGGTCTCTAAGGACTTGCTTTATGAATCTGGGTGCTCCTGTATTGGGTGCATATATATTTAGCATAGTTAGCTCTTCTTGTTGCATTGATTCCTTTACCATTGTCTAATGGCCTTCTTTGTCTCCTTTGATCTTTGATGGTTTGAAGTCTATTTTAATAGCGACTAGGATTGCAACCTCTGCTTTTTTTTACTTTCCATTTGCTTGGCAGGTCTTCCTCCATCCCTTTATTTTGAGCTTCTGTGTGTCTCTGCACGTGAGATGGGTCTCCTGAATACAGCACACTGATGGGTGTTGACTCTTTATCCAATTTGCCAGTCTGTGTCTTTTAACTGGGGCATTTAGCCCATTTACATTTAAAGTTAATATTGTTATGTGTGAATTTGATCCTATCATTATGATGTTTGCTGGTTATTTTGCTCGTTAGTTGATGCAGTTTCTTCCTAGCATCAATGGTCTTTACAATTTGGCATGTCTTTGCAGTGGCTGGTACCGGTTGTTCCTTTCCATGTTTAGTGCTTCCTTCAGGAGGTCTCTTAAGGTAGGCCTGGTGGTGACAAATCTCTCAGCATTTGAGGATTTTATTTCTCCTTCACTTATGAAGCTTAGTTTGGCTGGATATGAAATTCTGGGTTGAAAATTCTTTTCATTAAGAATGTTGAATATTGGCCCCCACTCTCTTCTGGCTTGTAGAGTTTCTGCCAAGAGATCCACTGTTAGTCTGATGGGCTTCCCTTTGTGGGTAACCCGACCTTTCTCTCTGGCTGCCCTTAACATTTTTTCCTTCCTTTCAACCTTGGTGAATCTGACAATTATGTGTCTTGGGGTTGCTCTTCTCGAAGAGTATCTTTGTGGTGTTCTCTGTATTTCCTGAATTTGAATGTTGGCCTGCCTTGCTAGGTTGGGGAAGTTCTCCTGGATAATATCCTGAAGAGTGTTTTCCAGCTTGGTTCCATTCTGTCACTTTCAGGTACACCAATCAAACGTAGATTTGGTCTTTTCACATAGTCCCATATTTCTTGGAGCCTTTGTTCGTTTCTTTTTACTCTTTTTTCTCTAAACTTTTCTCACCGCATTTCATTCATTTGATCTTCAATCACTGATACACTTTCTTCTGCTTGATTGAATTGGCTACTGAAGCTTATGCATGTGTCATGTAGTTCTCGTGCCATGGTTTTCAGCTCCATCAGGTCATTTAAGGTCTTCTCTACACTGTTTATTCTAGTTAGCCATTTGTCTAATCTTTTTTCAAGGTTTTTAGCTTCCTTGCAATGGGTTTGAACATCCTCTTTTAGCTTGGAGAAGTTTGTTACCACTGACCTTCAGAAGCCTGCTTCTGTCAACTCGTCAAAGTCATTCTCCGTCCAGCTTTGTTCTGTTGCTGGCAAGGAGCTGTGATCCTTTGGAGGAGAAGAGGTGCTCTGGTTTTTAGAATTTTCAGCTTTTCTGCTCTGGTTTCTCCCCATCTTTGTGGTTTTATCTACCTTTGGTCTTTGATGATGGTGACCTACAGATGGGGTTTTGGTGTTGATGTCCTTTCTGTTGATGTTGATGCTATTCCTTTCTGTAGTTTTCCTTCTAACAGTCAGGTCCCTCAGCTGCAGGTCTGTTGGAGTTTGCTGGAGGTCCACTCCAAACCCTGTTTGCCTGAGTATCACCAGCAGAGGCTGCAGAACAGCAAATATTGCTGCCTGATCCTTCCTCTGGAAGCTTCGTCTCAGAGGGGCACCCGGCTGTATGAGGTGTCAGTCGGCCCCTACTGGGAAGTGTCTCCCAGTTAGGCTACATGGGGGTCAGGGACCCACTTGAGGAGGCAGACTGTCCATTCTCAGAGCTCAAACTTCGTGCTGGGAGAACCACTGCTCTCTTCAGAGCTGTCAGACGGGGAACATTTAAGTCTGCAGAAGTTTCTGCTGCCTTTTGTTCAGCTATGCCCTGCCCCCAGAGGTGGAATCTACAGAGGCAGGCAGGCCTGGTTGAGCTACAGTGGGCTCCACCCAGTTGGAGCTTCTGGGCTGCTTTGTTTACCTACTCAAGCCTCAGCAATGGCAGACACCTCTCCCCCAGCCAGGCTGCTGCCTTGCAGTTTGATCTTGGACTGCTGCACTAGCAGTGAGCAAGGCTCCGTGGGTGTGGGACCCACTGAGACAGGTGCGGGATATAATCTCCTGGTGTGCCGTTTGCTAAGACCGTTGGAAAAGCGCAGTATTTGGGTGGCAGTGTCCCGATTTTCCAGGTACAGTCTGTCATGGCTTCCCTTGGCTAGGAAAGGAAAATCCCCAGACCCCTTGAGCTTCCCAGGTGACGTGATGCCCCACCCTGCTTCGGCTCGCCCTCTGTGGGCTGCACCCATTGTCTAACCAGTCCCAGTGAGATGAATCAGGTACCTCAGTTGGAAATGCAGAAATCACCTGTCTTCTGTGTCGATCACAGTGGGAGCTGCAGCTTGTTTGTTTTTAACATGAGAGTCTTAGTAAGGAAAAAAATTTTAGGCTGGGCATGGTGGCTCACACCTGTAATGACAACATTTTGGGAGGCTGATATGGAAGGATCACTTGAGCCCAGGAGTTCAAGACCAGTCTGAGCAACATAGTGAGACCTCATCTCGACTAAAAGAAAAAAAAATTTTTTTTTGAGACGGAGTTTTGCTCTTGTTGCCCAGGCTGAAGTGCAATGGCGCGATCTCGGCTCACCACAACCTCTGCCTCCCAGATTCAAGCAATTCTCCTGCCTCAGCCTCCCGAGTAGCTGGGATTACAGGCACACAGCACCACACCTGGCTAATTTTTGTATTTTTAGTAGAGATGGGGGTTTCTCCATGTTGGAAAAGCTGATTTTGAACTCCCGACCTCAGGTGATCTGCCCGCCTAGACCTCCCAAATTGCTGGGATTACAGGCGTGAGCCACTGTGCCCAGCCAAAAAAGTTTTTTTAATTAGCCAGGCATGGTGATGCACACCTGTAATCCCAGCTACTTGGGAGGCTGAGGTGTGAGGATCACCTGAGCCCAGCAGGTCGAGGCTGCAGGAAGCTGTGATCGCACCACTGCACTCCAGCCTAGGCAACAGAGTGACACCCTGTCACAAAAAAAGAAAGAGAAAATTTAAATCTGTTCCCATCAAATAAAATAATTATTTTTAATTCAAGATAATCAAATAATTAAAAATGCAAACTACTGAATCAGGTAGCAGATCTGATCAGTAAGTGGAGGGTGAGAGCTGTGAGGCACTGTCTTGAAATTAAAAAAAAAAAATTAAACCTAGATAACTGTTCTATAATATCTTACAAGGAGCCTCTCTCACTGCTTAGCACTTGGCTTCTATTCTGTTAATATTCTGAACAAGTCTAGATGTTATACTCAAAAAAGAGATTTTTTGGTTCCAGATCATGGCACAGACACAGAATGGAATCCCCTTAGGAGCAGCAGGATTCCCTGACTGTAATCCAAGGGAACAGAGCCTTCATCCTTGAACACCACTTCTAAGTGAGGCCTAGGACTAAGGTGCTAGGGGTCAGATGCACCTGTGTGGAATGGCTGGGCCTCTTTCTGGGAAGCTTTATCCCCGTCTCCTACCCAGGTGTCCAGAAAGACTCTCCTGGGTCACGGGCCAGCAGCTCACTTTTCCAGCTAGGGCAGTCAAAACCAGAACCATTTAAAACACCAGGGCTACTGAACTGCTTTCACACCTACCCTAGAGCAGAGCCTGTCAATTCACAGCAGTCAAGGAACAAGTTGTAGGCTCTGCCTTTATTTAAAATATGAACAAGTTGAAAGGTGTTTGTGCCTGGCCCAGCAGCAGACCCTCCCCTTTCAGCAACTCACCAGTTTCTCTGGCTGAAGGCGGGGATGCTGGTCAGGCTCTGATCGCTGGCAGGGTAATACTGCGCATACGATGGGCGGGTATAGGGGACTGATGTGCGTTTGTCTTCCTCATAGCTTTTCTTTGCTGCTTTTTTCTCAGCCTTGGTTAGCTTGTGATCCTTTCGGTTCAAGAGCAATGACTCATGCTCGAAAGGCTCCTGGGGACACAGGAGGATGTTGATTTAGTTACCAACATGGCTGATAGATAATGAGCCTTACTTTAGGACCAAGAAAAGAGCTGGCTGTCTCCAGCACTAGCGAAGAGACTGCTCAGAGATACACAGGCAGGTTTACTGTCTTTCTGTCAAGAGTACAATTTATAGCTCTAACCTAGTACCAGCTTTAGACATCTAAGTCTGCCTTCCCTATCAAAAGAATGGGGGAGTTCAGAGAATTAACAAACTACATTTTTAGAACTTTCCCCCTCTCTTTCTGCTAAGAAGACTCACTGGCCAAATTACTATACATGGCTAACCTTAGCACTCCCAGGACCAGATTAGAGGACGGGGTAAGTGGTTGTGGGAAGGGAGGGGGACTGAGTGGGGCAAGAAAAAGAAGTCCTTGAGTCCAAGTCACCTGCATGAAACATCACCTCAGATGAAGAAAAAAGCTTACAAGACAAGCCTCCTTTGACAGAGAGACTGCCACTCTGGGGATTGCATGCATACCAAGTTCTTACCTTGGTGATGAGGTGAGGGTACTTCAGACAGGCCAGTTGCAGGACTGACTCCTTGATCCCCTTTACGTTCAAGGAAACTTGGGGAGCTGGCTCCTTCTCAACAAAGTGCAGTAGGTTTTCCACCTCTTTCCGTGTGAAGTTCAGCATTGGATTTAGATCATCCACCACCCGATCTAGAAGGATAAAGACATGAAGAAAGTCAGCACATGGCATTAAAAACTGTAAAGGTCACTAATAATGAAAAGTCATCCCATATCTGAAAGTCAAAGACTAGGTCTGAGGTGCTGGTGACACTGGAAACATCATATAAGGGGAAAACTTGTATAACGAGCTTGGCTGTTATCATTAAACTCACCTTCAACAAGTTGAGGTCAATTACCTTTTAAGCAATTTGAATCAGAATGAGATAGGAGGAAATGCTGGCTTTCTCGAAGCCTGCCTGTGTTCCCATATCCTGCTCCTCTCCCACCCTTGATACTAAAAGGATGGTAGCCTGTATAGATGTGCCTCTCCGAAGTCTGGAAGATGGCCCACCTGACATGCCCTGCTTGGAAATCTGACGGTCATAGATCTTCTTTTCTAGAGTGTAATCAGCCACAAGGCGATAGATGTAACAGGGCTTTTTCTGGCCATAACGGTATACCCGACATACTGCCTGGGCATCATGGCAAGGGTTCCAGGAAGCATCAAACACCACCACTCGGTTGGCACCAATCAGATTCACACCCAAGCATCCGGCCCTTTAAAAGACAAGCCAACAATCACAGAGCCTTTAGTCTTAAAAAAGGTTTTCAAATCAGTTTTGCCCTCTGTGACTTCTACCCCAATATTACTCTGTCCTAAGCCCTAAGTACAACATACTCAAGGATTTTGCTGTCCTGCTGATAAACAGTACATTCCTCAAGCACTGAAAATTGTGCCCTGAAATCCAACATGAAAGTGTCTACCAGCTCAGAAACAAAACTCACTCTCCTCTGTAACAAGTAAGGCCCCCGCATCCTGGCCTTGGAGGGATGTTCCTTGGTGAGGGGAAACTTCTGCACACAGATGTTTCCACTATTTTTAGTCTAACAGCTTAGGGGAATGACTGGCTTACATCCTGCCAAGGGCATTACGATGGCAGAAGGCAGCACAGCCTTCAAGCTGCTTGGCATGAGACAATACCATCAGCCTTTTACAGTCACCTTGCACTTTCTACTTTTTAAAGCACTTTCATATTCATCACATCATCTAAGCCTCATAACACTCCTGAGAGAAAAGCTAATTAAAACTCTTGGGTATTTTGTTGTTGTTGTTCATTTGTTTGTTTGTTTTTAAATGAGACAGGGTCTCACTCTGTCGCTTAGGCTGGATTGCAGTGGCTCAATCACAGCTCACTGCAGCTTCGACCTCTCAGACTCAAGCCATCCTCCCGCCTCTGCCTCCCAAGTAGCTGGGACCACAGGTGCATGCCACCACACTCAGCTAATTGTTTGATTTTTTGTACAGACAAGGTCTCAGTATCTTGAACCCCTGGGTTCAAGCAATCCTCCCACCTTGGCCTCCCAAAGTGCTGGGGTTACAGGCATGAGCCACAACCATTGTTAATGAAGGTCTCAAAAAATTTTATGATACTATCATGACTGCCCTGCTAACCTAATTTCCTTTTGAAGTTCCCTCTCTGACCCCAGAAACAAGTTACAAACCTGAGCTGATCTCTTCTGAGGGAACTTGGAGTTTTGGGGTACCAGCCCAGGTGGCCAACTGCCTGAACAGATTCCTTTGACCTCCCCTCTTGGGATCCACTCACCTTGTAGAGAGAAGGAACAGCCAGGTGGTGAGGTTGCTGGGATCATTGAACTGATTAATAAGCCGCTCCCTCTCAAAGGCAGGGGTGCTACCATCTAGCCCTAGGAAGGAAGGAAAACCATAAGCAGTGGATATATTAGAGCAAGGATATACAGCAAAATCACTGGGCAAATATGTTTTAAAGAGCAAAACAAATAGAAATACAACAGTGCTCAGATCTCACCCCTTGGACGTATCATGGGTCTACAGTAAGTAAGGCCCAGGCATCTATAATTTGAAAATACCCCCAGGTGATTCTCACATGCACCATGGATTATAAACTACATTTCTCCCCTTTACTATCTTAGGTCAATTCTAAAGCCAAGAATCCTAGACTTCGGAATGTATAGTAATCACCTAGGGAATTTGGAAAATACTGGCTCAAGGTGACCTCTCTGCCTCAGCCTTGTGAGTCCTGGTGAGTGCAGGACTAAGGGTTTTGATATGGATGATGTTCCTCCACCAGGAATCTGCATTTTTAACCAGCTCCTGAAGCTAAGAACTTGCTGTAAAGAGACATAAAGGAAATACATCTGGAACAGTAGGATGGAACACATGAATGAAAGGAGGGAAGCTCCAAAGAGGGAGAAAAAATAGGCTTTAGGGCCGGGCACAGTGGCTCACGCCTGTAATCCCAACAGTTTGGGAGGCCAAGGCGTGCAGATCACGAGGTCAAGAGATCGAGACCATCCTGACCCACATGGTGAAACCCCGTCTCTACTAAAAATACAAAAATTAGCTGGGCATGGTGGCCTGTGCCTGTAGTCCCAGTACTTGGGAGGCTGAGGCAGGAGAATCACTTGAACCTGGGAGACGGAGGCTGCAGTTCAGCCAAGATCACGCCACTGCACTCCAGCCTGGCAAAAGAGTAAGACTTCGTCTCAAAAAAAAAAAAAAAAAAAAAAGACTTCAGTTAAGAAGCATAAATAGTAATGGCAACACTTGTCATCTTGAGTAAATGGTAAAGCTAAGGGCATGAAATACCACATGGAAAACTGAATTACTACTGTTGTAGGAAGCAACAGTTTAATTGCTTGGTACTGGGGTTCTATGTCAGGACCCCAACCTACTTTTCCAACCTGAGTTCAAACAGTTCCCAAACACAGCTCACCACTGATTCATAGGGCAAGCTCTGAGCCACACCTTGTGCTGGGGGTCTTCTTGCTACTCCCTGAACCTCCAGTTCTCTAAATCCTTCTATTAGGGCAGTGGTTCTCAATGAGGGCAATTTCTCCATACTCCCACTCCCCACGGGACATTTTGCAATGTCTGGAGATATTTTTGGTTGTCAAAACTGAGAGATACTACTGCCATCTAGTGAGTAGAAACCAAGCATGCTACTAAATGTCGTATAATATACAGGACAGCCCCTTATAACAAAGAATTATCTGGCCCAAATGTCAGCAGTGCTGAGGTCTGTATTTCTCAACTTTTTTTTCATTACCACCCCACTAAGGAATGACTTTTTTTTTCCCAATGACACTATGTCCTTCATGAAATTTAATACCACAGATAAACTGTATATCTGTTTACGTACTGTATGTACTTGACTTACACATTTTAAAAGTTAAGATTTCCACCCCCTGCTCAAAAAAAAAAAAAAAAAGTTCATCCCCTTAAAGTATTATCTCCCCAACAGAGAATGCATGATCTAGGCTTGTGTTCACTCTGATCTTTCAGCCTGGAATGATCCTCAGGCAACACTAGCCCTGTGTATTCAAATCCTCCCCATTTTTGAGACACCTTAGCTAATCATCCTCACCACAGTGATTCTATCCTCCTTAGAACCCCAGTTAGGGGCACTCAATTGTTCTTGAATTGTCACATCTCAGATGAAGAGAAGGACTATGGCTTCTATTTCTCTACACTCTCCCAACTCTCTCAATCCCCCAGCCCCTAGTACAGTACCTTGTAAACAACAGCTGGCTCTTAGTATCCCCCTGCTCCTTGACTAATCACAAATATTCCTATGCATTTGATGGAGTGGAGAAAGAGAAAGAGAGAGAAGGAAAGGAAACCCTTAAGCAGACCTTGCCAAGGCTTCAAGAACAACGCAACAATGAACTCACGGAAGTAGCTGATGTTTCGAACCCACTTCTGTGCTCCTTGCCCCTCGGTACCAGGTGGACAGGGTACTTCTCGTTTTCCAAGGAATTCCTCGATGAGAGCCAAGGTGGAAAGACTCTGGCTGAAACAGAAAACATTTCGTTCAGATGGCTCCCAGAATTGAGGGAACATTGTTCCCAATAGGTCCATACTCTTGTGCAACTTTCTGACAATGGGAGCTCCCACAACCTACCACTGAAAAGAGGTAACTCTAGGTTGGGCACGGTGGCTCAAGCCTATAATCCCAGCACTTTGGGAGGCCGAGGCGGGTGGATCACCTAAGGTCAGGAGTTCCAGACCAGCCTAGCCAACATGGCAAAACCCCGTCTGTACTAAAAATACAAAAATTAGCTGGGTGTGGTGGCACACGCCTGTAATCCCAGCTATTTGGGAGGCTAAGGCAGGAGAATCACTTGAACCCAGGAGGCGGAGGCTGTAGTGCAGGATCACGCCATTGCACTCCAGCCTGGGCAACAAGAGTGAAACTCTGTCTCAGGAGAAAAAAAAAAAAAAGGGGGTAACTCTAGGTCGGGAACAGTGGCTCACGCCTGTAATCCCAGCACTTGGGAGGCCGAGGCGGGCGGATCACCTGAGGTCAGGAGTTCGAGACCAATCTGGCCAACATGATGAAACCCCATCTCTACTAAAAATCCAAAAATAATTAGCCTGGCATGGTGGCACGTGCCTGTGGTCCCAGCTACTCAGGAGGCTGAAGCAGGAGAATCGTTTGAACCTGGGAAGTGGAAGATGCAGTGAGCCAAGATCACACCACTGCACTCCAGCCTGGGCAGGAAGAGTGAAACTCCATCTCAAAAAAAAAGAAAAAGAAAAAGAAACAGAAAGAGGTAACTATACCAAGAACAACCAAGGGTATCCTTCCTAGCGTATAATGGGAGCAGAGTCATCCACATACTTACGACTACCACCACACTGAAAAAATACTCTCTTCATTCTTCACTTCCACAGCTGAAAATTTCTGGGGTTTAGCTCAATGCAGAGTAACAAATAGCATTCAGCACTAAACACTACCACTGCATGAATATACATCAGATATGATTATGGGTTTTACTAGAGAGACAAAATCACTCGACTGCTTCCAAGATACCATGAGAGCCAGTGTCCTTAGAAGTGATCCATAAAATCAACACTAGGCTCTCCCCAAGCTAAAATCACTGCTGTCCTCTCAAAGTGTGTCACATGTGGAAGCCCTCACTCTGAGGCTCCTGAGCCAGGCTCCTGCCACTTGGCTCTTCTTGGAGCATAATCTGGTCAGATTATAAAGAAGGAGAAGCAATCAACTTTGTTTTCCTGGGGAGTCAAGCCTTAATGAGACTCAAAGCTCTAGCCAGACTGAGAATATAACTCCGGAGCAAACTACATCACTTATTTGGCTTTAAAGACAAAGCTTAAAACTAAAATAAAAGGTTGGGGCGGGATAGAAGATTAAACCAAGGGTCAGCAAACATTTTCTGTAAAAGGACAGATAGCAAATAGTTTAGGCTTTCTTGGCCACATAGAACCTCTGCTGCATATTCTTTGTATGTTTTTTATAACCTTTTAAAAATGTAAAAACTATCCTTAGCTCTCAAAGTAAACAAAAACAGGCCAGAATTTGAAAGATTAGACTCCAGTGCTAACCTAGGGTTCTAAATTGTTCTCTGTGGAGAAATCAAATTGGGCAATGAAAGAAACTCCAAGAGACAGACAACATGCAAGAAGGTCCTCACAATAGCACTTGGGGGAGGCGGGGGTGGTCTTGGTCTTGCTCTGTGGTGGTTTTGTCATTCTTTACCATAGACACACAGCCTCAAATGGAAGTTTCTCATCCTACCTAAACACAAGGATCTTGTCCCCAAGCTTCACACTTTCCTCAATCAGGTGGAAAAGCAGTACCATCTTGGGAGAGTTTTCTAGGACTCCAGTCTGGTAATTAGTCAGAAGGTCCTTGGCCTGCAAGAGAGAAACAAGGCAGCTTAGAGCAGGTCCAAGGCCAGATCACTAGAAATAAAATTATTTCCTTCCAAGGCAGCAGCTCACTGGCCACCTTTATAATTCCATACAGAGACCCTAGCCATGCATCCCTACCCCTTCCCCAGGCAGGGCTTGCACCATCCCTTCTCAGCAATAGTTTATGGTTCCTGAAGGATCTGCTTGACTCACCCATTCATATGTGACAATGTTGTTGCCTCGCTCCTGGAAAGGGTTGAAGCCAACGCCCTGTAGGAACTTGCTATTGGTTGCCTCTCCCATCGAGGAAGCCAAGGTGCTATCCTCTCCCTTGCCTTTTGTTCCCTGTGGTGGACAGCGGGCACTGGTCCCTGCAGAGCCAAGTTCTTCCACGTCTAGGTCCTGCTCATTGGCCAAGCTCTCCTTCTGAAGGGCTTCATACAGCACATCAGGGTGATTCCAGATCTGAGGTTCAAGGAAAGGGAGAGGAGACACAGGACAAAAAACATTCCAAGGGTGTCCCAGGGAGTCTGGAAACACATACTTGCTCAAACACACACGTCCCACAATAAACACTGTCACACCAAAAATTAAAGTCAGAGCCCTTCACAGCCAAAGGGCCTGCATATTTGTTTTGATTATCAGTTCTGGTCACCATGACACATGAATGGCAGCATGCATACCAGGAGCCATGCCAGTAAGTATGTTTGATACATAATCAAAAAAGCTGTCACAAGCCTTTTTGACATTCTTATTCAAATAAGAGTAAGAATGTTCCAGTTTCACAGTGTGGCTACAGTCTGCTACTGTATAAAACTATAGACAAAATGTATCTGACTTATAGTAGACCAATCACATATCATTTCACAGAGTATTCCTAGCAAGAGTTGAGAACTCCCAGGAGAAGAGAGGAAAGGAAGAAGGAAGGATGCAGTGATACCAAAGCATCATCACAGACCACGCTTGCCTTAGTTTCCTGGCCTTGACCCAGGACTGTGGCTATAAAAGAAATATTTGGAAACCCCTCTTGTCCCCAGACACATACCTTCTGCTGACTTATTAAAGCAGTGGTCAATTAAGAATAATACCTAACAGGTCTGCTGAAGAGTAGCCAGGGGTAGAGGTATGAAGTCAATGAAACAGGTCCCTCAAGAAAAGAATGAGAGAGGTCTCAATCTGATTAAGTATGGAATCCAATGGAAGGTACCCCTAATAACTTGTCTAAGCTATATATCTCTTGAATTCTGATTATGCTAGCAGTCAAAAACGCTGCCCCACAGTATTTTTCCATTAATCCCCTTGGAATAACAAGTTGTGCAGCTGAGTTGCACACTGCAGGGGGCATCAGTTATATTACACTGTGTGAATGGCACCCCCAGGAGTTATGTGGTACAAAACCATCACCTCTCTCCTTGGAGCCCCCAAACCTCCAGTGCAGTGAACTGAGGTGGCCCCCTCTCACTTTATTCTCCCTTTATTGAAGACTCTCAGTAGGAGTAACTCCCTTGGGACCATGTGTATCCTTAGTCCCCATCTCAATCTTCCCTGAGGCCCCAATGCACCTTGCAACACACACAGAATGCCTTAAGGGGGTTCAGCCCCAGCCAACCGCTGCTACCACAGTCCCGGAAGCGATCCATGAACTGTGTATACAAATCTCGCTGGATCTTGGAGAGCCGCACAAGGATCACATTTTCTTCCTTGGCAGGGAGATGAATCTTCAGCACAGTGTGGCCTCTCCTATGGAGGCAAACAGAACAGAAACGGCAAGGTAGTGTGGCCAGGAGGGGTCAGCACAAGATAAAAACAGAGCCTTTTGCACTCCTGCCACACCTCCCTCTTGAGGATCTCAACATGCACTGCAGCCTTGCAATAATGCAGAGTGGTTCAACAACCAAGAAGAAACTCACCTTAAGGATGAAAACTAACACTAAGAGGCAGAGTGACCTGTCCCAGGTCAAGTCTGACTGCATGACAGAGACAGGGGAACTTGAGGTTCTTACTTTAATTTGGGCTGCCTCTCTGAGCTTTCGCTCCATATGCCATCTCAACAAGGAAAAATGAGGGGTCTGCTTTAGACTAGCCTAAGGTAAGTCAGCAGAATGGTACCTTTTTCTTGCTTCTCTCAGCAAGTAAGACAGGTGTCTCCAGTACCTTTAAAGATAACTTTTGAGAGAAGCACTTCTAGGCCAAACTTTCAGAGAACTGAAACAGTGGATATCCACCATCTGCTAGCTTGTCACAGGAAGCAAAGTTTTACTACTGCCCCAGGGAAGGGGCCCTCCTACTCCAACACCCTATCCTGTATAACAGGTTTGGCATGCCCTTGGCAACAGGGCCCTCTGAAAATTCAGGAAGCAGGACCCTGAGGATGGCTCACCTCTGCACAAAGCCCTCCAGAAGACTGTGCAGGACATGGCTCCGGTACCGCATGAGGCGGACGTCCTGAGGTGTGCTGTCAATACATTGCCCATTCAGGATAGGGCGTTCAAACATGTTGCTGAACTCCTGCCGGGTGCCAAGGAAGTCTGGGCGCACAAAGTCCACCATGCACCAGTACTCAATGAGGTTGTTTTGCAGAGGGTACCCAGTCAGCACCACCCGGCGGCGAGAGCGGATATTCTTCAGAGCCTGTGAGGTGCTGGCCTGGCAGTTTTTGATGCGGTGTCCCTCATCACAGATTACTACATCAGGGCCAGGGCGGCATAAAGCCTTCTCAAACTCTAGGGAGGGAAGAGGATCCGGAGTCAGAGGGTGACAGGGCCTGCTCTTAGTCAATAATATGAGAAGTAGGGGTGCACCCTGGAGGAGACAGAAGAAATGAAGGAAGCAGGAAAGCAAGAGTCAGCCCCCCTTGGTGAGAGGGTGCCAGCCATTCAAGCTCCTGGATATGACTGGTATGACTTGGTATGAATGCTAATCTGGCAGTTGACTCTTTTTTTTTCTTTTTTGAGACAGAGTCTCACACTGTCGTCCAGGCTGGAGTGCAGTGGCGCAATCTCCGCTCACTGCAACCTCTGCCTCCCGGGTTCAAGCGATTCTCCTGCCTCAGCCTCCCAAGTAGCTGGGATTAGAGGCATGCGCCACCATGCCTGGCTAATTTTTTGTATTTTTAGTAGAGATGGTGTTTCACCATGTTGGCCAGGCTGGTCTCGAACTCCTGACCTCATGATCTGCCTCTGGCAGTTGACTCTTGCAATAAATATCCCTTTCCCCCGTTCCGTTCCTTTCCTTACTTTATTTTTCTTTATGTGAAAAGTATAACTGACTTGCATTCCTAGGGCTTAGACCAACTGGGCAGCAGAGAGAGGGACCTTACAGAGTGCCAGCCTAGGATTAAAAATGCACCTGGATGAAACCAATAGGAATAATCCAGACACTTTAGTAGGCTCTCACCATTGCCAGCGTCTTGACTCCATCTGAGGGCTGGCTGGTAGGAGCTAGCTAAAGGACAGGGTCTTCCCGCAGTTATTTTCCAGTCATTGCTAAATGGCAAATTCATCCCAGCTCTACCATAGAAGCAAACCTAGAACAAACATAATCTCATAGATGAAGAGACTTCTAAAGTGAAATGGCCTCTGAACCCTTAAAAACATTCTTCCCCAAATGAGCAAAGGCCCCTTAGAAGATGGAGTAGAATTAGAACTATGACAGGAATGGTTTTCACTAAAAACAACTGGGATAAATTCTTTTTTATAAATTCACAAACAATAGTATTACTACTTTGTCTTTATATTAGTGATTTAAACACTTTATATTTTCTTCATGCTTTCTCAGAACATCTCTAGAAAGTGGTAAAGGAAATGGTTACTATTCCAACTGTTCTGTAAGAGAAACAGGGATAGACGAACAGAGGAATCTCCCCCAAGCCAGTGTGTGGCCTGGCCTAACCATAACTGCACAGCTGGCAGAGAAAGCAGTACCTTCTCAGAGCCATTGGAAGTCATCCTACTGATCTTGGGAACCAGGATTTTTGGTCCATGATAACAATTCACATCAATAATGCACTTTACATCTGACTAGGTGCTATTAGTAGACATGATTTCTTTTTTCCTGAAACACCAACAAGAGTATTCCTGGGATAGGCTGCCCACCTCTCCGAAACTCCTGCTGCCGATCTTCCTCATCTAGATCAATGATGACTGGGTGAGAACGCTTCTTGGTTTTCTTCGGTCTACCTGTGGCAAATGATTTCTTCAGAGTGAGGAGTCTGTACATCTCGTACCCCATCAGCAGCACGCCACCCTCTGACACCCAATCAGCCATCACTTTAGCACGAGATGCCATCGTCCTGCAAGATGAACAGAGAAAATTGTGTGAGATGTGAATTATATCTCAAGAATTATTGTTTCTGCTGCTCCCAAGGAAGAATTGCTCACAATCAAAGCTGTGTTGATGTACATTCAGAACTTCTTATTACCAAAGATTTCATGTGGCAGCAAGCACAGGGGTAGCCTACCACCCAAGAACCTCCCATCATCCCAGAGAAACTAATTGCACTCAGGATGAACTGGATCATTGATGGTGGTTAAACAGCAAGAAACATAGCAATTCAACTACATAAGGCAAGAGAAAATGACAACCCCCTTGGATATTCAGGCATGACTACAACTCAACATTTGAAGGAGCATTTCAATCCCATGATAAATACAAGGTCACAGAAGGAAGGGCAACATTCTGCAGTTTACTTGCCTGGACTCAAGTGAATAAAGAGCCACAAACAGTAAAGAGGAAAGAGGAGAAGAGACCAGATGACCCTCAGTAAGTCACTCCACTTCCAAACACCGGAGCACTCACTGTATTTCACTGATTGCATGTGGACTAAAAGTCCTGAATGAGCAACCACCTGTGAGGTCAACTAATCATCTCCTCATTTTTATGTGTGTGTCCAAACATCACAAAAGGCACCCTCTGAAAAAAATATAGTAAAGTCTACTTTCTCAATTATCCACACCAATGAGGGGAAAGGTTAGCATGTAGAGCTGGTTTGTTGGATCAAGAAATAGCTTTAGACTTTTGGAAATCAGGTTGACTTTATGGCATACATATATAGATAATTTTATTTAAATCTAAAACAAAGCAAGGCTGACACCTTTCAAAGCTTTGGGAGTTGTACCATTAAAGGTCAATTGCAGACCAGTGCTTAAAAGAAGTGACTAATGATTAGGTTTTTAAGAAAAGTGAAATGTAATAAGTAAAAAATTAGACAGTAGAGACCAGGCATGGTGGCTTACGCCTGTAATCCCAACACTCTGGGAGGACAAGGTGGGCGGATCACCTGAGGTCAGGAGTTCGAGACCAGCCTGGCCAACATGGCAAAACCCTGTCTCTACTAAAAATACAAAAATTAGTCGGACATGGTGATGGGTGCCTGTAATCCCAGCTACTCGGGAGGCTGAGGCAGGAGAATCACTTGAACCTGGGAAGCAGAGGTTGCAGTGAACTGAGATTGCACCACTGCACTCCAGCCTGGGTGACAGAACAAGACTCCGTCTCAAAAAAAAAAAAAAAAAAAAAAAAAAAAATCAGACAGTGGAAAGATCCATTGTTTCGTGTTGAATTTTACTACGATATGCATGGGAAAATATGACCATGCCCACATATTTTTCAAGATATAAAAGCCTCCTAAAGCAGAACACAGGAAATTTCTCAGGCTACTTAACTCTGGCTTTCCTGAAAAGCTAGGTAGAGAAAAAAATGAGTAGCAAGAACAGAGAAAGTGATACATCAGGAAACCAAAAACAAATCTAGATGCACAGGCTACACACTCAAAGAGACTGCCTTAACATCAGATCACGGACAGAAGTCTAAAAGGAAAGGGGCAGAGAGGAAAGGGCAGGCCACCTACTTGTGCTCATCATTCAAGATGTGAACTTTAAAGAACCGAGGCTGGACTTCTTCAGGCTTGTTGTCAGCCGGGAGGGCTTCAGGAGGTGGAAGCCACATGTTGAACTCTGCCAGCCAATTCTGAAGAGTATTAACCTATTAGAAAGCCAAGTCCAAAAAGAGAGTTTTATGGAACAAACTCAGAGCTGAGCTCATCAAGCTTTTTGGTGCCCAGTAAAGGCATTAACACAGAGCTCTTCAGGAGTGACTTAAGTGGTGCCTTCCCAAAAACTCTTACCGGCACAATGGCAAGGACTGTTTTGGCTGGCGTGTGGCGGAAGAGGACGTCGATGAAAGAGATCACTTGCAAAGTTTTCCCCAGACCCATGCTGTGGGCCAGAATACAGCCAAAGCCACTGCTGGTCTTAAACCTCTCCAGAGACTCCACTAGGTTATCGTAAAGGAACCGGATCCCGCCAATCTGACAAGGGACAAAGACAAATGTCAGAGGGGCTCACAAAGATGAGGGCTCCAGTTTTTACTCACTTTGTAATTAGTAAGAATTAAGTAAGTGAGAAGGCGTTATAATAGATAGCAGGTGTGGATGGCCATAGAAGATTCCCTGTACCTTGACTGATCTATTTGCTGGTGACAGTCCTCTTGGAAAAAACAGAAAAGGATTCACTAGTACAGTGTAACACCCCATGTAATGCATGAATCGGTAGTGTCAAATTCCTGACAGGATCTTTCAGTCAGCTTGGCTTCCCTCAGCATTGGAAAGCTCACCCTCTTAAGGCAGCCCATTCCATAGGAGTAGTTTGTTTTTGTTGTTGTTTTTGAGACAGAGTCTGGCTCTGTCACCCAGGCTGGAGTGCAGTGGTGCTATCTCAACTCACTGCAACCTCTGCCTCCCGGGTTCAAGCGATTCTCTTGCCTCAGCCTCCAGAGTAACTGGGATTACAGGCATGCGCCACCATGCCCAGCTAATTTTTGTATTTTCAGTGGAGACAGGGTTTCACCATGTTGCCCAGGCTGGTCTTGAACTCCTGACCTCAGGTGACCTGCCCCCCTCGGTCTCTCAAAGTGCTAGGATTACAGGCATGAGCCACTGTGCCCAGCCACATAGAAGTAGTCCCTATTGCTAAGAGTTCTTTTTTTTTTTTTTGAGACGGAGTCTTGCTCCGTCACCCAAGCTGGAGTGCAAAGGCGCAATCTCAGCTCAGTGCAACCTCCCATTTCCCCGGTTCAAGTGATTCTCCTGCCTCAGCCTCCAGAGTAGCTGGGACTACAGGTATGCACCACCATGCCCACCTAATTTTTGTATTTTTAGTAGAGACGGGGTTTCACCATGTTGGCCAGGATGGTCTCAATCTCCTGCCCTGGTGATCCACCCACCTCGGCCTCCCAAAGCGCCAGGATTACAGGCACGAGCCATCGTGCCCAGCCTTAAGAACTCTTTAACAGGCCAGGCATGGTGGCTCGTGCCTGTAATCCTGGCGCTTTGGGAGGCCAAGGTGTGCAGATTACCTGAGGTTGGGAGTTCAAGACCATCCTGGTGAACATGGTGAAACCCCGGCTCTACTAAAAATACAAACAATTAGCCGGGTGCAGTGGTGCACAACTGTAATCCCAGCTACTTGGGAGGCTGAGGCAGGAGAATCGCTTGAGCCTGGGAGGCGGAGATTGGAGTGAGCCGAGATTGTGCCACTGCACTCCAGCCTGGGCTACAGAGTGAGACTTCGTCTCAACAACAACAACAACAACAACAGAAGAGTTTTTAAGCTGAGTTATGCACAATAGCCAAAATACGTAATCAACCCAAGTGTCTATCAGTGGAAGAAAGGATAAAGAAAATGTGGTGCCTATGCACAATGGAATATTATTCAGCCACGAAAAATGAAATCCTGTCATTTGCAGCAACATGGATGGAACTGGAGGTCATTATGTTAAATGAAACCCGCCAGGCACAGAAAGACAAATATCACACATTCTCACTCATGTGGGAGAACTAAAAAAGTTGATCTCATGGAAGTAGAAAATAGAATGGTAATTACCAGAGGCTGAGAAGGGAGAGGAGGGGGAGGAAGAGACGTTGGTTAATGGGTACAAAAATACAGTTAGACAGGTCAGGCATGGTGGCTCACGCCTGTAATCCTAACACTTTGGGAGGCCAAGGCAGGAGGACTGCTTGAGCTCAGGACTTCAAAACCGGACTAGGCAACATAGTGAGACCTCGTCTCTACAAAAAAATTAAAAATTAGTTGGGCATGGTGGCATGAGGCTGTAGTCCCAGCTACTTAGGCTGAGGTGGAGGATCACCTGAGCCCAGGGAGTGAAGGCTGCAGTGAGTCGTGATCACTGCACTCCAGCCTGGGCGACAGAGCAAGAGCCTGTCTCAAAAACAAAGAGTTTTCAGCCAGGCACAATGGCTTAGGCCTGTTATCCCAGCACTTTGGGAGGCTGAGGCAGGTGGATCGCTTGAGCTCAGGAGTTCAAGATCAGCTTGGGCAACGTGGCGAAACCTCATCTCTACAAAAAAAAAAAAAAAAATTGGCTGGGTGTGGTGGTATAGGCCTATAGTCCCAGCCTGAGAAACAGAGCAAGACCCTGTCTCAGGAGAAAAAAAAAAAAAAAAAAGAGTTCTTAATCGTAAACTGAGTCAATGTCTGTCTTCATGGTACTTCTACTCACTAGTCCTGGTTCCAGGCTCTGGATCAACACAAACTACTCTACTCCCTCATACCAGAAAGTCCCCCCATCTTCTGACTCTCACATCTCTTCTAGATCCAGACCTTCCTAATCAAAGCACTGCTCACCAGAGAGCACCTCAGTCATGGGATCCCACAGAAAGAGGCTCAAATTATTAGGTCAAGAGATCCAGTGCTTTCTACGGAGTAGGGCAAACCTGAAGCTTGTCTCTTCCCTTTCCCTGTCCCTTCCTATTCATCAGGAATCCTGAAACATCAACTGCTAGAAGGAAGTATCAGGTCTTTCCAACAGCTGAACAAGCTGCTCTTGGTACCAAACAAGTACTTCACAGGCTGTGACGCTAATAACCACCAGCAGGCAATGTTCACAACAAGGAAACAAAAAGGAAAAGGAGAAAACAGTCAAGGTTTGCTGTACCTGATGAGGTTTCACAGCCCGTGCCAACTGTGGGGCAAGGAAGACATTTTCCTCCTCTGGAGGGTGGTTTAGGTTGACAAGGACCCGCCCAAGGGCGTCACGCTGGTTTAAGACATCATTGACATGGGTGCCACCCTTCTCTTCTTCCTCATCATCTTCACTGACAGATTCACTGCTGTCCACAATGTGCAGAGTGTCCTCCTCTCCAGAGCTCAGTTCAATCACCTCTGAGACAGCAAAAAAAAGCAAAACCAAAAATCCAGGGAGTGAAGATAATTTACTGCACACAGTCAGAGCAGAAGACTACAGAAACTTAAAGTTAGAACTTGTCAACACTTATTAAAATTTTGACTTTTACTATTTCTCTCTTTCAGCTTCAAGTTAAGACAAGCAAAAAACTTATATTTACCAAGGAGACACAGGGAAATTAGTCAAAGCCACATCCCAAATTGAAGGAGGAAGGACTGGACTCTTTTCAAAGTATAGCCGATCTCAGCATGAACACCAGGTCGGAAGAAAGGGAGGCACCTGGTTTGATCTTACCATCTCGACTGCTTTTTTCATCCTCACTGCCACTGCTACTGTCCAAACAAATGACTTCCTGGGCCAAGACCCGAGGAGGCAGTTGGGGACCGTCACTTGCCCTTAAAGCAATTTCCTCTAGGAAAAGCAAAATGGAAGGGAACGGTGTCAAGACCACATTTGGCTCTAACATATTTCCCAAAACAATTCACCACCCCTTTTCTTTTATAGCTCTCATGGGGAGTATCCACTGAGAAGAGAAGCAGAGCCCATCTCAAAAACCTCAGCCCTCCTTCCAAATTCCCTTTCTCTACTGGTTTTTCCTTCCTGCTATCCACCTGACCACCAGAAAAGGTCCCAATCCTTTGGTAAGTTAAAATCCAAAGTTATGAGGAAAAATCTAGATAAAACCTATTTAAAGAGTACATTTTTATTCATTTTAGCTTTTTAAATGATCTTCTTCTGATTGTGTGCTCTCAAGAAGCTGAATGACTTTAAAGGATTCCTGAGAGGCCACAATTATTTTTATTTTTATTTTTATTTTTTTGAGATAGAGTCTCACTCTGTCACCTAGGCTGGAGTACAGTGGCGCAGTCTCAGCTCCCTGCAACCTCCACCTCCCTGGTTCAAGCTATTCCCCCTGCCTCAGCCTCCTAGTAGCTGGGATTACAGGCTCACGCCACCACGCCCGGCTAATTTTTTTTTGTATTTTTAGTAGAGACGGGGTTTCACCATGTTGGCCAGACTGGTCTCGAACTCCTGAACTCAGGCAATCCATCTGCCTCAGCCTCCCATAATGCTGGGATTACAGGCGTGAGCCACCGCGCCCAGCCGAGAGGCCACAGTCTTATTCCAGATCTGCTTTTGACCACTGTGTGCACCTAGGGCTTCTTCCTCCTGAAGCAAAGGGCCTTCCCTGCCATGTCCACTGCTTACCAGGGAGGAACTCCAGCGGAACAGTAGGAATAGGGGCTGCATAATCTTTCCTCTGCTGCTCCAGGCGCTTCCTTCTTTCCAACTCTTCTTGCTGTGCTGCTTTGGTAACAGGCTCCAATTGATCCTCCCGGAGTAGCTTTCTAAACATTCACATAAGAGACAGCACTTGGGTTCAATTAAGATTTGGGCAATGTAATGGCAAGCTAAAGAGAGAAATAGCCATTGATGATCTCAGAGTCGAGGCGGGAGAAGGAGAAGCCACATCAGCCCCACCATACCCATGCAAGGAGCAGCATTCAAAAAACAGGATATCAAACTCAGATGGCTCTAGGCTAATACTTTCTATATTATTTAACTCCCCGACCTGCCAACTCATCTCTCCACATAACAGATCAAGAATAAACTAGAGTAATATTTGATTCACAAAGCTGAAAAGCAGTATTAAAAATAGTGTTGTTGGCCAGGTGTGGTGGTTCACGCCTGTAATCCCAGCACTTTGGGAGGCTGAGGCAGGTGGATCACCTGAGGTCAGGAGTTCGAGACCAGTCTGGCTAACACGGCAAAACCCCGTCTCTACTAAAAATACAAAAATTAGCCAGGTGTGGTGGTGCACACCTGTAGTCCCAGCTACTCAGGAGGCTGAGGCAGGAGAATCGCTTGAACCTGGGAGGCAGAGGTTGCAATGAGCCAAGACTGCACCACTGTACTCCAGCCTGGGTGACAGAGTGAGGCTTCATCTCAAGAAAAAAAAATAGTGTTGTCATGTAGAAAAGAAATTAGGATTGGCCGGGCACAGTGGCTCATGCCTGAAATCCCAGCACTTTGGGAGGCGAAGGTGGGCAGTTCACTTGAAGCCAGGAGTTCAAGACCAGTTCAGCCAACGTGGCAAAACCCTGTCTCTACTACAAATACAAAAATTAGCCAGGTGTGGTGGCGGGCACCTATGGTTCCAGCTACTCAGGAGGTTGAAGCACAAGAACCGCTAGAACACGGGAGGTGGGGGTACAGTGAGCCAAGATCACGCCACTGCACTCCAGCCTGGGCAACAGAGAGAGACTTTATCTCAAAAAAAATAAATAAATAAATTAAGAAAAGAAAAGAAACTAGGGTTACAGGGATTCTATATTATTTTCAAACTCAGAGTAATATTTCAAGTTGTCGTTATTTTTTTTTTTAAGTGGAGGCAGGAGGAGAAAAAGATATCATTCATTTCTTTTCAATGGCACGCATTGTTATTTGATGGAAGGAAGAACTGTTGGGGATTTGGATAGTTAAAGAAGTTCACATTTTTGCTCTTAGAAGGAGTCTTGCTTTGGGTCAGACAGTCCTCTACCATTTGAAGTTGACGTCTAAGAAGATGAGAACTCAACTTTATAAAGTCTCCTCTTGTTTTGAGACAAAAGGAAAAATAGAGGAAAAACCGGAAAGTCCAGCTCAGAGCACCCTATCATCTTCGGGCTGCCACCTGGGGCCTCCAGAGAGTAGAAGACCCTCCAGCAGTGGTCAAGGCCTTTCTCATTCTCCCTACAGTCCTCTGAATGCCCAAGTCCAGTGATCCTGAGCTGCACCTTCACTATTAATGAAGACACACACCTGACACTTTTCTCCTTTGGAGAGAGAACTGTCCTTCCCAAATCAGTCTTTTTGCTATTGACAGCCTTAAGATGAAGGTAAAATCTCTATTCCTTTCCCTCTCCTCTTACACAGAGCACAGCTCACCGTATGTTTCTTCTCATGTGGGAGGGCTTCTGAGCTCTCTTCTTTTTGGGGTCCTCGGAGGCTAGGTTCTTGCCTTGGTGGCGCCTAAGCTGCTCTGAAGGCTCAGACTGAGATGAGGTAGTTGAAGTGCACCGCGGCGGCTGCTGCCCATCTTCTCCCAACTGGGCATGCTCAGTGCCACACATGCCTTCCAGGGATGGGTCTGAAAAAACAAGGGGAAAGACATTGCTTTATAGGGGTGAGGGGGAATGAGTCTGGATGACAGACACACCTGGGTTCAAATCTCAACTCAGCAACTTATTAGCTGGTAATCTAAGGCAAATTCTTTATATCTCTCTGAACATCAGTGGATGTATCTACAAAATGAGGATAGTGAGGCCCATACCTCAGAGCTATTGTGAGGACTGCATAGCGTGCATGCCTAGAACCAAGCCTGGCCCAGAGTAAGCCCACAACAAATGATAGCCATCACTATTACTGTAGTTTAGTGCTATGATCAGAGTTAGTAAGTTTCATGGCCTCAGAATGCTCAGAAAGGGACAAACTGAGCAGCTAGGCTCCAAATATAGCTCATACCCAGTGGTATGACTCTAAGCAAGTCCATTCACCTCTCATCTGTCTTAAAGCATTCACTCACTCAAACTTGCCAATCATTTCATGAGGGCTTATGGCAAGCAATATCCTAGACGCTTCAAGGGATATTTGTAAGATTCCTTCCCCTCATGAAGTTTAGAAGGTTTTGTAAGACTCCTTCCCTTCAAGAAGTTTGTGTTCTGCTTAGGGAGACAGGGCATGTACAAACACAGACTCAACATGGCAAGGTGTGCTATATATCACAGGAAGGGCAGATCAACAGATATAAAGAACTTTAAGGTTGAAGACATCACAGGAATTTGAAAGATACTAATACATGTAATGATCATGAAGGAACTATATGGGAGGTAAAATGTGAGTCAGGCCTTGAAAGATAAGCAGAATGTCTAAAGGTAATGCCTTAAAAGATAGTTGGGGGCTGGGCGCGGTGGCTCATGCCTGTAATCCCAACTCTTTGATAGGCTGAGGCGGGAGGATCACCTGAGGTCAGGAGTTCGAGACCAGCCTGGCAAACACGGCAAAACCCAGTCTCTACTAAAAATACAAAAATTAGCCAGGCATGGTGGCGGGCGCCTGTAATCCCAGCTACTCGGGAGGCTAAGGCAGGAGCATCAATTGAACCCAGGAGGCGGAGGTTGCAGTGAGCCAAGATCACACCATTGCACTCCAGCCTGGGCGACATAATGAGACTCCCTCTTAAAAAAAAAAAAAAAAAAAAAAAAAAGATCGTTGGGGGTCCAGGGGATGTCATTTGTAACATCCAATACCAGCAAGGACTGGGGTTGGAGTAGGCGGATCCATGTGCATACCCCTGTCCTCAGCCTGCTGAGTAGCATTCTGTTCACTGGGTAGGCAGGCTTTGAGAGTCACATAGACCACAAGCCTGTCCCCAAATTCATCAGAGCCTCCCAGACACAGGCACTACACAACCAAAAGGTCTTTCCCAAAGGTAACAAGAATTCAGAACTAGAATATAAATGCCAGAACTGAGGTGCTCTAGACAATGCCATTTGGATCTCAGGCAGGAAGGACCCAGGAACTTTGTGGGGTTTTTTTGGTTGTTTTTTTTTGGTGGGGTCGGCGGGGTTGGAGGGCTGGTGGCTTATTGTTTGCTTTTAACTATAGACTTTATTGGGATTTCACCAGTTTTCCATTAATATCCTTTTTTCTGTTACAGGACCCCATCCAGGATACTATGTTGCATTTAGCTGTCATGTCACCTTAGTCTCCTCTAAACTATGGCAGCTTCTCAGTCTATTCTGGTCTCTCATGACCTTTAACACTATTTTTTTTTTGTAAGAGATAGGGTCTTGCTCTGATGCCCAGGCTGCAGTACAGTGGCACAATCATACCTCACTGTAGCCTCAAACTCCTGGACTCAAACGATCTCCCAGCCTCAGCCTCTCAGGTAGCTGGGACTACAGGTGCATGCCATCACACCCAGCTAATTTTTTTTTTCTTTTTTGTAGAGACAAGGTCTCGATATGTTGGCCAGGCTGGTTTCAAACTCCTGGCCTCAAGTGATCCTTCTGCCTCACATTCCCAATGTGCTTGGAGTATAGGCATGAGCCACTGCACCAAGCCTCACCCACTAATTTTAATGTTCATCGGTGGGTCTTACCTAGAGCCAATTATTACTGTGGTATGTTAATGGTGGTTTTCTATTTTCCTCTTTCCTTCTACATTTATTATTTGGAATTTTTCTGTAGGGAAGAATTGTCCTATTTATTGATTGATTGGTTGAGATGGAGTTTCACTCTTGTTGCCCAGGCTGGAATACAATGACACGATCTCAGCTCACCTCAACCTCCGCCTCCCGGGTTCAAGCGATTCTCCTGCCTCAGCCTCCCGAGTAGCTGGGATTACAGGCACGTGCCACCACGCCCAGCTAATTTTGTATTTTTAGTAGAGATGGGGTTTCTCCACGTTGGTCAGGGTGGTCTCGAACTCCCGACCTCAAGTGATCCACCCACTTCAGCCTCCCAAAGTGCTGGGATTACAGGAGTGAGCCACTGTGCCCGGCCTCCCATTTATTTATTCAACTTTTTTTCTATGAGTATGTAGTCAAGTGTCTTTGGGGTAAGAAACATTCAACCTGAGAGCCTTTGGTAAAGAGAGGTGGGGCTGTCATTAAGTCTTGATGAATGAACCTGTAAGCTGATGTTCCCTAGGCCAAAAGAATGATGTACCATGGGTCATCATCCTATGCACTCAGCCACCACTAAGAAATAACATATGGGCTGTCTTACCACTCACTGGCTGAATCAGGGAATTGTGAGTATCCATGTTACTGCTCACCTTCCATAGCTTGGTATGGCCTCCTCCTTGTCATATTACTACTCCAGTTTCCTTATGGTCCCTTTCATGTTGATGCCAGATTCTAGAACAGCATGAAGTTCAAAACTAATGTTTGCCACAAGTTAACATGGCATAGGGGTTCAGTAAGGACACTGGAGCCAGACTGATGGAGTGTGAACTCCAGCTATGCCCGTTATTATATCTTTCTGTTCATGTTTAAAAACGGACTGGAGGAGAACAATTGTAGTAACCTCTAAGGGTTGTGGTGATGATTTTATAAGATAGCCTAAATTAAGAACTAAAACAGGCCAAGTGTGGCTCACGCCTGTAATCCCAGCACTCTGGGAGGCCATGGTCAGGGAATTGCTTGAGCCCAGGAGTTTGAGACCAGCCTGGGCAACATAGCAAAACCCCATCTCTCAAAAAAAAGAAAGAAAATAAACTAAATTAAATTAAAATGAGCATGGTGTCATGCACTTGTGCTTGTAGTCCCAGCTACTCAAGAGGCTAAGGCAGGAGGATTGCTTAAGCTTGGGAGGTGGAGGCTGCAGTGAGCCATGACCACGCCACTCACTGTACTCCAGCCCGGGCAACAGAGCAAGACCCTGTCTAAAAAAAAAAAAAAAAAAACCACACACACCAGAAAGAAAGAACTAAAACAATGTCTGCCACATAGTAAACACTATATTTAAAAAACAAACAAACAAACAAAAAACAGCTGCTGCTTTTACTATGACTACTACTATTCCAGGTATGAGGTATGGATTGTTTTTTACATTACCTCCTTTCTCCCTTATAATAACTCTACGAGACTTTTGCTCCCCTAATTCTAAATATGAGAATTTTTGCTCCCCTAAATTCTTTTTTTTTTTTTTTTTTTTTGTGAGACGGAGTCTCGCTGTGTCACCCAGGCTGGACTGCAGTGTGGCGCAATCTCGGATCACTGTAAGCTCCACCTCCCAGATTCACACCATTCTCCTGCCTCCACCTCCCAAGTAGCTGGGACTACAGGTGCCCACCACCATGCCCGGCTAATTTTTTTTGTATTTTTAGTAGAGATGGGGTTTCACCGTGTTAGCCAGGATGGTCTCGATCTCCTGACCTCGTGATCCACCCGCCTCAGCCTCCCAAAGTGCTGGGATTACAGGCATGAGCCCCCATACCCAGCCTTTGCTCCCCTAATTCTAAATATGAGACATTGAAGCCCTGAGAAGTTATAAATATTTGCCCATGGGTATATAAGAAATAAGCAGAAAAACAGGAGCAGGCAGTTAAAAGTATGAGCTTTGCATTTAGGCAGTACTGGCTTTAAATCCTGTAGCTCTATGTTTATGGATGCAACTTCTCTGAGCCACAGTTCCCACATCTGCAAAATAGGGATGTCAATGGTTATCTTGTGGAAGATACTATTCTTCAAACCCTTATCTGCCTAACTCCGTGGAATTCCATACTCCCAACTACATTGAATGGTCTGGGAGCATGCAAAGCTTGGGGGCCTTGGTCAGACATGCTGAGTGATGACATTTGTGTAGAGAATTCAAATCTCAATTATATTTCCCAATCAAAGATCAGAAATAAGAAAGCAAAGGGGGAAGCAGAAATGACATGTGCAAACTGCATCTTGTTGTCACAAAATGAATGTTTCTTACACACACATACTGCCTCGATGAAATTGTAGACTACACTTTCATGTTAAACCTCTCCACGTGAGACTACTACAAACCAGCCACTGTTGCCTCTCCTGCTCCCTGCTTTCAATTTAGCCCAACACACATATGAACATCTGCTAGGTTCCAGGCCCTGTGCCAAGGCACAGTGGAATAGACCACATGGGGAAACACATATGCTATATGGAAAGTGCCCAAGAGCAGTAACACTTGAGGAAAAAACACCAAATCCAGCCTTACTGGCTGGGCATTGGGGCGCTTCCTTGGGAAGAGCGAGACCTGGGTTTGAAATAACAGAATGGGTAGGCACCAGCTAAAATGAAGGAAGTAAAGCAGCAACAAGAAGGACCTTCCAACCCAACAACCACTTTCCTGTCCCCTTCCTGGAGCTCCTCATCCAAGGGAGACTTAGGTGAGGATCCAAGATCCTTCTCTGGATGCTGGTACAGAAGTCAACCCCTGTCCTGGGTAAGACTACTCCCAACCCTCTCCTTCCTGGCATTCTACTTTCCACTGCCCTGGTGTTTGGGTGGACATGGGAGACTAATGTGATTACTGTAAAAGTGGACAGATGGGTGGGTCTCGCATGTGGATGCCCAGGATGATTCACTCCCCTGCAGCAGCACTGGCAGCAACTTCCTTGGCCCTCAACTGAGAGACGGTTTCGGGTAGACAGCTTTTGCTTTTCAAAAAGCAAAGGAGAAATGGTCAAGAAAGGCATCAGACAAGAAATGCTCATGATGGGACACTGCAATACCATTAACATAAACAAGAGGTTAAAATGTCACACTCCTTTCTCCATTACCACCGGTCTGTAATAGGCCTATTACAAAAAGCCTCCCAAAGAAAGCAGAGGCTAGGGTGGCAAGCAGCACTAGGAATGTACTGCGTGTGTGAGCCTTGGTTCATGGACATGTTCTACCTGCTGAGGAAACAAAGGGCCATTGCTTATGTGCCCAGCCAGACATGAGAACTAAAAGAGAAGTTTCAAAGTAGAGCTCCAAGTGTGACTAGCTACCCTCTCAAATTCACTAACCTCTTCAAACAGTGCTCTCCAATTTCCACCTGAAACATCAGATTTGAGCAAGTTCAGCAATTCCCTGTTTTCCTTTAAAAGAACTATCATTCTTTCTGGCCCTCTACCCCTCCAAAGACCTAACACTTCCACAGCATTTTCACATAATACTGCTGTCAACTTCTTCCTACTTCACAGCCCTGAATTCTTCCCTCCTAAAAGGGGAGGCCATCAAATTCCTCATCCCAAACAGTTGGCTGGGCAGCAGACTCCCCAAGAGAGGATATCTACTGCTAAATGACTACTTCCACCAATACTGCAACTTGGCCTACAACATACCGACTACACTTGAGGCTGGGTTGGCACACTTCAACTTAGTGTTTTGCTGGGTCCTCTGGCCTGATTCTGATAATGACCTCTGATGCTCTCCTGGTCTTTTTTGTTTTGTTTCTATTTCACAAGCAAATTTATTGAGCAATCACTTGGAGGAACAGTTGGAGGCAAGATTAGAGAGTAGGCAGATAGGACAGAGTCAGAGAACAGAGGGCAAGTCCAGAGGGTTTGAAATTGATCTGCTGGGCAGGGGGGAACTTTTTGCCAACTGCTGTATTTCCTTGTTCTGGCTTCTGCCTTGTGGAATGGGCTGTTCCCGGGAGGAGAAAGAATGGAACCTGCTGACCTTTCAATATCACCAACAGATTTATTATCAAACATTCATCCCAAGTTATAAGGCTTGTGGCCCACTGTGAACTCCTGTCTGACATGAGGCTGAATGTGGCCAAGTGCAGTAACAATTTTAAAATCATCAGGCACAGTATATTTAATTCTCATGCCTTATACAGATGATACATGTCTAAACCAGTTCCTTACCACCCAGCATTCTTTGAATGAATCCTCAGCTTCTGGGTTCAACAACTACTTTTAGCTTATTAAAGGAATTTAGTTTACAGATGTGCTAATATTTAAAGTTCATTGTCATGTAAATACATGTCTTTCAAGTGCTTCATTTTTGCTGTTTCATGATGATTATGGTTTTTACATAACATTATAATAGATGCTATACCTTTAATAAACTATTCTTAATAAAAAATCTGTTATTTCAAAAATTCTATAATTAAATTTCCTTCAGTCAAAATGTAACTTTTCACTGTGTTGTTTTTTTTTTACCTTCTGAACACTGAATCAAGTGAATTCACAACCTAAGCAAAATAATGTAACTTCCAAAAAATAGCCCTTCCCCAGATTCTAGACTATAACCCACCAACAGTTACTGAGAGAAAAGAAAAAAAGTTCAATAAGGAGGTAAAGAGACATGTGCTTTGACAGACAACAAATGTAAATTAAATTAGTATCTGCATAGTTTAAAAGTCAATGACTATTACTACCACAGTTCAGGATTACAGAATCAGGCCTAGTTGCAAATACCCCTGAACTTTCTCCTTCACGTGAGCCAGCTGTGAGCAGTAACCACAAGAGTTATATAAACACCAAAGAACACTTACATAAGTTTCTTGGGAATGAATTATGAACACCACCACTATAAATTTGACTAGGCAAATGAGTAGCTTTGAAAGAAAAATTCCTACGTTACATTCAATGAAGGTACAAGGTACAAACACTTCCAGGACTCTTTCCCCAGGGGTTCCATCTCTTCTCTCTCCTATTGTATAAAAAAGATGAACTGAACTCCTGAGACATGCAATTTACCTATATAACAAACCCACACATGTACCCCTGAACCTAAAAGTTAAAAAAAAAAAAAAAAAAAAAAAAGACCAGTAGGACCAGGCCCAGTGGATCACGCCTGTAATCCCAGCATTCTGGGAGGCTAAGGTGGGAGGATCACTTGACCCCAGGAGTTCAAGACCAGACTGGGCAACATAGAGAAACTGCCATCTCTACAAAAAAAAAAAAAAAAAAAATTAGCTGAGCATAGTGGTGCAGGCCTGTAGCAACCCTGGAGGCTGAGGTGGGAGAACCGCTTGAGCCCAGGAAGTTGAGGCTACAGGGAGCCAAGGTTATACCACTGCACCACACTCTAGTCTGGGCAACAGAGCAAGACCCTGTCTATTAAAACAAAAAAATGAAAAAAAAAGACTCAAAGTCTCACCATATTTCTCCTGATGTGATGCAACTGGATGCACACACTACAAGCTACGATGTCTGTGTGCCAAAAACTCTGCACCGGAGCCTGAACACACCTTAAGATCTCACTCTTAGTTTACAAAAATACAGAGGACAACAGCAGAATGCAGTCTCTACAATACATAATGCACAGAGATATGCATTGTTTAATCAAAATTCACTAGATATGCAAAGAAACAGGAAAATATGATCCATAGCCCAGAAAATTCAGTCAAGAGCAATGTAGATAGACTAAGCTGTTAGACTGCCAGCCAGGACCTTCCTAAATTGCTTACCTTCAGAAGCCAAGAGAAATAATATTGTTTAAAGCCACTAAGTTTCAGGGTGATTTATGACACACCAGTAGTAATTGAAATAGAAATTTGGTATATCGGTCCTGCCACACACAAAAAAATTAAACCATGACACTGTATTTGAGATAATGTGGTGAATGGAAAACTGGAAAGGCCATGAGGAGACCGGTAGTAAAAGCCTACAGGTCATCAAGGACATTGTTGGTAAAGTATAAAGGAAAATGTTATAGGAAACTGGAAAAAAAAAAAAAAGAGAGACACATTGCACTGTGTCAGAAACTTTAGCAACTCTGTCACCTGCAATAATATGAAAAACAGAGATTGAATCCAGAGCAGGCCTATGAGACCTTTTGTTACAGTCTCAAAAATATTTAAGATAGTGCCTAGACCAGGCGTGGTGGCTCACGCCTATAATCCCAGCACTTTGGGAGGCCAAGGCAGACGGATCACGAGGTCAGGAGTTCGAGACCGGCCTGACCAACATGGTGAAACCCCACCTCTACTAAAAATACAAAAAATTAGCCACGCGTGGTGGCGGGTGCCTATAATCCCAGCTACTCAGGAGGCTGAGGCAGGAGAATTGCTTGAACCCGGGAGGCAGAGGTTGCAGTGAGCTGAGATCACGCCACTGCACTCCAGCCTGGGCAACAGAGCAAGACTCTGTCTCAAACAAACAAACAAACAAACAAAAAAGATAGTGCCTCACAGACCTTTTCCAACAGACAAGAGGCCTCCTGAAGATCTTAAAGGCATACCTAGCAGACCTTCTCCATTAAACAGAGCTTAGAAAAATCTTAGAATATTATCCCACAGCAGCTTCAGCAATTTCCCACCCACATTCAAGGGAAAGAAATTAGAATCCACCTCTCAATTGGAGGAGTATCAAGGTCAACTCTAGAAAACCATGTGGGATAGAAGATATTGTTTTATTTATCTATGGAAAAAAGTCTGCCATATTCCACTCTCTGGCCACAGTAACTCACATTCTTGTCATATGCAAAATATACTTCCCTCTCTGAAGAACCCCCCCAAGTCATTACAGCGTCAGCTCAAAGTCCAAGATCTTATTGTCTAACTCAAATTGACATATGGATGTGGCTCTCCACTGTAGTTCCTTGGATACACTTCTTAAGTATAGTTTCTCTGTCCTTCTTTCTTTATTTTTTCAGACAGAGTCTTGCTCTGTCACCCAGTCGGGGGTACGGTGGCACAATCAATGCTCACTGCAGCCACCACCTCCAGGATTCAAGCAACCAATCCTCCCACCTCAGGCCCCTGAGTAGCTGGACCACAGACACACACCATCACATCTGGCTAATTTTGTAATAAAGATTTAATAAAGCAGGACACAAAAAGCTCAAATCACAAAGAAAAAAACTGGTAAAATGTACTTCATCAAAATTTAAAACCTCTGCTCCTCAAAAGACACCCACAGAAAAAGGAAAATCAAGTCACAATCTGGCCACAATCTGGTGCAGTGACTCACGCCTGTAATCCCAGCACTTCGGGAGGCCAAGGCAGGCAGATCACGAGGTCAGGAGAGCGAGACCATCCTGGCTACTAACATGGTGAAACCCTGTCTCCACTTAAAAAAAAAAAAAAAAAAAATACAAAATATTAGCCGGGCATGGTGGCACGTGCCTGTAGTCCCAGCTACTCCGGAGGATGAGGCAAGAGAATTGCTTGAACCCAGGAAGCGGAGGTTGTAATGAGGCGAGATAGCACCACTGCACTCCAGCCTGAGCGACAGAGTGAGACTCCGTCTCAAAAAAAAAAGACTTACATATCTAGAAACATGTATGTATTAAATATACATTATTTATTATATATTTAAAATGTGGTGTGTGTATTTATATTTTAGAGACAGAATTTTGCTCTGTCACGAGAGTTGAAGTGCTGTGGCACAATCATGGCTCACTCACTGCAGCCTGAAACTCCCAGGTTCAAGTGATCCTCCTGTCAAGTAGTTCTCCTGAGCAGCTGGGACTACAGGCAAGCACTACCACACCTGGCTAATTTTTAAATTTTTTGTAGAGACAGGGTCTCACTATGTTGCCCAGGCTGATCTTAAACTCCTAGCCTCAAGTAATCCTCCCGCCTCAGCCTCCCAAATCTCTGGGGTTACAGACATGAGTCACCATACCTGGCCTAGAATATATTTCTAAAACTCTTGCAATTCAGTAAGACTACACAGAATCCAATAAAAAGGGGCAAATGAGAAGAAACAGATACTTTACAAAAAGAGACATACAAATAGCCAATGAACATGTGAAAAGATGCTCAATATCATTAGAAAAATGCAAATTTAAAATATGAGATGACATTTGACACTCACTAGAATAACTAAAACTAATAACAAGTGCTAACGAAGATGTGGGGCACCTGGAACTCTCATACACTGCTGGCAGGAGTAAAGAGTGGTATAATCACTTTGGGAAACACTTTGGCAGTTTCTTATCAAGTTAAACACATCTATTATATAACCCAGTGATTCACTTCTTGGTATTTTATCTAAGAGAAACGAAAACATATCTATAATTTTGAAAAAAACAGCAAACCATCTCTAGATGAACGTTCAGAGCAGCTTTATTCATAAGAGTCAAGTGTCCATCAACAGATGAATGGATAAACAAGTTTTAGTACACTCATACAATTGGAATACTAAACAATAAAAAGGAACAAACTATGGACACGTGCAACAACACAGATGAATCTCACAGACATTATGCTGAGCAAAAGAGGCCATACACAAAAGAATATGTATTGTATAATTTCATTTACATCAAATTCTAGAATAGGCAAAGCTAATCTATAATGACAGAAATCAGTTCATTGGTTGCCTGGAAAATTAAAGCCCAAAAAGAGGAATTTCTGGGACCATGGATATTTTCTTTTCTTTTCTTTTCTTTTCTTTTGAGACAGAGTCTCACTCTGTCACTCAGGCTGGAATACAGTGGCATGATCCCCATTCACTGCAACCTCCGCCTCCTGGGTTCAAGCAATTTTCCTGCCTCAGCCTCCCAAGTGGCTGGGATTACAGGCGCCTACCACCAAGCCCAGCTAATTTTTCTATTTTTAGTAGAGACGGGGTTTCACCATGTTGGCCAGGCTGGTCTCAAACTCCTCACCTCAGGTGATCCATCCACCTCAGCCTCCCAAAGTGCTGGGATTACAGGCATGAGCCACCACGCCCAGCTGACAGTGGATATTTTCTTTACCTTGATTATTACCTGGATGTATACAACCAACAGTCATGTACATGTGAAATATGTGAGTTTTATTGTATTTAAATTACACATTAATGCTGACTTTTTAAAAAAAAACTTACGATATTGCTAAAGTTATGCTTAGAAGGAAATACATAGCCTTAAATGAACACGTTTAAAAAGAATGAAAGGTAAAAAATCAATGATATAAATTTTCTTCTCAAGAAATTAGAGATACCAGAAGTTGGAAGGGTAGGGAAGAGAGGATGAAGAGAGATTGATTAATGGGTATAAATATACAGTATAATAGAAGAAATAAGACCTAGTGTTTGATAGATCAGTAGGATGACTATACAATACTCTACTGTATTATTTCAAAATAGCTAGAAGGGAATAATTTAAATGTTTCTAGCATAAAGAAAAGATAAATATTGAAGGTTATGGATATCCCAATTATACTGAATTGATCTTGAAAAATATGAATGTATTAAATTATCACGTGTGCCCCCCAAATATGTATATTATGCATCAATTTTAAAAAACTTTTTTTGAAAAAGAAGAAATTAGAGAAAGAACTAGAAATTAAACCCCAGAAAAGTAGTAGGAAGAAAACAAAAAGCAGATTAATAAAACAGAGAAATGAAAAATAATGTTAAGAATAAAAACATTGTAATATTCTTTATAAACCAGACATAAGTTTAAAAAAAGAACAAAACCACAACCAAAACTTGATTGTTTTGAAAAGACAAGTACAAATGCTGCCTCCTCAGAAGACTCCTGACCACTCTAGCTGAAATAGGCCCTTCCTCCCCACTGCTGGGGCTCACTCCTTTATTGTCTACATGATTTTTACCAAGATCTTACCAATTTTAGTAATTTGATCAAACATTTGTCATCTGTCTTCCCTTCTAGAATGCAGCTCCTTGAGGGCAGGGATTATGTCCATCTCATTCACCATTGTATCATTATGCCTGACAAAAATGCCTGTCACATAACAGACATTCAATAATTAATTTTAAATGAGCTTAGTTTTAAAATTTTGCCGCTAGAGTAAAATATGTATGAATAAAAAATCCACTGAGGTATATCAGATCTTATTCAATATGTTTATTTATCATCCACAACCACACGTAGATATTCTCTGTGGACCACGCTTTCCCTAACTCTTCATGTTATACAAAGCCAATATATTTGCCAAGACGCCTAAATAAATTAAAAGCTCGGCTGGGAGCAGTGGCTCACGCCTATAATCCCAGCCCTTTGGGAGGCCAAGGCGGGTGGATCACCTGAGGTCAGGAGTTCAAGATCAGCCTGGCCAACATGGTGAAACCCCATCTCTACTAAAAATACAAAAAATTAGCCAGGCATGGTCGTGGGTGCCTGTAATCCCAGCTATTTGGGAGGCTGAGACAGGAGAATCGCTTTAACTCAGGAGGCAGAGATTGCAATGAGCCAAGATCACGCCATTGCACTACAGCCTGGGCAACAAGAGCAAAACTCCATCACAGAAAAATAAAATAAAATAAAATAAAATATTAATTAATTAAAAACTCATGCAAACCAAAATGTAATTCACCTTTGAAATAGTCATGAAGCCAGTTTGAGAAAAAAAAAAAATTCCTCATCATATTTACACCCTGGGATGAAAAAAATCATCATAGCATTAATATTAAAGACTGTTAGGGGGTTCTAATTTAAATATATCTTTAAAAATGAGATTAGAGGCCAGGCGCCAGTGGCTCCCGCCTGTAATCCCAGAACTTTGGAAGGCCAAGAGAGGAAGATTGCTTGAGCCCAGGAGTTCAAGACCAGCCCAGGCAACACAATGATACCTTGTCTCTACTAAAATTTAAAAAATTAGCCCGATATGGTGGCACATGCCTATATTTCCAGCTACTAGAAGGCCAAGATGGGAGGTTCACTTAAGCCAAGGAGTTCAAGGTTGCAGTGAGTTATCATTGCACCACTGCACTCCAACCTGGGCAACAGAGCAAGATCTTGTTTCAAAAAAAAAAAAGAGATCTGAGAGCAAGGGGACCAAGATCATTCTGACTGCTCAAGAAACAACCTAAGCCAGGTGTGGGGTGGCTCATGTTTGTAATCCCAGCGCTTTGGGAGGTTGAGGCAGAAAGATCGCTTGAGGTCAGGAGTTCGAGACCAGGCTGAGGAACACAGCAAAAGCCTGTATCTACAAAAAATAAAAAAAAATTAGCTGGGCATGGTGGCGCATGCCTATAGTCATAGCTACTTGGAAGGCTAACATGAGAGGATTACTGGAGGCCAGGAGATCTAGGTTACAGGGAACTAAGATCATTCCACTGCCCTCTAGCTTGGGCAACAGAGCAAAACTCTGTTTCTAGAGAAAAAAAAAAAAGAAACAGAACATGAAGAAATGAAATGGCCAGCCTTCCCACTCAGCTCTCACAAGGGATGGGAACAACTACAAACCATTTTTAAAAGATAGCAGGGCTACACAGGGTTTCTCAACCTTAGCACTACTAACATTTGGGATTAGATAATGCTGTGGTGGGAGAAGCTATCCTCATGCTGTAGGACGTTTAGCAGCATCCCTGACCTCTATCCACTCGATTCCAGTAGTAGCATCCTGATCGTAACAACCAAAAATATCTCCAGACATTGACAAATGTCCCCTTCAGGGCCAAATCATTCCCAGTTGCGAATCACTGCTTTAGCAGAATTAACGCTAAAACAGTAGTAACAAAACAATCATTCTTAAACACAACTACGTACCTTTTTTTTTTTTTTTTTTTGGAGACAGAGTCTCACTCTATCGCCCAGGCTGGAATGCAGTGGCATGATCTCAGCTCACTGCAACCTCCGCCTCCCAGGTTCAAGCAATTCTCCTGCCTCAGCCTCCCGTAGCTGGGATTACAGGTGCACGCCACCATGCCCAGCTAATCTTTGTATTTCTACCACAGACAGGGTTTCACCATGTTGGCCAGGCTGGTCTCGAACTCCTGATCTCGTGACCCACCCGCCTCAGCCTCCCAAAGTGCTGGGATTATAGGCGTGAGCCGCCACGACCGGCCTACATGCCTTTTTAACCATCTTAAATTCTATCCCTGTATTGAAGACAGAATTAATTTTGACTCTGCTCAGCATCACGATGATTTTTGGCCACCACTGCAACCATAGGCAAGAATTACCATGTTCTCAGCAAACCAGCCACAAAGTGGGAACGTCTCAGCTAGAGGTAAAAGAAGAAAGACTAAGTTTGATAACTTGAAGGATTCTAGTTAAATTTCTGAATAACACAGAGTTATGAAACCACATGCGTGGGGCCGGGCGTGGTGGCTCATGTCTGTAATCCCAGCATTTTGGGAGGCCGAGGCGGGTGGATCACAAGGTCAGATGGAGACCACACTGGCTAACGTGGTGAAACCCCATCTCTACTAAAAATATAAAAAAATTAGCTGGGTGTGGTGGCAGGCGCCTGTAGTCCCAGTTACTCAGGAGGCTGAGGCTGGAGAATGGCATGAACCCGGGAGGCAGAGCTTGCAGTGAGCCAAGATTGCGCCACCACACTCCAGCCCGGGCAACAGAGCGAGACTCGTCTCAAAAAAATAAATAAATAAAATAAAGTACATGCCTTTTCTACTAAAATCTTACAGACAGGGTAATATCAAGAAAAATTTCAGAAAGTCCAAACTTTTAAAATCCAAATTAAAACTGAAGACACTGATGAAAATCATATTCCAATCTTTAAAGTATGCCTCTCCTATGTCCACTTACTTTTTCACTCATGAAATAAATGACTATGAAACAATGGAAAAGATTGCTTAAACTGACTACAATAAAATTACAGGTTTTTTTTTTTTTTTTTTACAACAAAGACCATCATGAACAAAGTTAAAACATAAGCCACAGACTAGCTGTTACTAACAACATAAGTATATAAGTAACAAAGGATTAGTATATCTAGAATACAAAAATAACACTTACAAATATGTAAAACACTGTTATCTCACATATCCAAACCTAACATCACTGCATCACTGCTTCAGAAATTTGAGCTGATTCTTTTTTGTTTGTTTGTTTTGTTTTGTTTTGTTTTGAGACAGAGTCTTGCTCTGTCACCCAGGCTGGAGTGCAGTGGTGCAATCTCAGCTCACCACAACCTCCACCTCCTAGGTTCAAGCGATTCTCCTGCCTCAGCTTCCCAAGTAGCTGGGATTACAGGTGCCCACCATGCCCAGCTAATTTCTGTTTTTTTAGTAAAGATGGGGTTTTGCCATGTTGGCCAGGCTGGTCTTAAACTTCTGACCTCAGGTGATCTGCCCGCCTCAGCCTCCCAAAGTGCTGGGATTACAGGCATGAGCCACTGTACCCGGCCTTGAGCTGATTTTTAAAAGTACTCCCCCACTTTCTCCAATCACTCAACTTCATTATTCCATCAGTTATGAGAAAAGATCCACTAATTTTATGTTTTTAACCAAAGTCCTTATACCAAAGCCAAACATAAATGCTGAATCACATATTTAGTTTGATTTCCCTCATTCCTTCCATCTCCCAGAATTCCAGAAGCAATCTTATACGTAGCCATCACCACACATTAAGGATGGGAAACTCTACCGCCCAGGGACCAGAGAACATAGAGCTAGGTCCTACCTGAAAATGGCTGCAGCTCATTCAAAAGTACTGTATGAAAGGAGAGAAGGTAGGCCAGGCGCGGTGGCTCACACCTGTAATCCCAGCACTTTGGGAGCCCGAGGCGGGTGGATCACGAGGTCAGGAGTTCATGACCAGCCTGGCCAAGATGGTCAAACTCGTCGTTAGTAAAAATATAAAAATTAGCCGGGCGTGGTGGCTGGCACCTGTAATCCCAGCTACTCGGGAGGTGAAGGCAGAGAATTGCTTAAACCCGGAGGCTGAGGTTGCAGTGAGCCAAGACTGTGCCACTGCACTCCAGCCTGGGCAACAGAGTGAGACTCCATCTCAATCAAAAAAAAAAAAAGAAAGAAAGAAAGGAGAAAAGGTTAACACTCCCCTTGACAAGGATGAAAGAGGCCCTCAGTCTGACAATACACATACAGTTAAGGCAAAGCCACCTACTTTGAGGCATTGAACCACAGCTTTTATAACTAAAAGAATATAGTTGGATTGTTTGCAACATAAACAGTAAATGCTTGACGAGATGGATACCCCACCTTCCATAATGCGATTATTATGCATTGTATGCATGTATCAAAACATCTCATATACTCCATAAATATATACACCTACTATGTACTCACAAAAATTAAAAAAAAAAAAAAGGCAACAAGCAATCCTTGGTCCCTGTTAACCCATCTGAACCCTTCCTTCCAGGCACTGCCAAAGGATTCAAGTGACAATAGGTTGGAGAGGAAACAAGAGCTCCTCTTACAATTTTACCTCCAAGGGTCTCTCATCTCTCTAAGGGAAAAAAAAAAAAATCTGTTAAAGGAATGGGCTAGGTATCTGAATAGGAGAACAGAGGTGATAAAATATTTTCTTGCTTACTTCCCAAAGTATGAGTAAAACATGGGAAGAAATAAAAATAGCATTAAAGCCTTAAGCATATTATTCTTGGAAACCTCAGAATCACTAAAGGGCCAGTGATTCCTCCACCTGCCATTATGCATTAGAAGGAATAAAATGGTTCCAGATGCTGCAGTTGCCTGATGTGTTGGATTTAGAGCTGGTATAAGGGTCATGTCAATCGGTGCTGGGCTTCCTGCCCCTCTTAGGGGTTCCAACTGGCAGCCTCTCTCAAGGAGACCCAGAAAGCTCTCTCCTAGCATCTCCAGAGAGCCTGGGAGCTGAGAGTTGGAGGAGCAAAAGGAATCTTTATATCCCAAAAGGGGAGATTATTAAAGAAGATTCATTCATTCTTTCTGTTTTTTTTTTTTTTTTTTGAGATGGAGTCTTGCTTTTGTCACCCAGGCTGGAGTGCAGTGGCACAATCTTGGCTTACTGCAACCTCAGCCTCCAGGTTTAAGCAATTCTCTGCTTACTGCAACCTCTGCCTCCCAGGTTTATTCTCCTGCCTCAGCCTCCTGAGTAGCTGGGATTATAGGTGCCTGCTAGCACGCCCAGCTAATTTTTGTATTTTTAGTAGAGATGGGGTTTCACCATGTTGGCCAGGCTGGTCTCAAACTCCTGACCTCAAGTGATCCGCCCATCTCGGCCTCCCAAAGTGCTGGGATTACAGGCGTGAGCCACCATGCCCGGTCCCAAAGATTCATTCTTTAATAATGAATGAGATACAGGTAATAATAATGAGAACAAATCTGTTTGTAGCCTCGGGGGATTGTGACCCTTCCCTAAGGGCTCAGACAGGTAAAGTCTTATGTTATAGTGCAGAATCACATCGCTTCTCCCTCCCCAAAATCCATTTTATTTATTTATGTATTTATTTTGAGATGGAGTCTCGCTCTGTTGCCCAGGCTGGAGTGCAGTGGCTCGATCTCGGCTCACTGCAAGCTCCACCTCCTGGGTTCATGCCATTCTCCTGCCTCAGCCTCCAGAGTAGCTGGGACTACAGGCGCCTGCCGCCACGCCCGGCTAATTTTTTTTTTTTACCCCAAATCCATTTTAAATGGTAACAGAGGTATGGAATAGTATACAAATCTTTCCATAACACACAAACTCCTCTAAGGCCCCATGTGAGGTGGCCACATCAAGCAAGAAGAAACTAGGAGAGGAAACTACTGTCCCTTTTAAGAAGGAATGGGCAAAGAGAAAAAATAGCTCATTCTGTTTATTTTATTTGAGAGGACTCAGGTGAACACTTTGAAACACTGAGACTACAAACCACACACACACACACACACACACACACACACACACACACACAAATGCCCACAAGGATTCAGTAGTTGAGAAAAAAAGGACTGAACAAAGACTGGGGTTTCACAAGCAGAGCATCAGATGTCACAGCAGACACCATGCTGGGAAAGCACAAGAGGCAAAGAAATAAGAAACCTTTACAAAATCACAAATTAAAGAATATTGCTATAGCCCATAATTTCCTCCACAAAATGCACTCAAGTGTAACTGAAAATTTTAAATGATCCCTTCAGAACCTTAATGATGATAAGAATTGCTAATTTGGGAGCAGAGAACAGAGTAGGTTGAAGAGCATATGCTGTGGAGGGCAGGGCCAAGTTACCAGTTCCCACACCCCAGCCTAAGAGAAGGGATAAAGCAAGCATCATTTTAAGCCATGCCTTGGCAAAATAATAAACTAATGCATGTAATGAGCCTCCTGACCTATCTCGTTAGTTGAAACCCTGTGAATGCAAAAAGCTGGAGAGTAAACTCTGGTCAGAGAAGACAGGTAAAGCCTTTTCTGACTAGCCATTTAAAAAATAAAACAGGCTGGGCGCGGTGGCTCACACCTGTAATCCCAGCACTTTGGGAGGGCAAAGCAGGCAGATCACTTGAGACCAGCCTAGCCAACATGGTGAAACCCCATCTCTACTAAAAATACAAATATTAGCCGAGTGTGGTGGTGGGCACCTGTAATCCCAGCTACTCAGGAGGGAGAGGCAGGAGAATTTCCTGAACCTGGGAGGGGGAGGTTGCAGTGAGCTGAGATCACACCACTGCACTCCAAACTGTGCAACAAAGCTAGACTACCGTCTCAAAATAATAATAATTACCTCTCCCTCCCCCTGCCCCTCCCTCTGCCTCTCCCTCTTTGCACGGTCTCCCTCTGATGCCAAGCCAAGGCTGGACTGGGTCTCCCTCTGATGCCGAGCCGAGGCTGGACTGTACTGCCGTCATCTCGGCACACTGCAACCTCCCTGCCTGATTCTCCTGCCTCAGCCTGCCGAGTGCCTGGGATTGCAGGCGTGCGCCGCCACACCTGACTGGTTTTCGTATTTTTTGGTGGAGACGGGGTTTCGCCGTGTTGGCCGGGCTGGTCTCCAGCTCCTGACCAGGAGTGATCTGCCAGCCTCAGCCTCCCGAGGTGCCGGGATTGCAGACGGAGTCTCGCTCACTCAGTGCTCAACGTTGCCCAGGCTGGAGTGCAGTGGTGTGATCTCCGCTCGCTACAACCTCCACCTCCCAGCCGCCTGCCTTGGCCTCCCAAAGTGCCGAGATTGCAGCCTCTGCCCGGCCGCCACCCCGTCTAGGAAGTGAGGAGCGTCTCTGCCTGGCCGCCCATCGTCTGGGATGTGAGGAGCCCCTCTGCCCAGCGGCGCAGTCTGTGAAGTGAGGATTGCCTCTTCCCGGCCGTCATCCCATCTAGGAAGTGAGGAGCGTCTCTGCCCGGCTGCCCATGGTCTGGGATGTGGGGAGTGCCTCTGCCCCGCCGCCCCGTCTGAGATGTGAAGAGCGCCTCTGCCCGGCCGCGACCCCGTGTGGGAACTGAGGAGTGTCTCTGCCCCGCCGCCACCTCGTCTGGGAGGTGAGGAGCGTCTCTGACCGGCCGCCCCGTCTGAGAAGTGAGGAGCCCCTCCACCCGGCAGCCGCCCCGTCTGGGAAGTGAGGAGCCCCTCTGCCCGGCAGCCGCCCTGTCCGGGAAGTGAGGAGCATCTCCGCCCCGCAGCTGCCCCGCCCGGGAGGTGGGGGGCAGCCCCCACCCGGCCAGCCACCCCGTCCGGGAGGAGGGGGGCAGCCCCCGCCCGGCCAGCCGCCCCGTCCGGGAGGTGGGGGGCAGCCCCCGCCCGGCCGCCGCCCCATCTGGGAGGTGGGGGGCGCCTCTGCCCAGCCGCCCCGTCTGGGAGGTGAGGAGCCCCTCTGCCCGGCCGCCACCCCATCTGGGAGGTGGGGGGCCCCTCTGCCCGGCCACCCCGTCTGGGAAGTAAGGAGCCCCTCTGCCCGGCCGCCGCCCCGTCTGGGAGGTGGGGGGCCCCTCTGCCCGGCCGCCCCGTCTGGGAAGTGAGGAGCCCCTCTGCCCATCCACCACCCCGTCTGGGAGGTGTACCCAACAGCTCATTGAGAACGGGCCATGATGACAATGGCGGTTTTGTCGAATAGAAAAGGGGGAAATGTGGGGAAAAGAAAGAAAGATCGGATTGTTATTGTGTCTGTGTAGAAAGAAGTAGACATAGGAGACTCCATTTTGTTCTGTACTAGGAAAAGTTCTTCTGCCTTGGGATGCTGTTGATCTATAACCTTACCCCCAACCCCGTGCTCTCTGAAACATGTGCTGTGTCCACTAAGGGTTAAATGGATTAAGGGCGGTGCAAGATGTGCTTTGTTAAACAGATGCTTGAAGGCAGCATACTCGTTAAGAGTCATCACCACTCCCTAATCTCAAGTACCCAGGGACACAAACACTGCGGAAGGCGGCAGGGCCCTCTGCCTAGGAAAACCAGAGACCTTTGTTCACATGTTTATCTGCTGACCCTCCCTCCACTATTGTCCTATGACCCTGCCAAATCCCCCTCTCCGAGAAACACCCAAGAATGATCAATAAATACTAAAAAAAATAAAATAAAATAAAAAAATAAAAAATAAAAAAATAAAAAAAAATAAAAAGAGAAATCCAAAAAAAGTTAGATATCTTTTAAAAATATAATAATAATAATTAAAATAATAATAATAATAAATAAAACAATAGGCCAGGCACGGTGGCTCATGCCTGTAATCCCAGCACTTTGGGATGCCAAGGTGGGGGAATCACCTGAAGTCAGCAGTTTGAGACCAGCCTGGACAACATGATGAAACCCTGTTTCCACTAAAAATACAAAAATTAGCCAGGTGTGTGGCAGGCGCCTGTAATACCATCTACTTGGGAGGGTGAGGCCAGAGAATAGCGTGAACCCGGGAGGTGGAGGTTGCAGCGAGCCAAGATAACACCACTGCACTCCAGACTGAGGGACACAGCAAGACTCTGTCTCAAAATAAATACATACATACATAGATACATAAAAAAAAAAATAAACTTTTTCCATAGGGTGATATAAAATTCAAAGAAAATATGTATCTATCTGGGGCCACGCTGTAATGGTGCTTCCTGATGGGTGAAAAGGAACAATGAAAAGAGGAGTTGCTAAAACACAGTACAAAGTCTCTAAGCTAGAAGAGCATTTTTAGAGCAGTGGCTCTCTCAAGATCCTACACTCCACAATGTCACCATCAAGGAAAAAAAATCTCATCCTTGCCTTTTCTCATGTCCATCACGGATTCTGTACCTAAAGAGTATACCTAAGAATCTCAGGCTACTCCTCTCCATACCATTGCCACTATCTGGTCTGGATTCCTACACCAACTTCCACATAGTCTCTCTGCCTCCTAACTTGCTTCCTCTCCAACCCACAATGCAGACAGTGTGAGCTTTCTGAATTTGACCATGTGAGTCTTCACCCACCCAGGATCTTTTAAGACACTACACCTATCCCTTTTGCACTTAGGATAAAAATCTGAAATGCTTAAAGGTTCTTTTGATTGCTCACCTCTAGCCTTCTCTCTGACCACCAACTACCTCCTGCCAACCACCTCCACCCACACAGCTTCTGCTCGATGGTCTCCAGCCTCAAAATCGCAGTGCTCTCACAGGTCTCTGGGCCTTTGCTGATGCTCTCTCCTTCTTTCCCCACCTCTTAATCCAACAGTTACGAATGACTTAATTCTAATTCATGTTCTCAGGTTTCAGTTTAATGGTTATTCCTCCAGAAAGCCTTCTCTAGGTTCCTTTCTCTTCATTCCAGTGTGCCCAACATTACCACACTGCAGTGCCTATCAGTAAAGCTGCAGAGAGAAAGGCAATGGCTGCTGCTGTCTCTAATTATAATTACTGTTTGAGAAACTACATTCAAAACTAGACGTATCTAAAGTACATAAAATTCAGGCTGGGCGCAGTGACCCATGCCTGTAATCCCAGAACTTTGGGAGGCCGAGGCGGGTGGATCACTTGAGGTCAGGAGTTCGAGACCAGCCTAGCAAACATGGTGAAACCCTGTCTCTACTAAAACTACAAAATTAGCCAGGTGTGGTGGTGGGCACCTGTAATCCCAGCTAGTAAGGAGGCTGAGGCAGGAGAATCGCTGCAACCTGGGAGGTGGAGGCTGCACTGAGCCAAGATCACGCCACTGCATACCAGCCTGGGCAACAAGAGTGAAACTCCATCTCAAAAAAAAAAAAAAAAAACCCTCAAATTCAAGCAAATACATCCTGTTTCTGTATTCTAAATTGTATCAAAAGCCACTGGAAGGCCAGGTGCAGTGGCTCACAGTTGTAATCTCAGCACTTTGGGAGGCTGAGGTGGGTGGATTACTCGAGGTCAGGAGTTTCAGACCAGCCTGGCTAACATGGTGAAACCCCATCTCTACTAAAAATACAAAATTAGCTGGGCATGGTGGTGGGGGTCTGTAATCTCAGCTACTCGGGAGGCTGAGGCAGGAGAATCACTTGAACCCAGGAGGCGGAGGCTGCAGCGAGCGGAGATCGCGCCACTGCACTGCAGCCTGGGCGACAGATCAAGACTCAGTCTCAAAAAAAAAAAAAAAAAATTAGCCAGGTATGGTGGCTCACACCTGTAATCCCAGCTTCTCGGGAGGCTGAGGCAGGAAGAATCACTTGAACCTGGGAGGCAGAGGTTGCAGTGGGCCGAGATCACGCCACTGTACTCCAGCCTGGGCAACAGAGTGAGATTCCATCTCAAAAAAAAGAAAAAAAGAAAAAAGACCACTGGAAGACTTCAGAAGATAACAATTCAAAGAATACTTAACCACCTTCCCTTCAGGAGGGTTGGCAGAACAACTATTGCCTACAGCCCCAGTCCCAAGTCTGTGGTGAGCCCTGCTAGAGAGGAACCCCATTGTATTCCCAGTCATGTCCAAGGCCATCTAACAACTACTCCAGTCACTCCTGCAGGAGCACTGGGTCCAGCCCATCAGCAATGCTTATTATCCTTCTTCCGCTATTTAGTCACCTTGCGAACATAAACTAATTCAGTCATCAAACAACTATATTAAGGAGATCATGCTCTAATTGTTCCCATTTTACAGATGAGGACATTTACCTCACAAAGCCCTAAGGAGTAAAGATAAGATTTGATTCCAGGTGGTTGATTTGTCTACAAGGTCCATGCTCTAAGCCACCACACTGCACTACTTCCCCTCTACTCCCATTTCCCTGAAAGCTATGTGGGAACAAAATAGAGAGTTCAGATCCACACATGTACTATACCTTGGTTTACAACAAAGGGTACAATAAAAATGCAATGCAAAGTCCTAGATAAATTAGATAACCATACTGGGGCAGAGGGGGATGAACCTTGACCCCTATCTCACATCATACAAAAATCAATTCCAGATGGATTACAAACCTAAACGATGGATTCCAAAACCAAACTCCTATCTGCTCCCCATCTGTACCTCCCCCACAATCTTCCCAAGCTCAGAAAATGGCATCTTCCAGTTTATCAGTCCAAATACCATGGAATTCATCCTTAATTTCTCTCATACAATCTATATCCATTTGACCAACAAATCCTATTAGCTCTATCTTCAAAACATATCCTGAATCCAACTACTTTCACCACCTCCACCAAGCTATCATCGCCTCTTACTTAGATTTCTGCATTATCTTCCTAGCTGGTTTCCCTACTTTATCCCTTATCCCCCATACAGGCAATTACCTCCATATCAGCCAGAATAAGCTTTTAAAAGTCAGATTGTGTCACTCCTCTGCCCAAACTCTCCAACAGCTCTTGCTATTCCACTTGCCTACAATATTTTTTCCCTAGACAACCACCTGGCTAGCCCACTTACTTCCCTCAGGTGCAGTGGCTCACATCTGTAATTCCATCACTTGGAAGGCTGAGGTGGGAGTACAAGTTAAGGCCAGGAGTTCAAGACTAGCCTGGGCAACAGAGCAAGACCCCACCTCTACCCCAAAAATTATTTATTTATTCATTTGTTTATTTTTCAGGCAGCCTTCCAAGCCACAGTAGGCTTGGAGATTCCCTATTATTTATTTATTTATTTATTTTGAGGCAGAGTCTCCTTCTGTCACCCAAGCCAGAGTGTAACAGCACAATCTTGGCTCACTGCAACCTCCACTCCCAGGTTCAAGCAATTCTCCCGCCTCAGTCTCCCAAGTAGCTAGGATTACAGGTACCTACCACCATGTTCAGCTAATCTTTGTATTTTTTAGTAGAGGCGGGGTTTCACCTTGTTGGCCAGGCTGATCTCAAACTCCCAACTTCAAGTGATCCACCTGCCTCGGCCTCCCAAAGTGCTGGGATTACAGGTGTGAGCCACTGCATCCAGCCTATTTATTTATTTTCTGAGACAAAGTCTCACTCTGTCACCCAGGCTGGAGTGCAGTGGCACAAAGTTGACTCACTACAGCCTCAACCTCCTGGCTCAAGTGATCCTCCCACCTCAGCCTCCTAAGCAACTGGGACTACAGGTGCTTGACACCATGCCTGGCTTTTTTTTTTTTTTTTTTTTGTAGTAGTAATGAGGTCTTCACTATGTTGCCTAGGCTGGTCTCAAACTCCTGACCTCAACTGATCCTCCTGCCTCAGTGTCCCAAAGTGGTCGGATTACAGGCATAAGCCACTAGGCCCAGCCTCTCTACAAAAAGTTTTTTAAAAATTAGCTGGAGTGGTGGTATGCACCTGTAGTCCTAGGTACTTGGAGGCTAAGACAGGTGGATCCTTTCAGCCCAGGAGTTCAAGGCTACAGTGAGCTCTGTCTCTAAAAAGGAAGCACCACCCCAGACTTTACCTACTCTCCCTTTCTTCATAACACTTATACCTTCTGACATATTGTTTATATACTTGTTTACCATTTATCTCTACCTACTAAAATGAAAATCCCATGAGGAGAGGCATTTTTGTTCCCCATTCCCAATGCCCACGACAATGCCTGGCAAACAGCAGGTGCTCAATAATTATTATTGAATGACTGGATGAATGTATCTCTTTCCCCTGCTGCTCTCGCACACTGTTATTGCTTTCCTAATGCCCCCTGGTCTGTTTGAGACTTGCCATTGTTTTAGGCAGTGATACTCATGGGGCTACACAGCTTTTTAAGCAACTTCGACTCCAAGCCGACTCTTAACTACCAGGTACCTAACTAACAAGAAATTAATTTCCACTAACACATTTGACAAAGTCTATTCTGATAGTCCTATAGATCATATGGTGATCTGTGGGCTGGAGAGTAGTCACGTAGATTCACAGACAGATGAATAACCTTATTCACTGAATGATAATGGTTCATCTAAAGGGAGATCTTTACCAAAGTGCCACTAAGTTCTATTCTCAGTTTTATCCTATTCCATTTTTTCCCCATGATGTGGATAGTCAGTAGTCTGACGGAATTCATTATCTAAGCAAAATGAAAGCACATGCCCCACAAAGACTTGTACATGAATGTTCATAGTGGTCTTATTTGTAATTGAAAACAAAAATAAAAAAACAATGCCCTGGGCCAAAAAAATAAGAAAGAAAACAAAGCTGGGTGTGGTGGCTCACGTCTTTAATCCCAGCATTTTGGGATGCAAAGGCAGGCGGATCACTTGAGGTCAGGAGTTCAAGACCAGCCTGGCCAACATGGTGAAACCGCGTCTCTATTAAAAATACAAAAACTTAGCTGGGCATGGTGGCAGGCGCCTACAATCCTGGCAACTCAGGGGGCTGAGGCAGAGGTTGCAGTAAGCCGAGATCGCACCACTGCACTCCAGCCTGGCGACAGGGCAAGACTCTTTCTCGAAAAAAAAAACAACAAAAAAACAAAAAAACACATGAAATGGATAAACAAATTGGGATACATATCCATAAAGTGGAATACTACTGAGTAATGAAAGGGAATGAGCTATTCAAACATACAAGAATGAATCTCTGGCTGGGTGTGGTGGCAAATGCCTGTAATCCTAGCACTTTGGGAGGCCGAGGAGGGCAGATTATCTGATGTCGGGAGTTCAAGATCAGCCTGGCCAACATGGTGAAACCCCGTCTCTACTAAAAAATATAAAAAATTAGCCCGGGCGCGGTGGCTCACGTCTGTAATCCCAGCACTTTGGGAGGCTGAGGTGGGCGGATCACGAGGTCACAAGTTCGAGACCAGCCTAACCAACATGGTGAAACCCCATCTCTACTAAAAATACAAAAATTAGCAGGGCGTGGTGGCACGTGCGTGTAACCCCAGCTACTCAGAAGGCTGAGGCAGGAGAATTCCTTGAACCCCTGAGGCAGAGGTTGCAGTGAGCCAAGATCACGCTATTGCACTCCAGCCTGGGGGACATAGCGAGACTCCCTCTCAAAAAAAAAAAAAAAGCCGGGCGCAGTGGTTCATGCCTGTAATCTCAGCACTTTGGGAGGCTGAGGCGGGTGGATCACAAGGTCAGGAGTTCAAGACCAGCCTGGCCAAAATGGTGAAACCTCCTTTCTACTAAAGATAAAAAAAAAATTAGCCAGGCATGGTGATTAGTTAGGAAATACATTTATTTTAAAAATCGTGTTCATAACAGTACTCTTAATTTCAGTTCTTCTATTCCATATCTGTATCTCCTCTGCCCCACAGTGAGAACCTTGTTTCCAACAGCATCAATACATTTACTTATTTGCCCAGTCCTACAATATACTCAAAATAGGTGGGTTTTGTTTTTGTTTTTGTTTTTTTGAGATGGAGTCTCACTGTCACTGAGGCTGGAGTACAGTGGCGTGATCTTGGCTCACTGCAACCTCCGCCTCCTGGGTTCAAGCGATTCTCCTGTCCCAGCCACCCGAATTGCTGGGATTACAGGTGCATGCCACCACACTCGGCTAATTTTTGTATTTTTAGTAGAGACAGGGTTTCACGATATTGGTCAGGCTTGTCTCTGACTCCTGACCTCACGTGATCTATGCGCCTTGGCCTCCCAAAGTACTGAGATTACAGGCGTGAGCCACCGCACCCAGCCTCAAAATAGTTTCAAATAGTTTCATTACAAACAATAAATCTAAGTAAAGATCAAGGTTTTACTTTATTTTTTTGAGACAGAGTCTCACTCTGTCACCAAGGCTGGAGTGCAGTGGCATGATCACAGCTCACTGCAGTCTTGACCTCCCAGACTCAATGAGTCTTCCTGCCTCAGCCTCCTGAGTAGCTTGGACTACAGCTGTACACCATGCCTGGATAATTTTTAAATTTTTTGTAGTGATGGAGTCTCATTATTTTGTTCAGGCCAGTCTTGAACTCCTGGGCTCAAGGGATTCTCCTGCCTTGGACTCCCAAAGTGCTAAGATCATAGGTGTAAGCCATTGTGGCCAGCTCTAAGATTTTTCTTTTTTACAGTACTTTTTTCCATATAATATGTCCCACTGAAGCTATATAGACAAGAGTACTATATTAAAAGTTACTTGGGGCCAGGTGCGGTGGCTCACGCCTGTAATCTCAGCACTTTGGGAGGCCGAAGCAGGCGGATCACAAGGTCAGGAGTTCAAGACCAGCCTGGCCAGCATGGTGAAACCCCGTCTCTACTAAAAATATACTAAAAATACAAAAATTAGCCAGGCATGGTAGCAGGTGCCCATAGTCAGTCCCAGCTACTTGGGAGGCTGAGGCAGGATAATCACTGGAACCCAGGAGGTGGAGGTTGCAGTGATCCGAGATCACGCCACTGCACTCCAGCCTGGGTGACGGTGAGGCTCCGTCTCAAAAAAAATAAAAAATAAAAAAGTTACTTGGGGCCAGGCACAGTAGCTCATGCCTGTAATCCCATCACTTTAGGAGGCTGAGGCGGGTGGATCACTTCAGGCCAGGAGTTTGAGACTAGCCCGGTCAACATTGTGAAATCCCATTTCTACTATCTGGTTGTTGCAAAAGTAATCGCGGTTTTTGCCCTTTTTTTTTTTTTTTTGGTAAAAAATACAAAAATTAGCTGGGTGTGGTGGGGTACACCTACAATCTCAGCAATCTCAGCTACTCAGGAGGCTGAGGCAGGAGAATTGCTTGAACCTGGGAGACAGAGGCTGTAGTAAGCCAAGACTGAGCCACTGCACTCCAGCCTGGGTGACAGAGCATGAGACTCTGTCCCAAAAAAAAGAAAAGAAAAGAAAAGCTACTTGGATTATTTTTTTTCACATTTTTCCCACCTTTATTCAGGTTTGATTGTATACTATTTATATAAAACTAATAAAAATCAAGATAATGATCATGTGTCACCCCTGAAAGTTTTTCTTATGCCGCTTTAAAGTCCTTCTCTCCTCTCTCTGCCCCTAATCCTATCCCTAGAAAAGCACTAAGCTGCTTTCTGTCATTAAGGATTGGTTTGTATTTTCTAGACTTTTAATATAAATGGAATCACATGATGTATTCTCTCTTGCTCTCTCACTCTCTTTTGGAAAAACTCTAAAACCATGTTTTTCCTCTGCTCTCACACCACTACAACAACAATCATCACCACAGAAGACTTCTAGTGACCAAATGTGTGGAGATTTCTCCCCACCACCAAGCGACCAATTAATTCTGCAGTAGGTATCAGCTAGGTGTCCTCCAAATCAATTCTAACACTATCTACCTGGAAATTATGTCAGATAGTGTCAGATCCATTTAAGTGCTCAGTCACAAGACTGCCCCCCGACGCACACCAGTTGATAGGCTTCATGTTGGGGTTCCCATGAAGCCCTCTTTGGGTTCAATTAATTTGCTGGAACCACTCACAGAACTCAGAGAAATGTTTACTGGTTTATTATAAAGGATACAGATGAGGAGATGCTAGGGTAAGGGATGGGGGAAGGGGTGCAGAGCTTCCATACCCTCCCTTTGTGTGACACCCTCCAGAAACCTCCGCATGTTCAGCTATCCATAAGCTCTCCAAACTCAGTCCTCTAGGGTTTTTTGTTTGTTGGAGACAGAGTCTCGCTCTGTCACCCAGGCTATAGTGCAGTGGTACAATCTTGGCTCACTGCAGTCTCTGCCCCCTGGGTTCAAGCAATTCTCCTGCCTCAGCCTCCCGAGTAGCTGGGATTACAGGCGTGCACCACCATGCCCAGCTAATTTTTGTATTTTTTAGTAGAGACAGGGTTTCACCATATTGACCAGGCTGGTCTCGAACTCCTGGCCTCAGGTGATCCTCCCTCCTCAGCCTCCCAAAAGTGCTGTGATCCCCAAGTGCTGGGATTACAGGCGTGAGCCACCGCACCCATCCCCTCTAGGATTTTTATGGAAGCTTCATGTCAGTATTACTTCCCCCAGCGTATGAGTGGGACCCTCTCTGGAATGAGGGTCTTATGACCCATAATTAGAAAGGAGGGTTTGGAATTTTAGAGTCCTGCCTTGGGGCAGGTAAAAGGATGGCAGGAGTAGGTCAGAGAGATTCTGTTTCCTGAGGTCTCCCCCTGAGGCCTAACACATGCACCATTATAACAAAAGACTGTAACAAAGACTATGGGAGTTATAAGCCAAATATATATATATATATATATACACACACACACACACACACACACACACATATATATATACACACATATATATATATATACACACACACATATATATATATATATCATGGGTATTTTAGGCTTAATACCACATTCTTTCTCATTCTCTCTCTCACTCTCTTGCTCTTTTTCTTTCTCTCTCTCTCAGGAGTTCTGGCTTTCACTCAGCATAATTATTTTGATATTCATTCTTTTTTTTTTTTTTTTGAGACAAAGTCTCGCTCTGTAGCCCAGGCTGGAGTGCAGTGGCGTGATCTCGGCTCACCGCAACCTCCGCCTCCCAGGTTTAAGCGAATCTCCTGCCTCAGCCTCCAGAGTACCTGGGATTACAGGTGAGCACCACTGCATTCTGTCACCCAGGCTGGAGTGCAATGGCACGATCTCGGCTCGCTGCAACCACTGCCTCACGAGTTCAAGCGATCCTCGTTCTTCAGCCTCCCAAGTAGCTGAGACTACAGACATGGGCCACCATACCCAGCTAAGTTTTGTATTTTTAGTAGAGATGGGGTTTCTCCATGTTGGCCAGGCTGGTCTCTAACTCCTGACCTCAGGTGAACCACCTGCCTTGGCCTCCCAAGGTGCTGGAGTTACAGGCATGAGCCACCGCGCCCAGCCAAAATAGCTTATTTCATCTCAAAAAACGTATGTGAATTTTGATTTCTATGTCATAATTTTCATTATTAAAAACATTTAAATTCCTTACCAGTTAAAGTACCGAACCTCCTAACCTTGACACCACTTCACCAATCTTCCAGTAAAACTGACATTCTAACAAGTTTGTCAAGTTCATCCTAAAGCTCCATAAACTCCCAGTTACCCCCAACCACAAATGGAGGAACTAAGTTTGGAAATAAAACTCTTTGGCAAGCAGTCATTCTTAGAATAATCAGTAAGTTACTTATGTCTGTAGTTTCTGACCTGGACTTTGATTTGTTATAAAATTCTTGAGAAAAGCCCTAGGTTTTGTGGGGTTTTTTTTTTTTTTTTTTTTTTTTGAAATGAAGTCTTGCTCTTGTCCCCCAGGCTGGAGTGCAATAGCGCAATCTCGGCTCACTGTAACCTCCGCCTCCTGGGTTCAAGCAACTCTCCTGTCTCAGCCTCCCAAGTAGCTGGGATTACAGGCGCCTGCCACCACGCCCGGCTAATTTTTGTATTTTTAGTAGAAATGGGGTTTCACCATGTTGGCCAGGCTGGTCTCGAACTCCTGACCTCAACTGATCCGCCTGCCTTGGCCTCCCAAAGTGTTGGGATTATAGGCGTGAGCCACTGCACCCTGGCAAGAAAAGCCCTACTCTTGTCTTAGCTGAACATGGCTGTCCACAACGTAGGCCAAACAATTTGGATGAGCAGTGTGTTCTCAGAAGAAAAGGATGGTGGTGGCTCAGGATACCTTCTTGGAGAACCAAAGACCAAGGAAACCCAGCACAGGTAATAAAGTAAAAGCACTGGAGGAAAAGAACTGGGACATCCGGTTTTTCCTTGCAAATATTCACATACGAAAAAGGGTAGCCTAAAAGAAATGCAAGTGGTAGTGGGAAGGGGAATCTCATTATTAACTAAGATTTTACATATATCTAGAAAATAGCTGAAATTTTGGAGTGAAACTAGGAACTGGATCCATAAATCTGAATGAATAAGAAACATGAAGCTCTTGTTAAACAAAGAAAACATATTAAATTCTAAGAGTCTCCTTTACCCTCCAATCTTTAGTGCATATTCAAGCCCAGGTTTCTTCTTGTTATTTTTCTCCCATGTTTCTCTGCTGCAGGAGGACAAGAAACTACTTTGGAGAAATAATATTAGGATTTTTGCCATTTGTACAGACTGAAAGACCCTTGGACATCTCTCTTGGTCTGGGCTCCCTATCACGGACAGTTGACAGAGCCATCAACCATTAAGTAAGAGTCTACTGCAGGCTTAAAGAGTGAAGTAAGGCCGGGAGCGGTGGCTCACGCCTGTAATTCCAGCACTTTGGGAGGCCGAGGTGGGTGGATCACTTGAGGTCAGGAGTTTGAGACCAGCCCAGCCAACATGGTGAAACCCGTCTCTACTAAAAATACAAAAATTAGCTGGGCATGGTGACGCACACCTGTAGTCTCAGCTACCTGGGAGGCTAAGGTGGGAGGACCACCTGACCCTGGGGTGCTGCAGTGAGTCGTGATCACGCCACTGCACTCCAGCCTGGGTGATCCTGGGTGAGACCCTGTCTCAAAAAAAAAAAAAAGAAGACTGAATGAATGAAAGAAAGAAAAACTATTATATAAGGAAAGCCAATCCCAGAGGTATCACATTTTGAACCCCTACCTTTAATAACAACAGACCCTAAACGTGTTAACACCCAACTTTCCCTACCATTCTGAAAGAACAGAGAAAGCTAAGGACAGATATCAGGAGAAAAGAAAAAGAGGGGGATGAAAAACCAAATCCAAAATGTCTCACAACATGTCATGGGTCCTTTAACATGTTATAAACAAAAAACACTACCTTCTCCTCACTTGAAGGTTGGTTTGAAGACAAAGTCATGGTGCTGTTCTCCAACAGCCAAACCTCCGTGTTCTATAATAACCAGTTCTTGCACTACTATCCCACTACTCAACATACAAAGGTCAGTATCAAGGAGGAAACAATGGCCTGACTTATTGTACCAAAGCCAAAAATATCTTTCACTCCCCCATCCACTCCCTATCCTGTTCATCCCACCTTTGTAAAAGATCTCATGATCTTCCTGGGCTTTTACCCATCCCTCTTCAATCTGCCCTACAAATCCAGTAAGTCACCAAGTCCTATAAAATCCAGTGCAACAAGTCTGACCATTTACTCCTCTTGTGTGATCGACTGACACAAACAGTTCTAATCCTCATTACCCTTTCCCATAGAGTTCTACTACAGACCTAACTGATCCTCCCTGTCTACAGGCCATGTCTTTGATACAGTGCTAGAGTACCATTCCTGAAGTCAAAGGTCTGATGGATGCTCCTCAGTAAAAGGGCCCATCGGCCAGGCACGGTGGCTCATGTCTGTAAGCCCAGCACTTTGGGAGGCTGAGGCGTGTGGATTAATTGAGTTCATGTGTTTGAGACCAGCCTGGCCAACATGGTAAAACTCTGTCTCTACTGAAAATACAAAAAATCAGCAGGATGTGGTGGCGCGTGCCTGTAGTCCCAGCTACTCAGGAGGCTGAGGCAGGAGAATCGCTTGAACCTGGGAGGTGAAGGTTGCAGTGAGCCAAGATTGTGCCACCAGCCTGGATGACAGAGCGAGACTCCGTCAAAAAAAAAAAAAAAAAAAAAAAAAAAAAAAGCGCCCATCAATTCCATGTTGCCTATAAAACAAATTCTAAACTACTCCATGATCTAACCATAGGTCATCTCTCCAGTCTCACTCTGGTGATTACCCCTCTTGTGTCCAGTGCATTAACAAATAAGACGGCTCATCATTCCTTAGCATTTGCCATACTTTCCCTTCTACTTTGCCTTATACCTCCTGTTACTTCTAACTGTCCTTCCACCTCTGCTCAACAATAATTAACAATCACCTTCTTCCCTCAAAGCAGAAACTAGGAAAGAAAGCAAACACATCACAGGAAAGGCGATTATAAGAATCTATGGTCTCAGAAGCAGCATTGGTTTGAAAAAGGAGCAATGCCTTGAAGACCAAAAGTCCAGCTTTGCCAATTTCTTGCTAAGTTATACTGAGTAAGCCACTCACCTTTCTGAGCCCCAGTTTCCCCATCTGTAAAATGTATCTACCCTACCTAACATACAAGATTATCCAGACAATTAAGTATGGGCCGGGCACAGTGGTTCATGCCTGTAATCCCAGCACTTTGGGAGGCCAAGGCAGGAGGATCACCTGAAGTCAGGAGTTTGAGACCAGCCTGGCCAACATGGTGAAACTCTGTCTCTACTAAATACAAAAACTTAGCCAGGCATAGTGGTGCATGCCTGTAATTCCAGCTACTACTCGGGAGGCTGAGGTGGGAGAACTGCTTGAACTCAGGAGGTGGAGGTTGCAGTGAGCTGAGATCATGCCACTGCACTCCAGCCTGGGCAAAAGAGCAAGACTCCATCTCAAAAAAAAAAAAAAAAAAAAAAGAAAAAGAAAAAAGAAAGACAATTAAGTATGATAAAGTGTGTCAAAATGCTTATGGGGGGATGGAGCTAAAGCTTACAGGGAAAATTATACCTTTAAATGCTTATATAGAAAAAAAATCTAAAAATTAATGAGCTACGCACATTCTTAAGAAGTTTGAAAGAAAGCTTTAAATATTTACGTAGAAAAACATCTGAAAATTAATAAGCTACGCGCATTCCTAAGAAGTCTAAAAGAAAGGCAAAATAAACCCAAAAGAAACAGAAAATTAGAAAGTAGAAATTACAAAGAAAACAAACACAATACACCAAACCCAAAAGACAGTTTTTTGAAAAGAATAAGATTGTTCACATGCTTGTGTAAACTATGACAAACAATATAAAAGTAAGCTGTGGTTATCCAGTAGAGATGAAACTTCAAATAAAAAGGGCTGAAGTGGCCGGGCACAGTGGCTCACGCCTGTAATGCCAGCACTTTGGGAGGCCGAGACGGACGGATCACGACGTCAGGAGATCAAGACCATTCTGGCTAACACGGTGAGACCCCGTCTCTACTAATAATACAAAAAATTAGCCACGCATGGTGGTGGGCGCCTGTAGTCCCAGCTACTCAGGAGGCTGAGGCAGGAGAATGGCGTAAACCTGGGAGGAAGAGGTTGCAGTGAGCCGAGATCGCGCCACTGCACTCCAGCCTGGGCGACAGAGCAAGACTCCATCTCAAAAAAACATAAAAAAAAAAAAAAAGGGGCTGAAGTAAGTTTCTTTTGTGAAATGGTTTCTCAGATCTCAGTACTATTGACATTTGGGACAGATAATTGTTGGGGTGAGCTAGGGGCTCTCCTATGCATTGTAGGATGTTTAATAGCATCCTCAGCCTCTATCCACAAGATGACAGTAGCATCCCCACCCCACCCCCAACAATCCTGACAACCAGTGTCTTCACACATTGTAAACTGTTCCCTAAGAAGCAAAATCATACCAGGTTGAGAACCACTGCTCTAAGAAAACAAAAGGGCCACATCACACTACACCAACTAAAACTAGATTATTCATAGCTATTCTTACTAGTAGAATAGCTAGCTGCTCTGCCCATGACTACGGGATGGCAGCAAGGACAAGACTAAAGAAATAGGCAGGTTTTGGATTTTTCAGGAAAACTGCATAGAGTGCTCAACATGAGAGGAAAAGAAAAGCTTTAGGCCGGGTGTGGATCACGCCTGTAATCCCAGCACTTTGGGAAGCCGAGGCAGGTGAATCACCTGAGGTCAGGAGTTCAAGACCAGCCTGGCCAAAATGGTGAAACCCTGTCTCTACTAAAAATACAAAAATTAGCTGGGCATGGTGGCAGGCACCTGTAATCTCAGCTACTCAGGAGGCTGAGGCAGGAGAATTGCTAGAACCTGGGAGGCGGAGGTTGCAGTGAGCCGAGATCGCGCCATTGCACTCCAGCCAGGGCCAACAAAAGAAAAAAAAAAAAGCTTTAAGAGGTAAAATAGGGTCAAAAACACCAGAAGTAACAGAAGTATTACTTTTATTTTTGTGGCTCTAACACTGTAGTGAAATATAAAAATGGTCCTTGAGTCAAATTCCAAGAAGTCAGTTAACCTAGCAGAGCACAGCAGGACATAGGGCCTAATGGAACGTTTGTTTATCACTCTGAACTTCAATAAAAATGAGTCATTTTAAAATTTTAAAAAAGTATTTAAGGCCGGGCATGGTGGCTCACCCCTGTAATCCCCAGCACTTTGGGAGGCCAAGGCGGGCAGATCACCTGAGGTTAGGAGTTCGAGAACAGCCTAACCAACATAGAGAAATCCCGTCTCTACTAAAAATACAAAATTAGCCAGGCATGGTGGCAGGCACATGTAATCCCAGCTACTCAGGAGGCTGAGGCAGGAGAATCGCTTGAACCAGGAGGTGAAGGTTGCAGTGAGCCAAGATGGCGCCATTCCACTCCAGCCTGGGCAACGAGCAAAACTCCATCTCAAAAAAAAAAAAAAAAAAAAAAAAAAAAACACCAAAACCAAATTGCACAGCTACATTATTCTGAGACAAATCACAATTAAATTCTTGTCATTTCTAAATAAATAATAGTAAAGTCCGCAGAAGCATATCATATAATTTTTGAATAATTAACAATTTTACAAGGAAAAGGGAAAAGAGAATTCCAAGAAGCCAACAGGGAAGATAGTGTGTATATATCCATTACACTCACCAGAAGCATCTAAAATCCAATCTAAACCTGATGGGAGTTCTAAGGGTGTCTGTAAATACAATTATGAGAACCCAATGATGAAAAGCAAAAAGTGATGCTGACACCTAGGGACTCTAACAGCATCTCAGGAACAATGAGAGCCAAGCAAACATTACTGTCTTCCATTATTTCTATTCATTCTACTTTCTAGAAATGAGACTCCAACTGAATAAGCTAGCAACAGACAGCAAATGCTACTGGAGGGATAAAAGTGAATGGTCATTTCCCCGCAGAAATGGAGAGAGGCTTCTGGACAGTATAAAGGAGGGCAAACGGATTCCCAAGCCACATGACAGCTGTTAGGATGAATGAGAACTGAAGATAGTAAACACCAGTAAAGACAGAGGATCAGTGCTCATCCTCCTGGAATCTGGAGAACGGCAGGAGTACATTTTCCTACGTTCCTTCAGATTCAAGTAATTAGATGATCTAATGCAACGTTCAGTCCCACTAGGGGGTCTGTTATGAACAGACAAAAACCCTATTCCTCAGTCAGTAGGAAGCTTACAAACAACTAAATCCTATGCCATAAAAGGCTGGAATTAATTGAGAAGCCTTGTGGCTGGCCAAATAACCTAACATTAGACTGAACATTAAAAGTTCAATGCCATTTCAAGAAGCTGAGGGCAAAGGAAGGAGTGAGCTGAGCAAACCAAATAGAAGGCATCAAAAGGGGATCTACCAGCTATGGAGATGTAGTGCCCTCCCAGTAGGGGCAATTTATAGTCACTGGAATGGCCAAGAGGTAGCGCAGCACTGCAGGAGATGCAGTGAGCTTTCTGAAGTTGTGAATCTGTCTAAGAATCTCTGCCTGGACAATTCCCTCATGTACACACAAGCACAATTGTATGTATAATTTCAGAAAACTTACAGACCACTCACAGTTACCCTCACATCTACCTGAAGAGCCCATGGCCTCCAGACTGCAAAGTCTTACCATAGGAACTCTGCCATTGACTCCTCCATGACCTGGGCAAGTATGCAACACTCGAATCTCTGGACCTGAGTCCAAACATCTGTCAGAGACAAGCTAAAGGCTAAAGGTTCTTCCAGCAGTAAAACAAAGCTTATGTGGAGGAACAATAATCTATTTCCTAGGAATGAGCATCTGAATTCATTGCATCTCAGTTCCTAGTCTGTATCTTCCCACTATGGATGGCCTAAGAAATCTAACTGGAAACGCCAAGGTCTCCCAGCAAAAATTCCACTGGAGGAAAATATAAGGCAACTTCTGTCACTCAATAGAGCCCACTTACCATCCAGCAGGTCTTCTTCATCATCCCTGTCACACTCCTCCACTGCCACCTCCTCCTCCTCCTCCTCCTCTTCCGCATCCTCCAGCTCCACGTCCGGGTCCAGGTCTGGATCGCTCCCTGAGGCAGATTCGTCTGACATGGCTCCCAGAGGTCCTCAGTGGGCATTACCGACTCATGGTCCACTGCAGGGGTGCTAGGAGAGGATGAAAGGCATCAGAATCACCAAGGGTTTTGCTTAGGAACACAAGTCTTTCAAAGAAAAAAATGCTAGCTGGGCACAGTGGCTCATGCCTGTAATCCCAGCACTTTGGGAGGTCAAGGTGGGTGGATCACTTGAGGTCAGGAGTTCGAGACCAGCCTGGCCAACATGGTGAAAACCCATCTCTACTAAAAATACAAAAGTTAGTCAGGCATGGTGGCACACACCTGTAATCCCAGCTACTCAGGTGGCTGAGGCATGAGAATTGCTTGAACCGGGGAGGCAGAGGTTGCAGTGAGCCAAGATGGCGCCACTGCATTCCAGCCTGAGCGACGAGGTGAGACTCTCTCCAAAAGAAAAACAAAGAAAAAAATGCTGAACATGAATTCCCCGGAACTTCTCTAAGCAAGGCAAGCTAACCGTATCCAAATCACCACCTTCCCTATGAGTGTTCTGGCTCTGAGACATGTTTTAGTGACTCTGCATAGCTCAAACATCTCTTGGCTATTTTGACAAGAAAACACCTTAAAGTAACAATAACAACAAAACTATAAACCTTGGAAATCCCATTTGTTCATTCCTTCCTGTATCAACTGTTTCCTGAGCACCAACTCTCTGTATCTATTTATACATATACATATATGTGTGTGTATGTGTGTGTGTGTGTGTGTGTGTGTATATATATATATATATATGTATAGAGTCCCCAACCTGCGATGGTTTAACTTACAATTGTGCGAAAATGACACACATTCAGTAGAAACTGTGCTTCAAATTTTAAATTTTTCCCAGGCTAGTGACATATGGAACTATACTCTCTGGCAATGCTGAGTAACAGCAATGAGCCAAAGCTTCCAGTCCACCATGCTATCATGAAGTGTGCAGTTTTCTGTGCTGCCAGATGATTTTGACTGTAGACAATGTAAGTGCTCTTTATTTTATTTATTTATTTTTAGACAAGGTCCAGCTCTGTTGGCCAGGCTGGAGTGTGGGTGGAGTGCAGAGGCACAATCATAGCTCACTGCAGCCTCAAATTCCTGGGTTCAAGCAATCCTTCTGCCTAAGACCTCCTGAGTAGCTAGGACGACAGGCACATACAACCATGCCTGGCTAAGACAGTGTTAAGTGTTCTGAGCACCTTTAAGGTAGTCTAGCCCAAATTATGATGTTCAGTAGGTTAGGTGTATTAAATAGACTTTCAACTTACAATATTTTCAACTTACGATGCATTTATCAGGATGTAACCCCATTGTACATGGAGGAACAGTTGTATATAATCGCAGGTGCTATTCTAGAGTTTGGGGACACAGCAGGAAGCAGAACAAAGCATGCAGGGAATACTTAGGGCTGGTGTGTGGCAGGAGGAGCTGCTAGTTTATATAGGGGAGGTCAGTGAAGTTCTCACTGAGCAGAAACCAAAAGGAAGGAAGGAAGCCGTAAAGACATCTTGAGGGAGTGTGTTCCAGGAAGACCGAGCACCAACGGCAGAGGAGGAGTGGCTGGGAGTACACAGGAGCTAGAAGTATGTTTTACCCAAGTTATTCATTCATTCACATTCAGTCCATCATTTGCTAACCTGCTATACTATGTCTATCATGTGTCAGGCACTGTGCATGTCTGTCTCTCTTATCACTTTACTATTAGCTGTAAAGGCCATTCCTTCGTGAGGGTAAAAAAATAAAAACCATGGTAAAGAGATGGCTAGTTGGGTTAGCTCTTTGATAAAGTAAATATAGCAAAATGTTAACTAGTAAATTCACTGACCAATTCTTTCCATTTTTTCTGTATATTTCAAATTTTCTTTTCTTTTTTTTTTTTTTTTTTTTGAGATGCAGTTTCACTCTGTCACCCAGGCTGGCATGCAGTGGCACGATCTCAGCTCACTGCAACCTCCACCTCCTGGGTTCAGGTGATTCTCCTGCCTCAGCCTCCCGAGTAGCTGGAACTACAGGTGTGCACCACCACACCCAGCTAATTTTTGTATTTTTAGCAGAGACGGGGTTTTACCATGTTGGCCAGGCTGTTTTCTAACTCCTGACCTCAGGTGATCCTCCCGCCTCAGCCTCCCAAAGTGCTGGGATTACAGGCATCAGCCACTGTGCCCAGCCTCAAATTTTCACACTAAAATCAGAGAAGAGGTAAATCATCTTTTTTTTTTTTTTTTTTTTTTTTTTTGAGATGGAGTCTCACTCTGTCACCCAGGCTGGAGTGCAGTGGTGCGATCTTGGCTTACTGCAAGCTCCACCTCCTGAGTTCATACCATTCTCCTGCCTCAGCCTCCCAAGTAGCTGGGACTACAGGCGCCTGCCACCACGCCCGGCTAATTTTTTGTATTTTTAGTAGAGACGGGGTCTCACCGTGTTAGCCAGGATGGTCTCGATCTCCTGACCTCCCAAAGTGCTGGGATTACAGGCATGAGCCACCGCACCCGGCCATAAATCATCTTTTACAAGACAAACTGCTGCAGATAAATACATCAACAATCAGATCATCCTCAAATTCCTATCTCCCAAAATAAAAACTGAAGTACAAGTCTCTAGTCATTTAACATAAAAAGTACTGCAGAACTGCAATATCTTACTAAGCTTCAGATAATTTGAAACATAACATCTATCTTCTCCTGAACAGAAAAGAAAAAAAGAAAAGCAAACTAGATTATTTAGAGTTTTGGAAAACTAGAACTTAAGAATTGTTCAGAGTTAGAAATAACAGGAATTACGAGTGTGTGTGTGCAGATGGTTCATGTACTTAGCCTCTCAAAGTAAAAAACAGCTGTGAAATGATCTAGTAATAAAATTTAAATTTTTGCATTAATAACTCACTTCCAAAAACATCTGCAAAGGGCATTAAGGGACAGGGGATAAATGTGATCGACAAATACAAATTCATATAGTTAATGCTGAGCTACCATTCACTTAGTGACCTGGCAGATTTTAAATCTCTGCAGAAACGACTATCCGGCCAGACGTGGTTGCTCATGCTTGTAATCCCAGCACTTTGGGAGGCCGAGGCAGGCGGATCACGAGGTCAGGAGATCAAAACCATCCTGGCTAACACGTGTGAAACTCCGTCTCTACTAAAAAATACAAAAAATTAGCCGGGCGTGGTGGCGGGCGCCTGTAGTCCCAGCTACTTGGGAGGCTGAGGCAGGAGAATGGCGTGAACCCGGGAGGCGGAGCTTGCAGTGAGCCGAGATCACGCCACTGCACTCCAGCCTGGGCGACACAGCGAGACTCCCATCTCGAGAAAAAAAAAAAGAAAGAAATCACTACCCTGTGTCACTGGTTCATTTAATAGGTTTTAGAAAGGAAGTAGTAAATCAATTAGATATCAACAACTTTGAAAGTAAAATTTACTTCTTAATATTTGCAGTGAAATTTATTTCTGAATGTTAGTATATTCATCAGTAACTACTCTGTGTTTGGAAGTCAATGGTTGTAAACAGCACAACCCCTCTCTTTCATCCTAGACTCCTTGAGATAAGAGTGTTTTGGCCAGGCATGGTGGCTCACATCTGTAATCCCAGCACTTTGGGAGGCTGAAGTGAGCAGATCACCTGAGGTCAGGAGTTCAAGACCAGCCCAAACAACATGGTGAAACCCCCATCTCTACTAAAAATACAAAATTAGCCAGGCATAGTAGCGCATGCCTATAATCCCAGCTACTCGGGACGCTGAAGCAGAAGAATCGCCTGAACCCAGGAGGTGGAGATTCCAGTGAGCTGAGATCCCACCACTGCACTCCAGCCTGGGCAACAAGAGTGAAACTCCATCTCAAAAAAAAAAAAAAAAAAGTGTTTTCTTTGCAGTGTGCTTGGCTGATTTTAGAGAACCATTTTTAATTAGCAAGTACTTTTAGGCAACCTGAATGCCTGTCATTCTAGAGAAGAAATTGTGTGGTGGCGACAGAGACTTCCAAAAAAAAAAAAACAAAGGCAACAAAGAGCCTGGTGTGATGGTTCATGCCTGTAATCCCAGCACTTTGGGAGGCCATGGTGGGGGAATTGCTTGAGCCCAGGAGTTCAAGACAAGCCTGGGCAACACAGCGATGCCCATATCTACAAAATATACAAAAACTAGCTGGACTTGGTGGTGTGCACCTGTAGTCCCAGCTACTTGGGAGACTGAGGCAGGAGGATCACTTGAGCCCAGGCAACAAGTGAAAAGGAGGAAAGGCTGGTCTTGGTGGGCAGCAGCAGTCAACTGTATTCTTCTCTAAGGGGCTCCACCCTCACACACACATACGTCTATGTGGGCATAGCCTTTCAGAACACAAGGCAGCCTTGATTCAGTAGTCAGCTCTTAGCAGAACTGTTAGACAGACATGGTTGGTGGCGGTGGGGGCGGGGTGGTGATAAAGAAAATAATCCATCTCCCTCATTTGCTCCTCATTCTAGGCAAAACACTGCTACAATCTCCAGTGACAAGGGGCTCTGCCTCTAATACACAGAAACCAGGAGAGCAATAATGGGTATGCTGCACCTTAATGAGGACCTGTGTTCTTACAGTGCAAGTTCTGGGAATCAAATTGTATTTTAATGAAACTGGAGAACTAGCTATTTAAAGGAACTCTAAAGAGGACCGCTCTGAAAAGCAAATATTCAACCCCTAAGTGTTTTAATAAGTCTACAGTTTAATATATTAGGTTTGTTAAAAGGAGGCTGTAATTATGAAGAAACCCATAGCCAATCCTAGCCTAGCACCTCATAGCAATCGTGAGAGTGAAGGAAAATATTGTTCTGCCTTGCTAAGTTCAAAGACAACGCCACCTGTCAATAGAGTGGTACCTGGCCAACAATCAGCAGAATTAATCATGCAGGCACAGGCCTTAGAGACATGAGGCATGGCAAGGTGGGGATATTAGGATATACACAAGAGGAAACACACACACAAACAAAGCCTTTGTTCACAAAGCAGACGACCAGGCTTGCAGAGTTCACACTGAAATCATAAGACTCCGAGCACACACGCTGCCTCATCATTGTGAGGCAGCTCATGAAATTTCACAGATGTCATTATGGTCCTTGATAGCATCATGATTGTTCCTTTTAAATAAAAAGATCCTTCCCAGACTGCCATGTCCTCATTAATTTTGGTGACCTTCAGTAGTACTAAATTCTGTCAAGTGGTCTCAAAGCAAGTCCACAGCAAGCGCAAATGACTTGTTTTTTTTCTTGAAGAATATCTATACAAAACACTGGATTTGAGCTAATTTACAAGGGGAAGAAAGTCTTTTAAGAGTAGAAAAACAGGCCAGGCATAGTGGCTCACTCCTATAATCCCAACACTTTGGGAGACTGAGGCAGGAGAATCGTTTGAGCCCAGGAGTTTGAGACCAGCCTGGGCTGGGCTTTTTTGTAGAGAAGACCCCACCTCTACAAAAAAAAAATTAGCCAGGCATAGTGGTGTGTACCTGTAGTCCCATCTACTTGGGAGGCTGAGGTGGGAGAATCACTTGAGCCCGGGAGGTTAAGGCTGCAATGAGCCATGACTGTACCACTGTACTCCAGCCTAGGTAACAGAGCCAGTCTCGAAAAATAAATAAATAAATAAAAAATTTTTAAAAAGAACAGCAGGAAAACATTCAGTCCAAAGTTTTGGTCAATACCCTTAAAAAAAATAGACAAGGAATTTATATAATTCAAAGACAAAAGAAAGTTCAGTTACTCTATAGTAAGTACTATAGAGTATATATATTATAGTATATATAGCATATATATATATATATATAGTACTGTAGAGTACTATACGGAGTATAGTACTCACCAAGTACCCACAGAATTCTTCCAGTCTGCTGAGAGATCCACTATGGACTGTTAAAGTTCTTTCCAAATACCTTCCTATGCAAAACAGACACTACTCCAATCACACCCAATGCATACTTCAAACCTCCATGTAGCCCAATGCCTTTTGAGTGTCTATCAGTTACATAAAGAAAATTTAGATACACACAAAGCAGCCACAGAGCTAAACTGACACAACAGCTCAACATTTTACTTGGAAATATAATGATGATTTTGGCAATTTGAAACTTAAGAGAAAATAAGAAACAAAAGGTGAACAAATGCATTCAAGACTCGAAGGACCAGGGCCACAGAAGACAACTCTCTCCACAGGAGACAACTACCTCCAAAAGATAGCACAATGTAGCCTGGCCCAGGGAATCAGAACCTAGCATAGCACTAAAGACATGTTTACAGAATCAGTCAAGAAACCTAATTCCAGCCACAGCTCTATGAATAACTAGCTAAATGACTTTGGGCAAGTCAGTCCTCCCTCAGCTTCAATCACTCCTCTTATTCCAACCCAGGGGAGAAATGGGCCTGAGTTAATCTTCAAGATCTCTTCCAGATTCTAAAACAGCAATTCTCAAAGTGTGGTCTGGGAACCCCTGGGAGTCCCCAAGACCCTTTCAATGGAACCACAATGTCAAAATTATGGTTTAAAGAGCCATTCAGGGAGTCTCTGAGCCCACCATGGCTCAAGAGGCTACCCCAGTTTAAAAAAAAAAAAAAAGCCATTCAAAGTGCAAGATAAAAAATGGATTTTTATGTTAATAAAGTACAAAAAAATTCCTCGAGGTAACTTTTTCAAACTCTGTATTACAATTAACCTTTAAGAAGCTACCACTTGTCGGCCGGGCGTGGTGGCTCATGCCTGTAATCCCAGCACTTTGGGAGGCCGAGGCGGGCAGATCACCTGAGGTCGGGAGTTCAAGATCAGCCTGACTAACATGGAGAAATCCCGTCTCTACTAAAAAAAAAAAAAAAAAAAATTAGCTGGGCGTGGTGGCACATGTCTGGAATCCCAGCTACTTGGGAGGCTGAGGCAGGATAATTGCTTGAACCCGGGAGGTGGAGGTTGTGGTGAGCCAAGATCAGGCCATTGCACTCTAGTCTGGGCAAGAAGAGCGAGACTCAAAAAAAAAAAAATAAAAAAAAAGAAGCTACCACTTATCAGAGTTTTGGCATAGTACCAAAGAATATACACAATCTGAAAAGGCTTTATTAAAACACATGCCTTCCTTTTCCAACTACATTTCTGTGTGAGGCTCGTTTTTCTTCATGTGCTTCAACAATACAGTTAAGTCAACATCAAAACAATAAGTCACAACAGGCTATATGTTGAAGGAGATCTAGGAATCTAGCTGTCTCTATGGAGCCAGACATCTTCAAATTTTCAAATGCGTAAAACAATTCTACTCTTCCAATTTTATTGTTTTAGAAAATATTTTTCATTAAAAAGGTTATTTGCTAACATGTAAGTTTATTAATTTTTAAGATATATTAACATTCTTGGCCGGGCATGGTGGCTCATGCCTGTAATCCTAGCACTTTGGGAGGCCAAGGTGGGCAGATCACGAGGTCAGGAGATCGAGACCATCCTGGCTAACAAGGTGAAACCCCGTCTCTACTAAAAATACAAAAAATTAGCCGGGCGCGGTGGCGGGCGCCTGTAGTCCCAGCTACTCGGGAGGCTGAGGCAGGAGAATGGCGTGAACCCGGGAAGCAGAGCTTGCAGTGAGCCGAGATTGCGCCACTGCAGTCCGCAGTCCGGCCTGGGCGACAGAGCGAGACTCCGTCTCAAAAAAAAAAGACTTCCCTGGCTTAGACCCTTCAAGTAGGAAGTCATTGAATAGCACACCCCTACAGGATTATTCCCAGACGCCTTGAGTAAACAGAGGCAAAGTTCTAGAAGGCCATTCTGAGGGGAGCAAATGAAAGGTTCGTTTCCTTCTCCATGGAATCATGGCCAGCAGGAAAAAAAAAAAAAAGGCAGAGTTGTGGGGGGTGGAGGGTAGAGAACAATTAGGAAGAGATGAGCTAAAGCAGGGATGACAGTTTGAGCTATGAGAAGCCCGTGTGACAGACACTGCTCCACCCTCTAGAAAGCTGAGCTCTGAAAAATTCACTCACACACACACAAACAAAACAAAAAACATCAGACCAGTGTAAAATGAAGGTGATAAGAAGAGGAAAAAAATAAGATCTCTGGATACAGGGGATGAGGCAAGAATGAGAAAGAAATTCTTTGCTTGTGAACAAAGGCTTTGTTTGTGTGTGTGTTTCCTTCTGTGTATGTAGGATGTTACCATTTGACCTATGAGTCCTGTGTCTTTCCACACAGCTATAACTTCTTAAGCTGGTGATTACTGGCCAGGCACAGTGGCTCATGTCTATTATCTCAGGACTTTTGAGAAGCCAAGGTGGGAGGATTGCTTGAGCCCAGGAGTTTGAGACCAGCCTGGGCAACATAGTGAGACCTCATCTCTACAAAAAAATTTAAAAATTAGCCAGCATGCTAGTGCCCACCTATAGTCTGAGGCCAGAGGATCACTTGAGCTCAGGTGTTCAAGGTTCCAGTGGGTCATGATCATACCACTGCACTTCAGCCTGGGTGACAGAGTAACCCTGACTCAAAAAAAAAAAAAAGAAAAGAGAAGGGAGACTACAGAAACAAGAACCCACATGGCAGGGACATGGAGGGTCCACTTTCCTCAGACTTCCCTAAGCCTAAGTCAGCCCTGAGTTCAGAACAGCTTAAAAGCAGATCAGGTTTATCTGCTAGACAATGAGACTGAAGAGGCTTGGAAAAAAGCCAAGCCATGCTCAGTGTCTCATCCTTCCAATTCCCCAATCACCACTGCCTCCATTCTCCCTTGCCAGTCTCTTCTCAAAGTACAAGCCCTCTGAGGATCCTCCCTCTCCTGAGAGCTCTATCACAGAGCCACAGAGCTCAGTCTGGGTGCTTTCGAGCCCAGACCGATACAAGCTGCGCACAGAGGAGATGTTTTGCCCTTCATAGCCGCATGAACATTCAGTATGAACTGTGTGACAAAGATTCTATCTAGTCAAACTACTCACCAGACATGATCCTGAAAAGCTCTGTGGAAGTAGCATTTCAACAAATCAAAGCTTTTAAATAAGACCGTGCAGGAATTCTATATGAATCCTTTTATAATGCAAATAGGCACAGTGCCTCACGCCTGTAATCCCTGCACTTTGGGAGGCCGAGGTGGGTGGATCACTTGAGGCCAGGAGTTCGAGACCAGCTTGGCCAACACAGTGAAACCCCGTTTCTACTAAAAATACAAAAATTAGCCGGTTGTGGTGGTGCGTGCCTGTAGTCCCAGCAACCTGGTAGACTGAGGCAGGAGAATCGCTTGAACCCAGGAGATGGAGGTTGCAGTGGGTCCAGACTGCACCACTGTACTCCAGCCTAGGCGACAGAGTCTCGTTAATAATAATAACAACCACCGCTGATTTTCTGAGCTGACACTGGTCACTTTCGATTTTCAATTACCAATTCTTTTAAAATAGCTACACCTACATGGTATATAGGTTGTTTCTATAGTTTTTCCTTAATTGGTATCTAGTACAAATAAAAGTGTTAATGGATGACTACTACGTTGTGATATATACTTTTGTATTTTCAAAATATTCTACAGAAAATAATATAACGTACTAATATTATTGCATTTGGATGGTTATTAACGCTTTTCCACTGTGACTTTGCCAGTGACTTGGGCACTCTATGCACTTAGCTTCAAGACAGGAGTAAACTCTTTTGGCTCTGCTTCTCACAGTTCTAAAATCAATGGTAATGTTAGTCAGCTGCAGGCCCTTTGTGGTGCTTTGTGTATAAGACAAAATATATTTGGTCTCTGTCCCAGGTTCCCAGCACAGAACTCCTAAAATCCTTGGAATTTCCTACGTGATGGGAGTGTCTTTTGTTATTTATAATCAGCCCCTTTTGATCACACCAGAGTTTATGCTAATAAACTTAGGGTGGGGCCCCTAGATAGCCCCAGGATGGGACTGGAAAGACCTAGAAAGACCCCGTCCCTAGAATGACCAGGGACTACAGGGTGGAACTTTCAGCCCCACTCACTGAACTCTAAGAAGTAGGGTTGTGGGGGCTGGAAATTGAGCTCTATAAAAATTATTGAACAATGAGATTTAGAGCACTTCCAGGTTGGAGAACACATCAAAGTGCTGGGAGGGTGACACTCCAGGATAGGGCACAGAAGCTCTGTGCTCCACTCCCTCCATACCTTGTCCTTGGCATCTCTTCCACTTCACCGTTCCTGAGTTGTATCCTTTATGAGAAACAGGTAAACCTAAGCAAAATGTGTTCCTGAGTTCTATGGGCCATTCAGGCAAATTATTAAACCTGAGGAGGGGTCTTGGGAATGCCCTATTCATAGCTGGTCAGTCAGAAGTTACTGGTGGGCCAAGACTTGAGACTAGTGTCTAAAGTGGGGGTGTTGTTGCAATACCGAGCCCTTAGCCTGTGGTATCTGCTCCAACTCCCGGCAGTGTCAGAATTGAATACTGTTGAACATCTAGTTGGTGTCCAGAGAATCGGAAAATTGATTGTTAGTGTTGGAAACACCATGGTGCTGTTTGGAGAAGTGATTGTTGGTGTTGGAAATATAGTGTCACATGGATTTAAGTGGCAAATAAGGGTAAAAAGTTTCTATCTGCAAAATGCAACAGAAAGTTTGAAGATGGATTTCTTGACTTCCCATGTGTAAAAATAAACTGTGGAATTATTTCAACACAACCGGTAAACTGTACCTTTTCTTATCTATATACTACTTATTTAACTTTTTTGTTTGCCTGTGATATAGCCTCAGAGGTCCTGAGAACACATGCCCCTAAACTGTACCTTTAAACTACTAAATGTCACATTTCTAGTTGACTTAGTAATTAAATGGTACCGGGGTTCGTAAATGGAAATACGTAGTGAGTTTCACCCCCTCAATTCACAAAGGAAGACAGGAATCTCACATGAACCAAATTTGTTTCAGATACTGTTTTCCATATTTTAAGTAATAATAAAACTGATAATGAGAATTAGGAGAAAACTGTTTTCCATATTTTAAGTAATAATAAAACTGATAATGAGAATTAGGATAGGAACAGGAGGCAGGGAAATTCTGGGCAGAAGAGGGCAGGTCCCTGGCAAGGGCCCCACCCTCAAGCCTGGAACCATGGCCCAAAGTGAGAACTTACATCTGTTTTCCCACTCAAATGTTTTCCTTTTCCAAAACCACCCATGGCCCGCCCTGCCCCCCATCCTGCACCCATAAAAATCCCAGGCTTGAGGTGGAGCTTGCAGTGAGCCAAGACTGCACCGCTGCACTGCAGTCTGGGCGACACCGTGAGACTCTGTCTCAAAAAAAAAAAAAAAAAAAGCCCAGGCTCAGCCTGCAGAGAGAGGAGAAGCAGGTGTGCATCAGAGACTACGGTTGGATGTCACAGAAAAGCGGCTTGACTTCAGAGGGACAGCTTGATGGTGTAGCTTCGGAGAGGAGTCCGGCCAGGGAAGGCCTACAGGGGAAGATTACGGTCCCGCTCTGTCCCCTTTTCAGCTCCCCTTCTGGCTGAGAGCCACTTTCATCAGCAATAAAATCCCCCACATTTACCACCTTCAATTCGTTCGTGTGACCTCATTCTTCCTGGATACCGAACAAGAACTCAGGTGCCATGAGGGTGGGTGCAAGAGGCTGTCACACGGACCCTCCACTGAGCTGTTAACACTTAAGCCATCCACAGATTACAAAGCTAAAAGAGTACTGCAACACTTCCTCTAGGGCTTCAGGGGTCACAGGCACCCTCCCCTAGATGCTGCCACGAGGCCAGTAAAGAGTTTGCTCTTCCCAGCGCCCAAAAGCACTAGCCCCAGCTCCTGCACCCACTCACCAGTGCTCCCCCTCCCACGATGAGTAGAGTAGCGAGTGAGCGGAGTTCACTCCTGCTAGTCCCCATGTACTCCAGTTCCCACCCATGAGGGGGTCAAGGAAATATCCTGCTTCAAAATTAGCAGAACCAATGAAGATCAGTAGTGATCTGAGCAGTTCAAAATACATTCCATCAGCAGTCTAACCATCAGCAGTCTATCTCCTCTCCCTTGGCCAACATACCCCCTTAGGCTACCAAATCTATTAGTTGCTACAAAAATGCATAGGAATTGAATTACACAAATGAGTTATATTCAAACACAATCCTTTTCCTCTCAAGGAAGCAGCATTGTTCCCTAGAATGTCGTGAGGAAGTCAGGATCAGAATGAGAATTAGAAGACAAGGATCCTGGGACTACCTGTGTATACCTCAACATGTATGTAAAATAATCCTCCAAAAACTGTTTCAGATTATAACAGACTAACTGTAATGAGGGATCCTGGGTTAGATCCTGGACCAGGGGGTGGGGCAGGGGGGGAGTGTGGGGGAAAAAATAGCTACAAGGGCCTAGGGGAAATAATATTTGGGGACAACTGATGCCATTGAGTACAGAATATAAATTAGATAATAGTATTGTATCAATATTAAATTTCCTGATTTTGAGAATTGGTCTGTGGTTATGTAACAGAACATCCTTAGGCAATACATAATGATGTGTCTATGAATGAAATAATAAAGTATTTAGAGGTAAAAATAAATAAGTAACTGGGGGGAGGTTCCAAGATGGCCAAATAGGAATAGCTCCAGTCTACAGCTCCCAGCGTAAGCGACACAGAAGATGGGTGATTTCTGAATTTCCAACTGAGGTACCAGGTTCATCTCACTGGGGCTTGTCGGACACTGGGTGGAGCCCACGGAGTGTGAGCCAAAGCAGAGACACACATAGGCTCAAAATAAAGGGATGGAGGAAGATCTACCAAGCAAATGGAAAACCAAAAAAAGCAGGGGTTGCAATCCTAGTCTCTGATAAAACAGACTTTAAACCAACAAAGATCAAAAGAGACAAAGAAGGCCATTACATAATGGTAAAGGGATCAATTCGACAAGAAGAGCTAACTATCCTAAATACATATCCACCCAATACAGGAGCACCCAGATTCATAAAGCAAGTCCTTAGAGACCTAAAAAGAGACTTAGACTCCCAAACAATAATAATGGGAGATTTTAACACCCCACTGTCAACATTAGACAGATCGACGAGACAGAAACTTAACAAGGATATCCAGGAATTGAACTCAGCTCTGCACCAAGCAGACTTAATAGACATCTACAGAATTCTCCACCCCAAATCAATAGAATATACATTCTTCTCAGCACCACATCACACTTATTCCAAAATTGACCACATAGTTGGAAGTAAAGCACTCCTCAGCAAATGTAAACGAACAGAAATTATAACAAACTGTCTCTCAGACCACAGTGCAATCAAATTAGAACTCAGGATTAAGAAACTCACTCAAAACCACTCAACTACATGGAAACGGAACAACCTGCTCCTGAATGACTACTGGGTACATAACGAAATGAAGGCAGAAATAAAGATGTTCTTTGAAACCAATGAGAGCAAAGACACAACATACCAGAATCTCTGGGACACATTTAAAGCAGTGTGTAGAGGAAAATTTATAGCACTAAATGCCCACAAGAGAAAGCAGGAAAGATCTAAAACTGACACCCTAACATCACAATTAAAAGAACTAGAGAAGGAAGAGCAAACACATTCAAAAGCTAGCAGAAGGCAGGAAATAGATCAGAGCAGAACTGAAGGAAATAGAGACACAAAAAACCCTTCAAAAAAAAATCAGTGAATCCAGGAGCTGGTTTTTTGAAAAGATCAACAAAATTGATAGACTGCTAACAAGAATAATAAAGAAGAAAAGAGAGAAGAATCAAATAGACACAATAAAAATGATAAAGGGAACATCACCACCGATCCCACAGAAATACAAACTACCATCAGAGAATACTATAAACACCTCTACACAAATAAACTAGAAAATCTAGAAAAAATGGATAAATTCCCGGACCCATCCACCCTCCCAAGACTAAACCAGGAAGAAGTTGAATCCCTCAATAGACCAATAACAGGCTCTGAAATTGAGGCAATAATTAATAGCCTACCAACCAAAAAAAGTCCAGGACCAGATGGATTCAGAGCCGAATCCTACTAGAGGTACAAAGAGGAGCTGGTACCATTCCTTCTGAAACTATTCCAATCAACAGAAAACAAGGGAATCCTACCTAACTCATTTTATGAGGCCAGCATCATCCTGATACCAAAGCCTGGCAAAGACACAACAAAAAAAGAGAATTTTAGACCAATATCCCTGATGAACATCGATGCAAAAATCCTCAATAAAATACTGGCAAACCGAATCCAGCAGCACATCAAAAAGCTTATCCATCACGATCAAGTTGGTTTCATCCCTGGGATGCAAGGCTGTTCAACATACACAAATCAATAAATGTAATCCAGCATATAAACAGAACCAAAGACAAAAACCACATGTCTATCTCAATAGATGCAGAAAAGGCCTTTGACAAAATTCAACAGCCCTTCATGCTAAAAACTCTCAATAAACTAGGTATTGATGGAACATATCTCAAAATAATAAGAGTTATTTATGACAAACTCACAGCCAATATCATACTGAATGGGCAAACACTGGAAGCATTCTCTTTGAAAACTGGCACAAGACAGGGATGCCCTCTCTCACCACTCCTATCCAACATAGTGTTGGAAGTTCTGGCCAGGGCAATCAGGCAGGAGAAAGAAATAAAGGGTATTCAATTAGGAAAAGAGGAAGTCAAATTGTCCCTGTTTGCAGATGACATGATTGTATACTTAGAAAACCCCATTGTCTCAGCCCAAAATCTCCTTAAGCTGATAAGCAACTTCAGCAAAGTCTCAGGGTACAAAATCAGTGTGCAAAAATCACAGCATTCCTGTACACCAATGACAGACAAACAGAGAGCCAAATCATGAATGAACTCCCATTCACAATTGCTACAAAGGGAATAAAATACCTAGGAATCCAACTTACAAGGGATGTGAAGGACCTCTTCAAGGAGAACTACAAACCACTGCTCAATGAAATATAAGAGGACACAAACAAATGGAAGAACATTCCATGCTCATGGATAGGAAGAATCATATCGTAAAAATGGCCATACTGCCCATGGTAATTTATAGATTCAATGCCATCCCCATGAAGCTACCAATGACTTTCTTCACAGAATTGGAAAAAAACTACTTTAAAGTTCATATGGAACCAAAAAAGAGCCTGCATTGCCAAGACAATCCTAAGCAAAAAGAACAAAGCTGGAGGCATCACGCTACCTGACTTCAAACTATACTACAAGGCTACAGTAACCAAAACAGCATGGTACCCGTACCAAAACAGAGATATAGACCAATGGAACAGAACAGAGCCCTCAGAAATAATACCACACATCTACAACCATCTGATCTTTGACAAACCTGACAAAAAACAAGAAATGGGCAAAGGATTCCCTATTTAATAAATGGTGCTGGGAAAACTGGCTAGCCATATGTAGAAAGCTAAAACTGGATCCCTTCCTTACACCTTATACAAAAATTAATTCAAGATGGATTAAAGACTTAAATGTTAGACCTAAAACCAAAAAAACCCTAGAAGAAAACCTAGGCAATACCATTCAGGACACAGGCATGGGCAAGGATTTCATGACTAAAACACCAAAATCAATGGCAACAAAAGCCAAAATTGACAAATGTGATCTAATTAAACTAAAGAGATTCTGCACAGCAAAAGAAATGACCATCAGAATGAACAGGCAACCTACAGAATGGGAGAAAATTTTTACAATCTACCCATCTGACAAAGGGCTAATATCCAGAATCTACAAAGAAGTTAAACAAATTTACAAGAAAAAATCAAACAACCCCATCAAAAAGTGGTTAAAGGATATGAACAGATACTTCTCAAAAGAAGACATTTATGCAGCCAACAGACACATGAAAAAATGCTCATCATCACTGGCCATCAGAGAAATGCAAATCAAAACCACAATGAGATACCATTTCATACCAGTTAGAATGGCGATCATTAAAAAATCAGGAAACAACAGGTGCTGGAGAGGATGTGGAGAAATAGGAACACTTTTACACTGTTGGTGGGACTGTAAACTAGTTCAACCATTGTGGAAGACAGTGTGGCGATTCCTCAAGGATCTAGAACTAGAAATACCATTTGACCCGGCCATCCCATTACTGGGTATATACCCAAAGGATTATAAATCATGCTTCTATAAAGACACATGCACACGTATGTTTATCGTGGCACTATTCACAATAGCAAAGACTTGGAACCAACCCAAATGTCCATCAGTGATAGGCTGGATTAAGAGAATGTGGTACACATACACCATGGAATACTATGCAGCCATAAAAAAAGATGAGTTCATGTCCTTTGTAGGGACATGGATGAAGCTGGAAACCATCATTCTGAGCAAACTATCACAAGTACAGAAAACCAAACACCGCATGTTCTCGCTCATGGGTGGGAACTGAACAATGAGAACACTTGGACACAGGGTGGGGAACATCAAACACCGGGGCCTATTGTGGGGTGGGGGTGGGGGGAGGGATAGCATTAAGAGACACACCTAATGTAAATGACGAGTTAATGGGTGCAGCACACCAACATGGCACATGTATACATATGTAACAAACCTACACGTTGTGCACATATACCCTAGAACTTAAAGTATAATTTTTAAAAATAAATAAATAAATAACTTTCTAAAAGACAATTACAAGGAAGAAAATAAAAATTTCTTTCCCTAGTTCTCCAAAGATTTAAACACTTAACAAATCCCAAAATACCTCATTTCAAAGTATAGATTTGGGCCAGGCGCAGTGGCTCACCTGAGGTCAGGAGTTCGAGACCAGCGTGGCCAACATGGCAAAACCCCATCTCTACTAAAAATACAAAAATTAGTCAGGCGTGGTGGCGCACCTATAGTCCCACCTACTCGGGCGTGGTGGCGCTTGCCTGTAATCCCAGCTATTTGGAGGCTGAGACAGAATAATCATTTGAACCCAGGAGGTGGAGGTTGCAGTGAGATTGTGTCACTGCACTCCAGCCTGGGAAACAGCAAGACTCCATCTCAAAAAAAAAAAATAGATAGATTTGAAATATAACCTAACTGACTATTCTCTGTAGTTAGTTAATAACAAATTAGTAACAAACTTCCTTTCCTTTAAGACACAATGCCTTAGGGTTAAAAAGGCTAATTAAGCCTACCTTCTAAAGGGGTGAGTCTCTTTCCTTCTTCCTCTGAGCACAGCAGGAACTAGAACCATCTCTGAGGAAAAAGTCTCACTTGGCTTGTCTCTGGAAGGCTCTAAGCATGATCAATGACATAAATAAACGGCACCCCACAAGCAGGTAGAAATTGTACTCACCAGCTTGCCCTCCCTCTGTGTATGGACGTGGCCCAGTTTTGAAGAATCTTGTAAAGCGACTTATGTATCCATCTAGATTATATATTTCACCATTACTTTATGGACAAAGTTATTCTAACCTGTGCCGACATTTTCTGTTTCTGTTTTAGGCTCCTACACACACACATACACACACACACATATCTTAGCATTGTAGAAATAAGAGTGCTTAAAATTTATAGCACCTTTTGCCAGGCACAGTGGCTCATACCTGTAATTCCAGCACTTTGGGAGGCTGAGGCAGGCGAATCACAAGGTCAGGAATTCGAGACCGGCCTGGCCAACATGGTGAAATGCCGTCTCTACTAAAAACACAAAAAATTAGCTGGGCGTAGTGGCAGGCGCCTGTAATCCCAACTACTCAGGAGGCTGAGGCAGGAGAATTGCTTGAACCCGGGAGGCGGAGGTTGCAGTGAGCCGAGATCACGCCACTGCACTCGAGCCTGGGTGACAGTGCAAGAATCCATCTCAAAAAAAAAAAAAAAGATTTATAGCACCTTTTACTTTTTTTTGAGACGTCTTGTTCTGTCGCCCAGGCTGGAGTGCAGTGGCACAATCATAGCTCACTGCAACCTCTGCCTCCCAGGTTCAAACAATTCATGTGCCTCAGCCTCCCAAGTAGCTGGGATTACAGGCGTGAATCACCATGTCCAGCCTTTTTTTTTTTTTTTTTTAAGACGGAGTCTCACTCTGAAACCCAGGCTACAGTGCCGTGGCACAATCTTGGCTCACTGCAGCCTCCATCTTTTGGGTTCAAGCGATTTTCCTGCCTTAGTCTCCTGAGTAGCTGGGATTACAGGTGCCCACCACAACGCCTGGCTAATTTTTGTATTTTTAGTAGAAACGGGGGCGCTTTCACCATGTTGGCCAGGCTGGTCTTGAACTCCTGACCTCAGGTGATCCACCCACCTCGGCCTCCCAAAGTGCTTAGATTATTGGCGTGAGCCAACATGCCTGGCCAGATTTACACCACTTCTAACCAATCACGGTTACATATGTACAAGGAATGTATAGAGCCCTGTAAGTCTCTCTCTAGTCTAATGCTGGACATAAATACCGAAGAAAACAGTGACAAGTGAATACTAGCAAAGATAGATGAGAAAGAAAGTGTACATTTCACCTAAAACCAAAATAGCAAAGTAGAAAAAAGGCTTCTTTTAAACTAATACTCCTATTCTCTGGGGAAAAGTATATGGAGTCTGGACAAAATCCAGACTACAGATTTTGCAAGTAAGAGGAAGTGCAGAAAAATTCTATTTCCAAAAGTAAATAAATAAATAATAAAAAATGAAGTAAAAAAAAACCCCTATTTCTATAAGTGGAAAATAATAGATGTTAATTCTTGAGAAGAAGGGGCATCTGTCAAAGACTAGAAAATGCCATGTGCGTGTGCATGCGTACATGTACACATAACCGACTATGCATGTCCCACCACTCATCAGATAAATAAGCTATTTGAGGACAGGCATGGTGGTTCACGCCTGTAATCCCAGCACTTTGGGAGGCCCAGGTGTGCAGGTCACCTGAGGTCAGAAGTTTGAGACTGCCCCGGTCAACATAGTGAAATCCCATCTCTACTAAAAATAGTGATGCACCTATAGTCCCAGTTACTTGGGAGGCTGAGGGAGAATTGCTTGAACCCGGGAGGCGAAGGTTATAGTGAGCTGAGATCGCACCACTGCACACCAGCCTGGACAACAGAGCAAGACTATGTCTTTAAAAAAAAAAAAAAAAAAAAGCAGGTATTCCACAGAGACACAGCCAAATTTCATTAGACACCAAAATGGGAGGTACAAAGACCAAAATAATTCATACAAGGACCTTATGGTCAGGAAATATTGTCACAGTAGAGGGAACAAGGGGCAAAGGCTGGGATGAACTAAAAGCCTGAGAAAATATTTTAATGGAAAAAGTGGCTGACCTTTATTTTGGAGAAAAAAAATGATGATCAAAGGGAAAGGCAGAAATGCAAACAATTTATTTAGTTCAAAGCCTACGCATTTTCTGGCTGAGCGCAGCAGCTTACTCCTATAATCCCAACACTTCGGGAGGCTGAGGCGGGTGTATCACCTGAGGCCAGGAGTTCGGGATCAGCCTGGACAACATGGTGAAACCCCGTCTTTACTAAAATACAAAAATTAGCCAGGCACGGTGGCAGGCACCTGTAATCCCAGCTACTCAGGAGGCTGAGGCAAGAAAATCGCTTGAACCCCTGAGACGAAGACTGTAGTGGGCCAAGATCATGCCATTGCACTCCACCTTGGCAACAAGAGCAAAACTCCATCTCAAAAATAAACAAATAAATAAAAGCCTATGCATTTTCTGTACAAAGACACCACGCCAATGACAAAACATTGATTCTTAAAAATAGGGCTGGGCACCGGTGGCTCATGCCTGTAATCCCAGCACTTTGGGAGGCCGAGGCAGGCGGATCACAAGGTCAAGAAATCAAGACCATCCTGGCCAACATGGTGAAATCCCGTCTCTATTAAAAATACAAAAATTAGCTGGGTGTGGTGGCGCGCACCTGTAATCCCAGCTACTCGGGAGGCTGAGGCAGGAGAATCACTTGAACCCAGGAGGCAGAGGTTGCAGTGAGCCGAGATCGCGCCACTGCACTTCAGCCTGGGCGAGTGTGAGACTCTGTCTCAAAATAAATAAATAAAAATAAAAATTTAAAAGAGGGCCGGGTGCAGTGGCTCACATCTGTAAATCTCAGCACTTTGGGAGGCCGAGGCAGGTGGATCCAGAGGTCAGGAGTTCAAGACCAGCCTGGCCAAGATGGTGAAATCCCATCTCTACTAAAAATACAAAAGTTAGCCAGGCGTGGTGGCGGGCACCTGTAATCCCAGGTACTCAGGAGGCTGAGGGAGGAGAATTGCTAGAACCCGGGAGGCAGACGCTGCAGTGAGCTGAGATCGCGCCACTGCACTCCAGCCTGGGTAAGAGTGAGACTCTGTCTCAAAAAAAAAAAAAAAAAAAAAAAATTAAAAAGGCTGGGCACAGTGGCTCACACCTGTAATCCCAACACTTTGGGAGGCCAAGGCAGGAGGATCACTTGAGGACAGGAGTTTGAGAACAGCCTGGGCAACATAGTGAGACCCTGTCTCTATAAAAAACTACAAAATCAGCTGGGCATAGTGGTGCACGTCCGTAGACCCAGCTACTCAGGAAGGTGAAGTGGAAGTATTTTGAGCCCAGGGAGTCAAGGCTGCAGTGAATTGTGATCACATCACTGCACTCCAGCCAACAGAGTGAGACTGTGTCTTGAAAATACAATAAAATAAAACAAATAATAATAAATAAAATGTTAGCATATTATAAAAATATAAATTAAAAAGACACTGTGCCAGGCACTATGATGCACAAATATATCCATCAAATAAAAGAACTCACATAAGAAAAAAAGCAGTAAGACTATTTGACTCAAAAACAGAGAGAATTAGACTGGGCACAGTGGCTCATGCCTGTAATCCCAGCACTTTGGGAGGCCAAGGCAGGCGGATCATGAGGTCAGGAGTTCAAGACCAGCCTGGCCAACATGGTAAAACCCAGTCTCTACTAAAAATACAAAAATTAGCTGGGCGTGGTGGTGGACACCTGTAATCCCAGCTACTTGGGAGACTGAGGCAGAAGAATTGCTCGAACCTGGGAGGTGGAGGCTGCAGTAAGCTGAGATCGCGCCACTGCACTCCAGCCTGGGTGACAGAGCAAGACTCCGTCTAGAAAAAAAAAAAAATAGAATCAACAAAAATACCATTTTGGGCCATCAAAGAAGTATGCATCATTTTGTGAAAATAAATAATTCAAACTTAAAGCTGTTAGAATTTTAAATTATTCTGAGCCTTGAGAGGAATGTGGTTATGCTGCCTGAGTGACTTGGCATGCAGCTATAACTTCTGTATTTTTTTCTATAAATAATTAGGAAGACCAGTGGCACTAGAGATAAGACCTCTCAGATCCCTGCCCCTACTTATTAAGTAATAAAGTAATCTTGCTTGAAATGTAGCAATCTGTAACCAATCAAATTGTTGCAGATATGCATTGGTCTTCTGTGGAAAATGTTATAATCCTGCTGGAACTTCTCTGTCTCTACCTACATAAGTGAAACCTTAACTCCTCCACTTTGGAATGCTGACCCCATTTGTTTGGACTCAGTGTTTCCAGATGGCCATCCTCAAGCTTTGCACTCAAATAAACTCCATACTTAATCATATCCTCTGAAATGCATTATTTAAGGTTGACAATTTGAATAAACACCAAATTAAAACATATGATAATATAAAATTATATCCCTAATACAAAAATGAAAGATAGCACTACATTCCCCACCAGGAAATTTACAATGCATTTTCTTCCCTAATTACACATCCTGCCCTGAACACTTCTACACTCTCCAACCTGGTACCCTACTGCTCAAGGATACTCATTCATCCTAGAGCAGTTAAGAGTACCATGTAGGTCTGCATAGTTTCTAACCATGGGGCTGCAGCCTGGAATTAAACCCCAAATCCCTGCCTCACCAGTGCTCACTGTGTCAACCTATAACAGTTGGCAACATTCATTGTCTCAGACTATCTAGTTGACTGAGAGTGAAGAAGAAAAGTGGAACACCTAGAAAAAACTGCCAAATCTCAAGGACAAAGACTCCAGGCCTGCATTTGAGTAGGAGGGTTAATGAAGTTACAATCTTCTGGTTATTCAATCAACAAGTAGTTATTAAACATTCTTGTGACCTAGTCTCAAGTGGACATTTCCCCAGCACTGCAGCCAAAATAAAAATGTCAGTCCAAAAAAGGGAAGAGGAGTGAATGACAGAAAAAGGACAGGATGAGGAGCTAATCCTCCCTCCTGCTCACCACAGCATACAAGAATGAGGAGTGCAACTCACTGTTACATAACAGTGAAGCTGAATAAAAGGCCCAGCTAAGTCAACGGTGACAGCTGCAGAACATTATAAACCAGGGCTGGAGGCTGCCACTCAGCCATACTAAGTAATAAACTACCAAATGCCCCACACCGCAGCCACTTCCATTTCTAGAATCTCATGATCTCTCCCACTAACTAAAGATAAAAAACATGAGCTACCATAACAATTCTGACAGGAGTTACGTGTCAGCATAACTTCACCTTCACATCCAAATGTCCCCATTTTTAAGACATTCTTTTTTTTTTTTTTTTTTTTGAGACAGGGTCTTGCTCTGTCACCCAGGCTCAAGCGCAGTGGCACCAACATAGCTCACTGCAGCCTCGACCTACTGGGCTCAAGGGATTCTCCTGCCTTATTCCTGTACTAAATTATTTTTTGTGCTAGCTTGGATATGACGTACTGAAAAGGCCTCTACTTAGATTTGACTACATATTAATACTGTAGCAACTGGAGTTTACTCTTTACAGTAAATAAAATATTAAAATTAAAAGAATAATTACATATTTTGAGCTTGGATAGATTCAGAAAAGCACCACTCACATAAAAGGATGAAAAGGACCCCTGTCGTTTTACAAACACCTTTAGTGCTGCTGCTATCTTGATCAATAACTATGAAATACACCCATTTCAAATTTCAGAATTAACACAAACCAAGATTAAGTATGTCATTTTATAGCTTCCCTACTGATTCCATTTTTGCAGCAAAAGCCTGTAAAATTATTATCTGCAAAAACAAAAAAATTGCAAAAGTTAACAAAAAAAAGTACTGAGAGGAAGTACTTGAATAACTGGTAGAAACCAACAAGATAACACAATGAAAAAGGTACATCTAACGAGTTGGACAAGAACTTCCTACTTGGTACCTTGGCAGTTAAGAGACCCTGCAACTTATCCCACTGCGAAACATGTAGAAATGTGGATAAAATTATAATAACTGTCCTTTTTAAATGATTCACAGCTATGCTTATAAAAAGTTAATATAAACCCCCAAGGACCAAGAATGAAAAACAAACTGAAAACACAAGACTAATACTCTTGAGATTTGACACTGCAGCAGTTCTGGCAGAAGAGGTTGCCAATCTTGGGGAACAAATAAAAAGATAAGAGATAATGCCTTGGGCTCAAAAAAGCTAAAAAGGAGTAACTATGACCTCTACCTAAAGCCAGGACCTTAAGGAGTTACAATCTCATGAAAGAGTAAACTACAAAAAAATCTGCCAGCCAATACAGAAGACAACATAAAAGCTGCATCAACCTAGGTTGGAGGATGGAGACAAAATGGGAGCCTGTAATCATCAGTCAGCCCTCAAATCAGTTTGAGGTTTAAATATATACTTACCTACACTGTCCAAGAAATTAACCAAAACTAAAGTGGTCCTAGGCAAATGATACATCTTAGGTGCCTAGAAGCAAACGCAAAATAGCTCAGGCACATATCTCAACCCAGGCCATGTGAGATTCCCACAGATAAAGCCTTACTCACAAACTGAATGTACAAACGCACGAGGAACTAATCAAACAGAAGAAAGAGCCAACAGGGTCAACAGACATAACTATCTCTAAAAATGCAGAAAAGATGGTGGTGCATGCCTATAGTCACAGCTATTCAGGAAAGCTTCAGCCTGGGAGTTCGAGGCTGCAGTGAGCTGTGATGGCACCACTACACTCCATCCTGGGTGACAGACTGAGACTCTGTCATTAAAAAAAAAAAAAAAAAAAAAAAAAAAAAACGCAGAAAAGGCTGTGATAAAATTCAGAACCTATTCATGATTACAAAAGCAAACAAACTCTTAGCAAACTTGAAGAAAACTTTCACTGGATAAAGGGAGTCTACTAGAAACAAGCCCCACACAGTATGACTGGGAGTGTACCCTTTAAATTCAGAACAAGATAAGGTTGCATGCTGTCAGTCAGTGTTTCTCTCAACATCAAACTGGAGTCTACAATAAGTAAGACGAAAAAAAGGCAAAGGGACTGGAACAAAGAAAGAAAACTGTAAAGAGTCAAGGATTACATTATTTCAACATAGCAAATCTATAGTCAAACTACTAGACATAAAGGGAGCTCAGTGCTGGGCGCAGTGGCTCACGCCTATAATCCCAGCACTTTGGGAGGCCGAGGCGGGCATATCACGAGGTCAGGAGATCGAGACTATCCTGGCTAACATGGTGAAACCCCATCTCTACTAAAAATACAAAAAATTAGCCAGACATGGTGGCGGGCGCCTGTAGTCCCAGCTACTTGGGAGGCTGAGGCAGGAGAATGGGAGGAACCCGGGAGGCAGAGCTTGCAGTGAGCTGAGATCGCGCCACAGCACTCCAGCCTGGGTGACAGAGCAAGACTCCGTCTCAAAAAAAAAAGGGGGGGGTGGGGGAGCTCAGTAAGGTGGCTACATGAAAGATCAATAAAGAAAAATCTATTTTAGTCTGAACACAGTGGCTCACGCCTGTAATCCCAGCACTTTGGCAGGCCGAGACGGGCGGATCACCTGAGGTCAGGAGTTCAAGACCAGCCTGGCCAACACGGTGAAACCCCATCACTACTAAAAATACAAAAATTAGCCTGGCATGGTGGCACGCACCTGTAATCCTAGCTACTCAGGAAGCTGAGGCAGAAATGCTTGAACTGGGGAGGCAGAGGCTGCAATAAGCTGAGACGGCACCACTGCACTCCAGTGTGGGTGACAGAGTAAGACGCCATCTCAAAAAATACATAAATAAAAATCTATTATATTTCTATGTAGTCACTACCTACAAGTATATAAACACACACACACACATATATATTTTTTAAGACAAGGTCTCATTTTGTCACCCAGGCAGCTGGAGTACAGTGGTGAGATCTCGGCTCACTGCAGCCTGCAGCCTCTACCTCCCAGGCTCAAGCGATTCTTCCATCTCAGCACCCCCACACGCCAACCCAGTAGCTAAGACTACAGGCATGTGCCACCACACCAAGCTAACTTTTTTTCACTTTTTGTAGCAACAGGGTCTATGTGGCCCAGGCTGGAAAGTGTAATTTTTTTAAAATCTTATTTACAATCGCTACAATAACTATATGGTATGTTCCTGACATTCTAGCAACTCATGCAGGCTTCCCCAAGCACCTGAGGACTAGCAATTAGACTGAGTAGTGAGTAGTGCACAGGAGTGAAAAGGCCTCTTTGTTCTAATCTCAGGTCTAGACACTGACTTCAGGAGTGTGATGAACAAAATGGGAAGAAATAAGGCTTCCCTCATTTGAACTTACAGAAAAGAATCAAACATATGATCTTCAAATGAAAAGCTGTTTCTTAACAGCATCCTAACATATAAATAACATGCACTACATGCTCCTGCAAAGCTGTGACTGCTCTCTCTTAACTTTTTCCCCTATTATATTTGAGCCAGTTTCTTTCTTTTTTTAATTTTAAAAATTTAATAAACAGAAAATTAAAAAAATAAACAGAGATGTGGTTTCACCATCTGGCCCAAGCTGGTCTTGAACTCCTGGGCTCAAGCCATCCACCCACCTCAGCCTCCCAAAGTGCTGGGATTACAGGTGTGAGCCACTGCACCTGGCCTGAGCCAGTGTCTTCAACAGGCTATATAGTTAAGCCAAGAAGCCAATGTCTAAGTTTTGCTGAATCCTAGTAATACTGATTTGCCTTATTTAGAAGGCTAAAGGAAAGGGCAGACCCCAAGAGCTCCCCTTATACCTCCTCCTATCCAGTCTCTCCATTCCTAACACCTGACTCTATGTTTACATGTAGATAACAAACCTCCTATCTTCAGTTACAGGACTCCAAATTTAATGTATTCTGTGGCCCAGAGTGAAGCATTCCCTGTTTTCCTGCATAAGGCAGAGACATATTGCTTCACTGCAATTTAAGAGAAGAATAGAAAAGAAACCTCCTATCTTCAGTTACATCTAATGGAGGACTCCAAATCTAATGTATTCTGTGGCCCAAAGTGAAGCACTCCCTGTTTTCCTGTGTAAGGCAGAGACATACTGCTTCATCGCAATTTAAGAGAAGAATAGAAAAGAAGCCTGGCCTGAGATTTCCTAAGGCTTTACCAGGCACTGGGAGCAGCCTCAAACCCTTGAGAAGGGTTTGTATCTATACAAGCCATTAACATCAGGATTAAAATACTATAGCCAGCAGACTCAAAACCCTGAAAAGCCCATTGATACCTAAATCAATTATTTAATTTTGCTTTCCAAAAGTTGTCCCCCTCTGGGCTGCCTTCTAAACTTGACAGGAAGTGGCATGTTTTAAAAAAGATTTACAAATAACCACAGGACATTTAAGGAATTATTTAAGAGAAACCTCAGTGAAAGAAAAGGGATCATCTTGATCTGTGGAGAACAAGCTGATAGTCTACCACCTAATAACTAATCCTCCCACACCTGGGCCTTTTCCAGTGTCAGTGAGAGTCAACACTTTCATTATCTGCAGGCTTAACAATTAGTTAAAACTCACTAAATATATTACCAAATGCTTAAACACAGAAAAAAATAAATAAAAAATAAACCCTTCTCAGCAAAATGATAAAGCAAATGCTACGGTATTATTACTTTCTAACTACTGACCCTGATGATCTTTGATGAACACACCGGGGAGGGAACCGTGGCAAAAACCAGGAGGTCCTTCTACTAAAATGCACATTCTATGCACCCTGACATAAAGAGGCTCTCAGGGCTTGGATCAGGCTGTTCTATGAAGCTTCAGAGAAAAAGTAGATGGGATGGATGAGAACCAATACTTGGAAAGCACCACATGAAATGAAAGCCATTAAAATAAGGAACAGTCTCCTAGGGTACTAGTCCAAAAATGAATATTAAATAGTAATAGAAGTTTAAAAAGGAGGAAGAAGATGGTTCTACAAAGATAGTTCTAATACAGCCAGGTGCCAAAATCTAAACATGCTCTTGTTAATACGTTTACATCCTTCAGGTCAGAAACTGACCCTTACCTACTCAGGTTTTTTAAATTTACAAAACAGCTTACCAATGTGGAAGCTTTGGTGGTCTCTGGAATGTCTAATTCTAGAGAGTCACATCTCCAAAAATTCTGTTCAGCTCAACAAAGACTTATTAAAAAACTACTCTCTACTGGAGACACAAAGATACACACGACAGGTCAGGAAAGGCAAAAAAACACTAAGAGTGAGGCTCAAAGAGAGTTTTGAAGAAAGAATTGGACAGTTAGGTAATGTCCAGGGAATGGGGTAGGCAGAGGTATTGCCTGGGAATGACTTCAAAGATAAGAAATTTCTGGCCAGACTCGGTGGCTCATGCCTATAATCCAGCATTTTGGGAAGCTGAGGTGGGAGAATGGCTTGAGTCCAAGAGTTTGAGATCAGCCTGGGCAACAAAGTGAGACCTCATCTCTACAAAATATCAAGCTGGGTGTGGTGGCTTACACCTGTAATCCCAGAACTTTGGGAAGCCAAGGCAGAAGGATCGCTGAGCACAGACTTTGAGACCAGCCTAGGCAACATAGGGAGACCCCATCTCTACAAAACAAACAAACAAAAAAATTAGCTGGCCAGGCATGGTGGCTCATGCCTGTAATCCCAGCACTCTGGGAGGCCAAGGCGGGTGACCTCCTCACCTGAGGTCAGGAGTTCAAGACCAGCCTGGCCAACATGGTGAAACCCTGTCTGTACTAAAAATACAAAAAATGGCAGGGCACAGTGGCTCACGCCTATAATCCCAGCACTTTCAGAGGCCCAGGCGGGCAGATCACCTGAGGTCCAGAGTTCAAAACCAGCCTGGCCAACATGTTTATTTAGTCTCTACTAAATATACAAAAATTAGCCAGACATGGTGGTGGGTGCCTGTAATCCCAGCTACTTGGGAGGCTGAGGCGGGAGAATTGCTTGAACCCAGGAGGTGGAGGTGGCAGTGAGCCGAGATCACGCCACTGCACTCCAGCCTGGGCAACAAGAGCAAGACTCCATCTCAAAAAAAAATAAAATTTAAAAAATTTAAAGAATAAAAATACAAAAATTAGCTGGGTGTGGTGGCTCATACCTGTAGTCCCAGCTACTTGGGAGGCTGAGGCACGATAATCGCTTGAACCCAGGAGGCAGAGGTTGCAGTGAGCCAATATCACACCACTGCACTCCAGCCTGGGCGACAGAGTGAGACTCGGTCTCAGGGGGAAAAAAAAAAAATTAACTGGGCAGGGTGCCACACACCTATAGTCCCAGTTACTTGGGAGGCTGAGGTGGGGGGATTGCTTGGGCCCAGGAAGTCAAAGTTGCAGTGAGCCACAATTGCGCCACTGCACTCCAGCCTAGGCAACAAAGTGAGACCTTGTCTCAACAATAAATAAATAATAAAAAAAATCAGCCAAGCCAGGCGTGATGACCCACACCTGTAATTCCAGCACTTTGGGAGGCTGAGGCAGAAGGACTGCTTAAGCATAGGAATTCAAGACCAGTCTGGGCAACATAGGGAACAAAAAATAAAATAAAATAATTAGCCAGGAATGGTGGCATGCTCCTGTGGTCCCAACTCCTCAGGAGGCTGAGGTGGGAGGATTGCTTGAGCCTGGGAGGTTGAGGCTGCAGTGAGCCGTGATTGCAACACTGCACTCCAGGGTGGGCAAAAGAGTGAGACTCTGTTTCAAAAAAAAAAAAAGAAAAAGATAAAAGGGAATTTCGGCCGGGCGTGGTGGCTCACGCCTATAATCCCAGCACTTTGGGAGGCAGAGGCGGGCAGATCACCTGAGGTCAGGAGTTCAAGAGCAGCCTGGCCACCATGGTGAAACCCGTCTCTACTAAAAATACAAAAATTAGCCGGGCATGGCGGCACATGCCTGTTATCCCAGCTACTTGGGAGGCTGAGGCAGGAGAATCACTTGAACCCAGGAGGTGGAGGTTGCAATGAACCGAGATCACATTTCTGCACTCCAGCCTGGGTAACAGAGCAACTCTGTCTCACCTAAAAAAAGATAGGGAATTTCATGAACAATGATTCAGAGACAAGAAAGCAGAATGTTTTCAAGGAAATCCAAGCAGTCTGTATTACTAAAGCATAAAGTAGGAAGTATGGGAGAAGAGTAGAAAATGAGCCTGGAGAAGTAACAGGGCCAAGAACATAGGGCAACCTGGAGACCTGCTAAGGAGATAGGATTTTAGCCTCCAAGCAAGAGCAGAATGGTATAAGCAGATCCGTCTTTTATAAAGGTCACTCTGTGGCATAGAATGTTAATGCTTAAAAGAACAGTTTCAAACTGAAAACAAGTACCAGCTCATTTTGCTACATGAGCTTCAGCAAGCTACTTAAATTCTTTGGACCACAGTTTGTTTCCTCACTTGTAAAATGAAGATATTCCCTACCTTCAAATTTTCTTAAGAGGATCAAGTGGTGAAGGAATATAAATTCTACAATAAAGATACCTGGCTCAGTATTTAGCACATTGTATTCAAAACATGGCCTAGAAAAAAAATTTGCTGGAAGAAATGTGGAAGGCGGAATAAAAGGGGATTGAAAATAGAAGGCCAGTTAAAAAGCCAGAGGAAAGGCCAGATTTGAAAACTATTTGGGGGGCCAGGCACGGTGGCTCACACCTGTAATCCCAGCACTTTGGGAGGCAGAGGCAGGTGGATCATGAGGTCAGGAGATCGCAGCCTGGCTAACACAGTGAAACCCTGTCTCTACTAAAAAATATAAAAAATTAGCCAGGCGTGGTGGTGGGCACCTGTAGTCCTAGCTACTACAGGAGGCTGAGGAAGGAGAATGGCGTGATCCCAGGAGGCGGAGCTTGTAGTGAGCAGAGACTGCACCACTGCACTCCAGCCTAGGTGACAGAGCGAGACTCCATCTCAAAAAAAAAAAAAAAGAAAAAAAAGAAAATGATTTGGAAGGTAAAATAAATTATGCTAGTAAAGTATTGCTCTTCAAACCTCAATAAAAGAGTAAAAGACACATGAGGTTTCTTTTCCAGGTTTCCCTAACCAGGGCCTAGAGTGCTATTGTGACCTCCTCCTCAAACACAAGCCCAGGTTGAAAACCAGATGCCACACATATTTCAGCTTTTACTATCAACACTGCTGAAGAGGCCATAGGTATATCATGGGGTGGGAGCTCTTTGGTGTCAGATACCTGGTTTAACAGCACCACTTAACTGGAGCAAATCACTTAGTTTCTCATCTGTACAACTGGCATAATGGCATCCACAGCTCTGTGCTGTGAGGATTCACACAGCATACAACATGGCAATCAGTCAACAGCAGCACATCACAAACAAATCCTACATAGATGTGAAACATACAAAACAGTATCTCTTACAAAAATACTACATAGCCTTATCATATCTGTAGCCCATTTGGAAGCTCCTGTAGCTGAAACTGCCCAGTACTTATCAGTACGTTGGCTCTCATACAGACAACCGGTGTTCCACTTGGAGCAAGATTGTTTTTATTTTCAATATGGGTATAACATCTTCCACCATAATATGTACTATCTGGTTCCTAAACAAATAAAACTGGTTTCAGAGAGCTCATCTCTAGAACAGCAGCTGGGATACAGTTTTACCCAAAAGTTAAGTAAAAATTTGGCGCCAAGCCCAGAAAACATGCATTCCTCACAGACAAAACTGGATAAACCAAATCTACAATGAGTGGATAAAACAGTAGGGAAGGGAAGAGCTCTGAGGAAGCTAGAATAACCCAGATGCAAAGACCCATCCATAATCAAGTGGAATCAAGTGAGGCAGTGGGATGAATCAGTTTGGATCTGAAGCACTCAGGGGAGGCACCGAGTTACCAAGTGTAAGACACCAAACTTACTAAATTTAAGATATCTGGGACATAAATATTCTCCATGTTATTTATGTAACATGAAAGATTTATGCAAGCACAAAAAGCCAAATGTTCTACCCTCATTAAGATTCAAGATTCCTTATAAGAGGTTAGGAAGCTGGAGAGTATAACCTGGGGAGAATATCAGTGGAGATAAAATTTAGACACATTAAATGTGAAAGAGTAACCCTTTCCATTTCAGTGGGCTATTGTCGGCCAGGCGCAGTGGTTCACGCCATTAATACACGCCTGTAATCCCAGCACTTTGGGAGGCCGAGGATGGTGGATCATCTGAGGTCAGGAGTTTGAGACCAGCCTGGGCAACATGGTGAAACCCCCTCTCTACTAAAAATACAAAAAATTTGCCAGGTGTGGTGGTATACGCCTGTAATCCCAGCTACTAGGGAGGTTAAGGCAGTAGAATTGCTTAAACGTGGGAGGCAGAGAATGCAGTAAGCCAAGATCATGCCACTGCACTCCAGCCTGGGCAAGAGTGAGACTCCGTCTCAAAAATAAATAGGCTATTTGTTGATGCTGCTACTATTACACAGTTGATTTCTATTAAGGAATGTATTGACTATATACTTCACAAGGCATTCTTTGCTATTCCACTTATGGGACAGTAAGAGAAGTGCCAGCATGGTGCCTCATGCTTGTAATCCCAGCACTTTGGGAGGCAGAGATGGGAGGATTGCTTGAGCCCAGGAGTTCAAGACCAGCCTGGGTAACATAGCAAGACCCCCATCTCTACAATAATTAAAGAATTAGCCAGGCATAGTGGTACATGTCTGTGGTCCCAGCTACTTGGGAGGCTAAGGTGGGCGGAATCACTTGCACCCAGGCAGTTGAGGCTGCAGTGAACCATAATCACGCCACTGCACTCTAGCCTGAGCAACACAGCAAGCAAGACCCTGTCTCAAAAAAGAGAGAGAGAGAGAGAGAAGTGGACCTTCAAAGGAGAAAGGCTTGCCAAAGTCCCTTTGAAATGAAATTGATATTTAAGATGCTGCTATGGCACATGATTTTGACTAGAAAAAAAATAGTCTTCCTCTAAACATCTAAGAAATTTTTTAAACATTTAATCTAAGAAAAATTTTAAAACATTTAAAACAGGAGCCAACTGACAGATAAGGGCAGGTCACACGTCTCTGGTGGAGAAATTTGGGCTGAGAGCATGGATTCGGTCAATCAGTAAATTCTACTTTGCCCTAAACAGAGCCTTACAAGCCAGACTTGATAAGATTCATAAACAAATCGGCCAGGGGCGGTGGCTCACACCTGTAATCCCAGCCCTTTGGGAAGCTGAGGTGGGCAGATTGGTTGAGCTTATAAATTTGAGACCAGCCTGGGCAACACGGTAAAACCCTCTCTCTACAAAATATACAAAAATTAGCTGGGCATGATGGCACACACCTGTGGTTTCATCTACTCCTGGGGCTGAGGTGAGAGGATCACTTGAGCCTTGGGAGGTGAAGGTTGCAATGAGCAGAGATTGTGCCACTGCAACAGAGCGAGACCTTGTCTCAAAAAAATAAAATAGAATGTTCTTTTTTTTTTTTTTTTTTTTTTTTGAGATGGAGTTTCCCTCTTGTTACCCAGGCTGAAGTGCAGTGGCGCAATCTCGGCTCACTGCAACCTCCACTTTCTGGTTTCAAGCGATTCTCCTGCCTCAGCCTTCCAAGTAGCTAGCATTACAGGCGCCCGCCACCATGCCTGGCTAATTTTTGTATATTTAATAGAGACAGGGTTTCACCACGTTGATCAGGCTGGTCTCAAACTCCTGACCTCGTGATCCACCCACCTCAGCCTCCCAAAGTGTTGAGATTACAGGCGTGTAATTAATAAGAACATAAGAATGTTCTTATTAATTAAACACTCAGTGTCAATGTCTAGATCTAGCTTTAAAATATGCCAACAACAGCCTGGTGCAGTGGCTCACACCTCTAATCCCAGCACTTTGGGAGGCTGAGGCAGGAGGATAGCTTGAGCCCAAGAGTTTTGAGACCAGCCTGGGCAATGTGGTGAGACCCCATCTCTACATAAATTTAAAAATTAGCTGGGCATGGCAGTGTGCACTTGTAGTCTCAGCTACTCAGGAGGCTGAGGTTGGAGAATACTTTGAGCTGGGAAGTCGAGGCTACAGTGAGCCATGCCACTGCATGCCAGCCTGGGCAACAGAGTGAGACCCTGTCTCAAAAAAAAAAAAAAAAAAAAAAAAAAAGCCAACAACAACAAAAAATAGGGAATATATTGAAAAAGATGGAGAAGTATTGATAATTGTTGAAATTGGGTGACAGGTACATGATGCTTCATGATGCTATACTCTCCACAGTTGTACGTGTATGCCAAGCATGTGCAACATCCCTCCCAGCAAGGATGATGGGAAAGGGGGAGTTAGTCAGAACAAGGGAGAATAAACATCAGGAAAAGAATCTTTGGTCCAGGCAACTAGGAACTCACCTCAGAGATATTGCTCAGGAGGAATGCAGGACCAAGCCAGACAACAAAGGATTAAGAGATATATAGGGCCGGGTGCAGTGGCTCACGCCTGTAATCCCAGCACTTTGGGAGGCAGAGGCGGGCGGATCACCTTTGGTCAGGAGTTTGACAACAGCCTGACCAAAATGGAGAAACCCCGTCTATACTAAAAATACAAAATTAGCCGGGCATGGTGGCGCATGGCTGTAATCCCAGCTACTCTGGAGGCTGAGGCAGAAGAATCGCTTGAACCCGGGAGGCGGAGGTTGCAATGAGCCGAGATCATGCCACTGCACTCTAGCCTGGGCAACAAGAGCGAAACTCTGTCTCAAAAAAAAAGAGAGATAGATAAAAGAGAGATAAAGCATCTGGTTGGCACTGAGTGAGGTGGCCCACACCTGTAATCCCAGCACTATGGGTGGCCAAGGCAGGAGGATCACTTGAGGACAGGAGTTTGAGACCAGCCTGGGCAACACAGGGATACCCTGTCTCTACAAAATAAAAAGTAAAATCTAGCCAGCCATGGTGGCACCCGCCTAAGAGGATAGCATGGGCCAGGGAGGTTGAGGCCATAGGGAGCAGATTGCACCACTGCACTACAGCCTGGGTGAAAGAGCAAAACCCTGTCTCAAAAACAAAACAAAACAAAAAAAGGCAATTGGTAAGGAAATGGCAGTAAAACTTAATGAGAGGATGATAAAAAATAAACCAAAGGAGGACAGAAAGAAGAAGGCTAGGCTACCATGAGAGGCACAGAGCTAAGCAGTTACTGTGGTCCTATCGTTTATGTAGGAAAAAACAAAAGGGGAGGGGATCAAGGCTAGGAAAGACTATAGGAGGACCTTACAAAGGATGTAATAGGTAAATCAAGGTTACAGAAGAAACAGGAATAGATAAAATTCAATTGGAACGGGTTGGATTGAAAAAACAATGAAGACCACCTCTTCTGGGAGAATGAATATAGAGAAAGGTAACACTCTGAAACTAGAATGCAAAAGGGGCTGTGTAATATCACAGTTAAGGGAGGAGGCTCTGACATTCAACCATTTGACTTTAATTTCAGCTTGTCACCATCACCGAAGTTGACATAAGTAAAGTACTTGTGTCTGGGGGTAAATACGAGCATATACTCTTTCATTACTGTCGATGAAATGGATCTAACTGTAAAATATTTAAAAAGACTTATTCTGAGCCAAAAATGAACGACCATGGCCCAAGGCACGGTTTCAACAGGTCCTGATAACATGTGCCGATGGTGGTTGAGTTACAGCTTGGTCTCACTCTGTCACCCAGGCTGGAAAGCAGTGGTGCGATTTCTGCTCATTGCAACCTCCGCCTCCCCCAGGTTCAAGCAATTCTCCCACCTCAGCCTCCAAGTAGCTGGGATTACAGGTGTGCAACACCACGCCTGGCTAATTTTTCTATTTTCAGTAGACATGTGTGCCACCATGCCTGGCTAATTTTTGTATTTTTTGTAGAGACAGGGTTTCACCATATTGGCCATGCTGGTCTCCAACTCCTGACCTCAGGTGATCTGCCCACTTTGGCCTTTCAGAGTGCTGGGATTACAGGTGTGAGCCACCATGCCTGGCCAGTTTTATGTATTTTAGGGAAACATATAACATCATCTCAGTATCTGTGAAGTATACATCTGTTCTGTCCAGAAAGGTGGGTCAACTACAGTGGGGGAGGGGAGAGGCTTTACATATCACAGATTAAAGATTTTCTGATTGGCAATTGGTTATCATCTAAAAATCTGGAATCAATAGAAAGGAGTGTCTGGGGCCACCACAATGGCTCACACCTGTAATCCCAGCATTTGGGAGGCCGATGTGGGCGGGTCACTTGAGGCCAGGAGTTTGAGACCAGCCTGGTCAACATGGCAAAACCCTTTTACTATAAAAAATACAAAAATTAGCCAGGCATGGTGGCACACACCTTTCATCCCAGCTACTTAGAAGGCTGCAGCAAGAGAATCGCTTGAACCTGGGAGGCAGAGGCTGCAGTAAGCAGAGGTCGCACCACTGCACTCTAGCCTGGTAGACAAAGGGAGACCTTGTCTCAAAAAAAAAGAAAAGAAAAGAAAAGAAATGAGGGTCTGAGTTAAGAGAAGGGATGGTGGAGACCAAGGTTCTTATTATGTAGATGAAGTCTTAAAGGTGGCAAATGTTTCCTAGTCAGACCTTTAAAAGGTACTAGACTCTCAGGTAATCTCTTCAGGACTGGGAGGGCCTGGAAGGGAAAAGATCCAGTTGTGTTTATAGAGATTCTTTACAGATGCAAATTTTCCACCACAAACGATGGCTTTGCAGATTTCAAAATATAGCAAAGAAATGTATTTTGGGTAAAATATTTTTATTTCGTCATCTGTCATTTATTTATTTATTTATTTATTTATTGAGATGGAGTTTCACTCTTGTTGCCCAGGCTGGAGTGCAATAATATCATCTCGGCTCGTTGCAACCTCTGCCTCCCGGGTTCAAGTGATTCTCCTGCATCCCGAATAGCTGGGATTACACCTGTGCACCACCACACCCAGCTAATTTTTTTTTTTTTTTTGAAAGAGTCTCGCTTTGTCGCCCAGGCTGGAGTGCAGTGGCATGATCTCAGCTCACTGCAACCTCCGCTTCCAGGGTTCAAGAGATTCTCCTGCCTCAGCCTCCAGAATAGCTGGGATTATAGGCGTGCACCACCACACCCGGCTAATTTTTGTATTTTTAGTAGAGACGGAGTTTCACCATGTTGGTCAGGCTGCTCTCGATCTCTTGATCACGCCCAGCCTACAGAGATCTCTTTTGTGATAGGAAAAGTTGATCGATGCAGCAAATTTCACTGTTGTCTTATTTTGAGAAATTGCTACAGCTACTCCAATCTTCAGCAATCACCACCCTGATCAGTCAGCAGCCATCAATGTCTAGGCAAGACCCACAACCAGCAAAAGGATTACAAGTCCTGAAGGCTCAGGTGATTGTTAACATTTTTTGGCAATAAAGCATTTTAAAATTAAGGTATATACATTGCTTTTTTAGACATAATGCTATTAGGAACTTAATAGACTATAGTATGGTGCAAACATAACTTTTCTTTCCTCTGAGACAGGATCTTGTTCTGTCGCCCAGGCCAGAGCGCAGTGGTGCAATGATAGCATACTGCTGACTCGAACTCCTGGGCTGGCAAGTGATTCTTCCACCTCAGCCTCCAGAGTATCTAGGACTAAACAGGTGTACACTGCAACACTCGGCTAATTTTTAAAACGTTTTGTAGAGACAGGGTCTCGTTATGCTGCCCAGACTAGTCTTGAACTTCTGGCCTCAAGTCATCCTCCCATCTCCACCTCCCAAAGTACTGGAATTACGGACATAAGCAACTATGCCAAGCCTGTACACATAACTTTTATATGTACTGGGAAACCAAAAAATGTGTGTGACAGGCTTTATTGCAATATTTGCTTTATTGTAATGGTCTAGAACTCAACCTGCAAGATCTCCAAAGCATGCCTGTATACAGTATGTGAGCTGCTATGATTATTATTATTAAAACCAAAGTTAAGCTGGGTGCAGTGGCTCACGCCTGTAATCCCAGCACTTTGGGAGGCGGAGGCGGGTGGATCACGAGGTCAAGAAATCGAGACCATCCTGGCCAGCATGGTGAAACTCCATCTCTACTAAAAATACAAAAATTAGCTGGGTGTGGTAGTGGGCACCTGTAGTCCCAGCTACTTGGGAGGCTGAGGCAGGAGAATCACTTGAACTCGGGAGGTGGAGGTTGCAGTGAGCCGAGATTGCGCCACTGCCCTCCATCCTGGCAACAGAGTGAGACTCCCTCTCAGAAAAACAAACAAACAAAAAAACACACACAAAGTAAAAATTCCTAATAGTCAAAAAATTCTCACAAATCAACAAAATAAATTAATTAAATCAGCCAAAAAGTTGACAAAGGACAAGAAATAAATACATACATGAAATAAACACATGAAAAGATGCTCATCCTCTTCAATAAATAAATGTAAATAAAAATTAGTTACCTAGGCTTCAAATTGACAAAGATTCAAAATGTTGATTCCCAGCCACGCATGGTAGCTCACACCTGTAATCCCAACACTTGGGGAGGCCAAGTGGGGAGGACTGTTTGAGCCCAGAGGTTCAAAATCAGCCTGGGCAACATAGTGAGACTTCATCTCTACAAAAAATGGACATGGTAGTAAGCGCCTGTAATCCCAGCTACCTCAGGAGGCTGAGGTGGGAGGATCACTTGAGCCCAGGAGACAGAGGTTGCAGTGAGCTATGATCATCGTGCCACTGCACTCCAACCTGAGCAAGAGTCAGACCCTCTCTTTAAAAAAAAAAAAAAAAAAAAAAAAAAGGCCAGGCGCAGTGGCTCACACCTGTAATCCCAACACTTTGGGAAGCCGAGGCAGGTGGATCATGAGGTCAGGAGATGGAGAACATCCTGGCTAAGAAAGTGAAACCTCGTCTCTACTAAAAATACAAAAACTCAGCCGGGCGTGGTGGCGGGTGCCTGTAGTCCCACCTACTCGGGAGGCTGAAGCAGGAGAATGGCATGAACCCGGGAGGCGGAGCTTGCAGTGAGTCAAGATCTTGCCACTGCACTCTAGCCTGGGCGACAGAGCAAGACTCTGTCTCAAAAAAAAATTGATTCCTATTCTAGCAAGTATAGCTAGATAGCTAGGTAAATAAACAAATAAATAAATAAAAATATTGATAAAGTTCAGTGTCGGGGAGAAATATAAATTGATACAATCTTTTGAAAGTGATAAAATCTAACAAAATTTTAAACATGCATACATTTCTATAAGTAGAATTTCTGTGTCAAAACCTTTGTAGAAATACTTATACTTACAGAAATGTATCCTAGGCTGGGCGTGGTGGCTCACGCCTATAATCCCAGCACTTTGGGAGGCTGAAGAGGGCAGATCACGAGGTCAAGAGATTGAGATCATCCTGGCCAACATAGTGAAACCCCACTGTACTAAAAATACAAAAATTAGCCGGGCATGGTGGTACATGCCTGCAGTCCCAGCTACTCTGGAGGCTGAGGCAGGAGAATCGTCTGAACCCAGGAGATGGAGGTTGCAGTGAGCCGAGATCACACCACTGCACTCCAGCCTGGCGACAGAGCGAGACTCCATCTCAAAAAAAAAAAAGAAAGAAAAAGAAATGTATCCTACAGGCCGGGTGCAGTGGCTCACGCCTGTAATCTTTGCACTGTGGGAGGCCGAGGCAGGTGGGTCATTTGATGTCAGGAGTTCGAGACCAGCCTGGCCAACATGGTGAAACCCCATCTCTACCAAAAATACAAAAATTAGCCAGGCGTGTGGCACATGTCTGTAATCCCAGCTACTTGGAAGGCTGAGGAACGAGAATCACTTGAACCCAGGAGGCGGAGGTTGCAGTGAGCCGAGATCGCGCCACTGCACTATAGCCTGGATGACAAAGTGAGACTCCACCTAAAAAAAAAAAAAATTAAATTAGGCCAGGCATGATGGCTCATGCCTGTAATCTCAGCACTTTGGGAGGCCGACACAGGCAGATCACTTGAGCCCAGGAGTTCAAGACCAGCCTGGGAAACATAGAAAAACCCCATCTCTACAAAGAATACAAAAATTAGCTGGGCATGGTGGCATGCACCTGTGGCCCCAGCTACTCAGGAGACTGAGGCAGGTGGACTGCTTGAGCCTGGGAGGTCAAGGCTACAAAGAGCTATCATCATGCCACTGCATTCCAGCCTAGGTGACAGACTGAGACCTTGTCTCAACAACAAAAAAAGATTAAATGAAAAAAAAAAAGTCACAGAAAGGTAGATAGACTATAACCCCATTTCTGTACAAAGGAATTACTTTCTCTTACACACGTACACAAATTTGTTAGTATGACTATCACCTAGGCTGGAGTACAGTGGTGCCATCTCAGCTCACTGCAATCTCCACCTCCTGGGTTCAGGGGATTCTTGTGCCTCAGCCTCCCAAGTAGCTGGGATTAACAGGCATGTACCACCACACCGGCTAATTTTTATATTTTTAGTAAGCACAGGGTTTCACCATGTTGGCCCGGCAGTTCTTGAATTCCTGGCCTAAAATGATCTGCCTACCTCAGCCTCCCAAACCAAAATGCTGGGATTACATGTGTAAGCCACCGTGCCTGGACTTTATTTACTTATTTTTAGAGACAGGATCTTACTGTGTTGCCCTGGGCCCGAGTGCAGTGGCACAATTGCAGCTCACTGCATCCTCTACCTCCCAGGGTCAGGCAATCCTCCCACCTCAGCCTCCTGAGTAGCTGGGAAAACAGGGGCGCACCACCACACTCAGCTATAGAGCCTCCCTATGTTGCCCAGGCGGGTCTCGAAATCCCGGACTTAAGCAATCCACCTACCTTGGCCTCCCAAAGTGTTGGGATTACAGGCATTAAACCACCACACCCAGCAGGCCTAAATTCTTAATGGTAGTTAATAATGAGATATGGAATTATGGTTTCCTTTCCCTATTTAAAAATGCCTGAATTTTACTGTACTCATACATTGTTTATGTAACCAGGGAAAAAAGGTCAAGGACTTTCTAAGAGCAACAGACTGGATGACGAAAGTATGGTGACAGAAACAATGGGGAAAATATTTGAGAGCACAAGCCCTAAAATGAGGTCACTGGTCCAGAGCCTGGGGGAAAGGCACCTTTGGGAAACATGTAAACAGCTGCTATAGGAAATGGGACCCTTAGGAGGCAGCACAGGAGCACCCTGAGGGGCAGAGAGCGATCAGCTCAAGTGAGGCAGTGGGAACTACCAGCAACCAAGACAGCTCATTTTCCTGACTGTCCAGAAACACTGGGAATGGGCACCCTAGGGGCAGTGAAAAGCAGCCAGGCAAGAGAATTCAGAGACAGCAACTAGCATAGCCGGCAGGGCACAAAGTCAGGGAAGCAAAGGGTTCTAATACCTGGGGAAGGAATACTGGAATTGTGGACCATGACCAACCAGAGCCAAGCTAGTAGGGGAGGTAGGTGAAACACAGGGAAAGAAAAATGAAGAGATAGGGTGTGGAGACAGTGGGACTGGAAGGCACAATGACAGCAGAGCTCAAGCCAGAATACATCCATTTTCCTTCCCCACCCCCTTTTTTTTTTTTTTTTTTGAGATGGAGACTCGCTCTGTCACCCAGGCTGGAGTGCAGTGGCGTGATCTCAGTTCACTGTAACCTCCACCTTCCAGGTTCAAGTGATTCTACTGCCTCAGCATCCCGAGTAGCTAGGATTGCAGGTGTGTACCACCTCGTCTGGCTAATTTTTGTGTTTTTAGTAGAGATGAGGTTTCACCACGTTGGCCAGGCTGGTCTCCAACTCCTGACCTCAGGTGATTTCCCTCCACCGCCCCGCCCTGGCCTCGGCCTGCCAAAGTGGTGGGATTACAGGTATAAGCCACCGCGCCCAGCCTTTTTCTCCCGATTTCTATACAATATACATTAGGAGAAAGACTCCTACTTGTTTCATGGGCCTCAATTGCCGAACTATGTCCACCTGGCTCTGGATTTGTCTCCTGACCACTAAGCAATCTGTAAAGAGAGTAGAGCTCTCTAGGTTCCTCCAGCAGCCAGCTCTTCCAGAGTTACTGGGCTGCTAGGCCGGGAGTGGTGGTTCACGCCTGTAATCCCAGCACTTTCAGGGTCCAAAGCAGATGGATCACCTGAGGTCCAGGAGTTTGAGACCAGCCTGGCCAAATGGCAAAACCCCATCTCTACTACAAATACAAAAATTTGCTGGGCGTGGTGGTGGGCGCCTGTAATCCCAGATACTCAGGAGGCTGAGGCAGGGAGAATAGCTTGAACTCAGGAGGCAGAGATTGCAGTGAGCCAAGATCGCACCATTGCACTCCAGCCTGGGCAGCTGAGCAAGACTGTGTCTCAAAAAACAAATACAAAAAAATTAGCCGGGCATGGTGGCCTGCACCTGTAATCCCAGCTACTTGAGAGGCTGAGGCAGAATCGTTTGAACCCGGGAAGCGGAGGTTGCAGTGAGCGGAGATGGCGCCACTGCACTCCAGCCTGGGCAACAGAACAGGACTCTATCTCAAAAAAAAAAAAAAAAAAAAAAAGCAGAGTTACTGGGCTGCTATGACAGAGCAGAGATTCTACTCACTGTGTAGGACTATCTTCCTTGTGTGTATCCTCTATTGGCCAGCAGCCTGAAATAAGGGGTGACTGTCATCCCAAACTGAAGCCCTAACAATATCTTATGAGGACATAAAAAGGGCTCTAAACTTAGAATCAGAAAACAGGCAGCAATTCCCAGCTTTTCTTATTATCAGCTCTGTGTACTGGAAAGCAAGCCACTTCACCTTTTCGGGTTTGCTTCCTCATCTGTACAATGGGGATATTTGCCTCACAGGGTTGTTGGGAGGATGAAGTAAATATATATATGAAAATGTTGGCTGGGCGTGGTGGCTCATGCCTGTAATCCCAGCACTTTGGGAGGCGAAGGCAGGCGGATCACCTGAGGTCAGGAGTTCAAAACCAGCCTGGCCGACATGGTGAAACCCCATCTCTACAAAAATACAAAAATTAGCCAGGCATGATGACGGGTGCCTGTAATCCCAGCTACTCAGGAGGCTGAGGCAAGAGAATCGCCTGAACCTGGGAGGCAGAGGTTGCAGTGAGCTGAGATCGTGCCACTGCACTCCAGCCTGGGCGACAGAGCAAGACTCTGTCTCAAAAAAAAGAAAGTGGCCGGCGCAGTGGCTCACACCAGTGATCCCAACATTTTGGGAGGCCGAGATGTGCAGATCACCTGAGGTCAGGAGTTCAAGACCAGCCTGCCCAACATGGCGAAACCCCATCTCTACTAAAAATACAAAAAAATTAACCGAGTGTGGTGGCAGGTGCCTGTAATCCCAGTTACTTGGAAGGCTGAGGCAGGAGAATCGCTTGAACGCAGGAGGCAGAGGTTGCAGGGAGCCGAGATCGTACCACTGCACTCCATCCTGGGCAAAAAGAGCAAAACTCCATCTCAAAAACAAAAAAAAAGAAAGAAAGAAAGTATTTTATAGGCTGGGCACGTCTGTAATCCCCGCACTTGGTGAGGCCAAGGCGGGTGAATCGCTTGAGCTCAGGAGTTCGAAACTAGCCTGGGTAACATGGCAAAACCCTCTCTCTCCAAAAAATACAAAAATTAGCTGGGCACAGTGGCACATGCCATTAGTCCTAGCTACTCAAGAGGCTGAGGAGGGAGGATGACTTGAACCCAGGAGGTGGAAGCTGCAGTGAGCTGAGATCATGCCACTGCACTCCAGTCTGGGTGACAGAGTCAGACCCTGTCTCAAATGTAAAAAAAAAAAAAAAAAAAGTGTTTTATAAACTACAACATCATACATACGCAAAGTATGCTTATCACAGTAAAGCAAACATTTTTCATTTCCGCCTACTATTGATGGTACTATAAAACCATAAGCACATGTTAGTACCTCCAATGTGCCTCCACTGGCTGAAATTTTCTGTTTGTATTGCTTTCAATCTATATTATAACATCTTCCTTTTTTTTTTTTGAGGCAGAGTCTTACTCTGTCGCCCAGGCTGGAGGATAGTGGCACAATTACAGCTCACTCCAGCCTCTATCTCTGGAGTTCAGGCAATCGTCCCGCCTCGATCTCCTAACTGGGAGACTGGTAGCTCAGATGTGGTCCATAACTTCTAGGTGTGTGTCACCTTGCCCAGCTAATTTTTATTTAATTTTTTTGTAGAGACAAGCTCTCACCATGTCGCCCCAGGCTAGTCTTAAACTCCTGGGGTCAAGCAACCCTCCCACCTCAGCCTCCCAAAGTGCTGTGATTACAGGCATGAGCCACTGCACCTGGCCAACCAACAACTTCCTTTCTTTTTTTTGTTTAAAGACAGAGTCAAGTTTCACTCTGTTGCCCAGGTTGGAGTGCAGTGGTGAGATCTCGGCTCACTGCAACCTTTGCCTCCCGGATTCAAGCGATTCTCCTGCCTCAGCCTTCCAAGTAGCTGGGACTACAGGCGTGCACCACCACATCCAGCTAATTTTTGTATTTTTAGTAGAGATAGGGTTTCGCCATGTTAGCCAAGCTGGTCTGAAACTCCTGACCTCAGGTGATCTGCCTGCCTCAGCCTCCCAAAGTGCTGGGATTACAGGCGTGAGCCACCGCGCCTGGCCTCAACAACTTCCTCCTAACTTCTCAACACTGCTCACAAAATGTCATCAATTTTTAACAGCTACTGCTAAATTTAAAGTGCCTCAGTGTTTTTTGTTTTTTGTTTTTGAGACGCAGTTTCACTCTTGTTGCCTGGGCTGGAGTGCAATGGCACGATCTCGGCTCACCACAACCTCCGCCTCCCAGGTTCAAGTGGTTCTCCTGCCTCAGCCTCCTAAGTAGCTGAGATTACAGGCATGTGCCACCACACCCAGCTAATTTTGTACTTTTAGTAGAGATGGGGTTTCTCCATGTTGATCAGGCTGGTCTCAAACTTCCGACATCAGGTGATCCGCCCGCCTCAGCCTCCTAAGGTGCTGGGATTACAGGCGTGAGCCACAGTGCCTGGCCTTCAGTTTTCCTTTTTATCTGATATCAACTTTTATCTTTAACCTAACTACAGTTACTTTTCATGCTTTTATTTTTTGCAGTCTGCTATTTTGTCACTTGCATGAAAGAATAATTGCATTTGGCCAGGCGTGGTGGCTCACACCTGTAATCCTAGCACTTTGGGAGGCTGAGGAGGGGGGATCACCTGAGGTCAAGAGTTCAAGAGCAGCCTGGCCAACATGGCGAAACCCTGTCTCTACTAAAAATACAAAAATTAGCCAGGTGCGGTGGCACATACCTGTAATCCCAGCTACTTGGGAAGCTAAGGCAGGAGAATCACTTGAACCCAGGAGGCAGAGGTTGCAGTGAGCTGAGATCATGCCATTGCACTCCAGCCTGGGCTACAGAGTGAGACGCCATCTCCAAAAAAAAAAAAAAAAAAAAAAAAGAATTGATGTAGGCTTTGATAACCTTCCTAACACCCAGCCTTCAGTAGGGATTTCTATGCAGTCTAATCACCCATAAAAACTAATTTGATTGGGAGGCCAACGCAGAAGGATCACTTGAGCCCAAGAGTTTGAGACCAGCCTGCGCAACATAGTGGGACCCCTGCCTCTACAAAAAATATAAAAATTAGCCAGGCAAGGTCATGCATGCCTGTACTCCCAGCTACTCAAGAAGCTGAGGTGAAAGGATTGCTCGAGCCTGAGAGGTCAAGGCTACAGTGAGCTATGATCATGCCACTGTACTTACTCTAGCATGGGTGACAGAGAGAGACTCTGTCTCAAAACAAAAAAAAATTAAAAATTTAAAAAAAATCTTAAAAAAACTAATTCAAAGTAATTTAGGTAGTATACTCAAGTTATTTTACTACCAAGATCCAGGAGGGTGGCCAGGCATCATGGCTCACGCCTGTAATCCCAGCACTTTGGGAAGCAGAGGCAGGTGGATCACAAGGTCACGAGTTCAAGATCAGACTGACCAACATGGTAAAACCCTGACTCTACTAAAAATACAAAAACTAGCCAGGCGTGGTGGCACGCGCCTGTAATCCCAGCTGCTCAGGAGGCTGAGGCAGGAGAATCACTTGAACCCGGGAGGCAGAGGTTGCAGTGAGCTGAGATCACACCACTGCACTCCAGCCTGGGCGACAGAGCAAGACTCCGTCTCAAAAACAAAACAACAACAACAAAAAAGATCCAGGAGGGTAACTAAATAAATTGGCACAATTCTGTAACTTCTAGGTAAATAACTCAGAACATACAGCTCCAGACACTTCAGAATTAGTACAGTATTAGACTGAGCAGAAAACGGATACAGATAATTTTATAGTCACTGAATTCTAACTCCTGAATAAAGTTTGCTCAAATAATCGTTATTTCCTGTATATGGTGACACTGAGCTCAGATGGGTCTCCAAAAGGCCAACCAGGCAGCAAAATTCACAATATCCTAGTGTTAAATCCATTACCCATTCCCAGGCCAGGCGCAGTGGTTCATGCCTATAATCCCAGCATTTTGGGAGGCCAAGATGGGCAGATCACTTGAGGTCAGAAGTTCAAGACCAGCCTGGCCAACATGGAGAAATTTTGTACTAAAAATACAAAAATTAGCCAGGCATGGTGGCGCACCTATAGTCCCAGTTACTTGTGAGGCTGAGGCAGGAGAATAGCTTGAACCGAGGAGGTTGAGGTTGAGGCAGTGAGCCAAGATCGTGCCATTGCACTCCAGCCTGGGTGACAGAGCAAGACTCCATCTCCAATCAATCAATCAAGTCATTACCCATTCCCAGCAGGTGGTGGCTTATCAGTAGTTAGTTGTCTAGATACCCTGTGGCCCAAACCAACTAATCACTTCTTTACATATGAAGACAAAGCACTCAGAGCAGTAAATGGCCTGCAGAAGATCAGACAATACCAATGAAGAACTGTCACATTTACTCCCAAATGAAATGTTTGCAAGACCCAAAAAAGCAAGTAATAGCCCTCCAGCCTCAAAATTATGAACAAATGAATAAGCAACACATTCTCACAACAAAGTGTTGCCTTTAGCAACCTGGAAAAACAAAAGCAGAGATACTGCTTCAGCCAGGATCAGAGGCAGCCATGAAGTCAGAACTCTCATCACACCACTAGTTCCACAGTGAATGATTTCCTGTTATTTCATAAGCAAAGGTTATTCATTTGTTCACTCAACAAACATTTGCCAAGTAGCTACACTGTGCCAGAAATGGTCAGGTGCTGGGATATAAACAAGACAAGCTCCTGCCTTGAAGTAGGTAATAAACTAGGTATGGGAAACACAAAAAAAACACCAAAACATGGTAAAAAGGAATTTGAGGAAAAAATATATAAATAATTTTTTTTAAAAATACCAAAACTTAGCAGGACAGTATGATTATAAAAGCTTGCACAGACTCCAATGTCATACAGAAGAGAGGCATTCTGCTTAACCTGGAGGCAATCAAGGAAGGCTTTTATTAAGAGAAGGTGGTGCCCGAACTCCTGGTTCAAGCCTTAGAGTCGGCCAAGCTGTAGAATAGAGAGCAAAATATCACAGAAGGAATAGCTAAGAATGCTGGGACCTTCAAGGAGTTCACTATAACTGAGCCTCACGTGCCAGAGTAAATGTGGCAGAGGAAAAACTAGAAAGGAAGATAAAGAAGGGGCCAGGTCATAAAGGTCCTTATGAGATGCTGAAGCAGAGACAGGCCAGGGTCTAGATGTTAGAGACCAGAGGTGTATTATTTACTCTTTTTTTTTTTTTTTTTTTGAGATGGAGTTTCGCTCTTGTTGCCTAGGCTGGAGTGCACTAGCACAACCTCTGCTCACCGCAACCTCCGCCTCCTAGGTTCAAGCAATTCTCCTACCTCAGCCTCCCGAGTAGCTGGGATTACAGGCATGCGCCACTATGCCTGGCTAATTTTGTATTTTTAGTAGAGACAGGGTTTCTCCATGTTGGTCAGGCTGGTCTCGAACTCCCAACCTCAGGTGATCCGCCCGCCTTGGCCTGCCAAAGTGCTGGCATTACAGGCGTGAGCCACCGCGCCTGGCCATTACTTACTCTTATCTGGAATTAAAGACCAGCAGAATGGAGGGGGCATTTGACTACAGCAAGACTGCAAGAAATTAGAGACCAGTTATTTCAAGTCACTTCTGGCCTCTACTTATTTTTCTCTTGAATATTAGTGGGACTTTTTTTTTTTCCTGTCTTATTGGGAAAAAATAAAACTGAAAGTTCTATAACTAAGTCTGTTCATCAAAAACATGCCTGAACAGAGTGCTAGATTTTACCAAAGTAGCCCCAATTAAAGAAAATGACAAATCTCTCCTGCATCTGGAGAATTCCTGGCAAAAACACCAAAGCCAGGTCTCTGGTGCCAGCAGAAGAATGCCAGAGAAATGTCCTGATCAGGGGCCATATAGAACACAATGCTGCCTGGTATACTTTAGTGTTCTATCAATGGGAGAGCCCGCTGTTTCCAAACAAGAACATGCCAAACAGTTACCTCCTGGCTTCCCCATACAAACTGTCAGGAAAAAACCTTCTACTGCCAGGAATGACCTTGGACTTTATAGTGTGGACTCCTGCCTACCGGCACTGAATAAAGACAACCTTGGCCAGGCGCGGTGGCTCACACCTGTAACCCCAGCACTTTGGGAGGCCAAGACGGGCGGATCACGAGGTCAGTAGATCGAGACCATCCTGGCTAACACGATGAAACCCCATCTCTACTAAAAATACAAAAAATTAGCCGGGTGTGGTGGCAGGCGCCTGTAGTCCCAGCTACTCGGGAGGCCTGTAATCCCAGGGAGGCTGAGGCGGGAGAATGGCGTGAACCTGGGAGGTGGAGCTTGCAGTGAGCCGAGATCGCACCACTGCACTCCAGACTGGGCAACAGAGCAAGACTCCGTCTCAAAAAAAAAAAAAAGACAACCTCAAAATTTCCTCACCTGTCCAGAGTGCCAACAGGTGCAGACAGCTGCCTTCCTCACCAGACAAGGAAACTTGAATCCTGCACAGCACCACAGTACCCAGCCACATTCCTACTATTAATACTACTGAGATTAGAGGTCCTATATAATAATACACATTAACTACTACTGACAACCAGCACTGACCACCCTCAAAGCTTGAGGCCCTCATCTCCAGTCCTCGATGCAATCTGCAAAGAAGGCTGTATTAGGCCCATTTTACAGATGGAAAAACAAAACCAAACCAAAGCTCAGAGAGGTTAACAGCTTATCAAGGGTCAAAAATTGAGCAAGAAAAAGTGGGAAGACTCCAAAAACCAAGCTCTTCCCATTGTACCAGACATTTCTTCTCTCAGACTTTTTCTAAAGAAATAGAAAACTCTAAGCCTTATTTCCAAGAGTTTCTGAAGTTGATCCATTTAACTAAGAGGTGGCCAAAAACATTTATTTAAGCAATCACCTTGCCTTTAAGGCAACAAATAAACAAGTTTTTATTTTCTTTGATCAAGTGAATAGTCCAGATGGAAAATGAGAGCTATTTTGAAGAATTCATTTATTATTTAAATACCTTGATTTTACATTTCTTCATTTATTTTTGCCCAAGATATATACACAGAGAGATAGACAGCAAAAGGCAGAATTTCATTTTAATAGATCAGAATGAAGAGTAACAAAGCAAAAAACATTCAGATTTACATTATATTTTATGCAGTAAAAATTAAGAAGCAAATGACTTTCAAACAGACTGAGCCTTACCTCAATCTTACTCCTCCTGTTCCAAGGGACAGCACTCCAAGTGATCAGCAGACACTCCCAGCCTACATACAGTGAACCAGACATAGGGGATAAGCAACGCCTTCATGCTCCCAAAACCACAGTGGGAAGGAGTGTGATGGCTTCCTGGGGAATCTGAACACATATAGTATTTGTAAATCACTGCTCGTTGAGACATACACCAAAACAAAATGTTTTACCTGTGGTTTGTCTACAGGAGTACTTAAAATTAACAGGTGTATAAAATAGTGCAAAAATAATCCCATACCAGCATGAACTCACAGTGATAGCTAAACTTTTTCCATGGAGATGTTAAGATAATTAACTGTCACCAGTCAAAATTAATACATTATAAAAACTTTATTCAATGTCTTTACTGATTAAAAGCTTGATATACCTGAATCACTTCTTTCTTCATAGACCTATAACCACCTCTAAACCAGGAACTACCACTAACAAAATGTTAAAAAATATCATCAGCATTTTTGAGGTGCCCAAAGCAGTGCCTGGCAAAATGCAATAAATGTTCGTTTATGAAAGAATGAATGGAGAAAGAGAAAGAATACTACTTTTTTTTTTTTTTTTTTTTTTTGAGTCAGAGTCTCGCTTTGTCGCTGAGGCTGGAGTGCAGTGGCACGATCTCGGCTCATTGTAACCTCTGCCTCCCAGATTCAAGTGATTCTTGTCCCTCTGCCTCCAGAGTAGCTGGGACTACAGGCACATGCCACCCCACCGGCTAATTTTTGTAGTTTTAGTAGAGACAGGGTTTCGCCATGCAGGCTCAATCTCCTGACCTCATGTGATATGCCCGCCTCGACCTCCCAAAGTGTTGGGATTACAGGCGTTAGCCACCACACCCAGCCAAGAAAGAAAGAATACCATTGAAGAAAAATAATTATTTAAAGCTTAAGGAAAAAGATAATGTTTACAATAATGAGAACTATCAGTACAACTACAAACAGAATTACCTAACATTGCACTTGAAAGTTTATACTAGACTCCAGTTAGGCTATATTTCCTACCACTCTAAACTCAGAAGGTACAATGATTCTGATACTGTTTTTGTTCATGTAGGGTTCCCTTTAAACCTCACCTACAGACAACACACCAACTTTTGCCTGAATAATACATACAGAGCTCCGGCCCACAGCTGCAGGCCTCAGAGTTGGAGTTTGCGTACTGTCTTTCAATGATATAGATTGTCACAGGGAGACAGTGTACAGGCCAAATTCATTGAAGATGGATAATACTTCTAGTGAAGACAATGTCCTGTGAGAGTAAACAAGGATGCTGAAATGAGAGTCACTAAGATTTAATAGATTCAACGAACTCACTTCATGGCAGTAAGAGAAGATGAAATTTCATGGATTTAAGGATGGAAAGACCATTTAACAACATAAATGTTAGAGTTTTCTTATCCTTCTTTAGTGTTGCACACATTAAACAATGGTACACAAATTAGTGAAAAGAAGCTTTTAAATTTAGATTTATAAGAATTGGACTGAAAACGCCTGGAACTTACATGTATGATGAAGTCTAAGTTTGTCTATCATTTCAAATAGCCACAGTGCTGAAAAGAAAGTATGAGTCACAATTCAAAAACAACGGAGGAAAGAAAAAAATGAACAGAGAAAAGCTTTGGATCCAAATACCACAAAGAAATTCCTTACTTAAAATGTTGTCAATGACAGTCACCACTCTGACTTGGAGTAAGAAAGGTCCACACTGTCCTCTACGTGGGAACAAACTCATCCAGCCCCACATAACCCTTCCAGTTGCATCCACCTCAATGTTCAGCCACCAATATAGTCAGCCACAATCCCTAGCAAGCAACAGGAATCCTAACAGATCTGAGTCACCCACTCCCACGCAGTAAGAGGTCACTCTCCATCAGGAAGCCCACTCTGCAAAGTTTCCTTGTTCATCTCCCAGGCTGCCACCACCATGACCCACATAAAGCTGATTCTCCAATCTCAGTAGCCTATCAACCCTCCTCTACACTCCCCAAACCACAACTCCCACCGGCCTCACCCTAACGACAAGACAGCTAGCACTACTCACCGTGTGCCACTACTCACTCCTGTGATAAGTTCCTTGCCTGAAAACCACTCCTCGTCAGGGTGCATCAGGGCCCCGGAGGATCCAGCTCTCTGCTTAACTCTCTTGTGCCCAGCTGAGCTCCTGCCTTTCCAGGAACTAATCACCAGTTACCTCAGGGAAGCTAAACTCTCAATGCCTCTTCTGCCCCAGCCCGACCCCAGTCTGCCAAATTCCCAGACCTCAGGAGAGGGGGTCGGGGAGACGCATCCAGATGCGCCTTAGGGATTAGACACACAGAAGCCCCTAAAATTCCAAATACTTTCCCAACCCCACACCGCGCTCTGGTCATCCTCCGGGGCGCCAGCATCCAGAGCCAAAAGCGCAGAGGGGCAACAGTTAAGTCTCCGTGTCCCTACGACTCCCTTCCCCGGCTACGAAATCCTCAAATATCAAGCCACTGAGGCCCCGGGTCGAGGCCCAAGACCCCCGCCAAGCCTCCGGCCACTGGAGTTTCCCGGGTGGGGGACCCCGTGCCCCGAAGGCCCGGGCCGCTGGGTCCATCTAGCTGCCCCGAGCCACTGCATGGCAGGGGCCCAGGCCGCGTCTCCAGTCGGTCCCCATTGTTGCGGGACCCGGCGGCCCCGGCCGGGAGCGAGGAACCGGCACCGGCGTCTCACCTCCTGCGCCGCGGCTCCGGGCCGCGCCGGACCGCGCAGGGCCGAGGGACCTCACGTTCAGCTTCGCCCGCCTAGGCAAAGTCTGCGGCGGCGGAGGCGGGGGCGGCGGCTGAGGCGGGAAGCAGCCGGCCAGGCCCGGGCGCCGCGGGCTGGCTCTGGCCAAGCGTCGGTCTCCACCGGCGGCGGCGCTCGCCAGCCTCCGCTCACGGTCCGCGCCAGAAAGCGTCCCCCTCCCGGCCCGCGCGCCCGACCGCACGGACGGGAACACGCGCCGCGGAGAGGAAAGTTCCGCTGAGAGCCGACTGAAGGCCGTTCCCCTGCGCCGGGTGTACGGCGATTCCTGCCTGGATGGGACCGTTTCTGGAATGAATGCCGCACAGAAATCCCAAGCCAGAAGCTGCCTGAGAATGGTTCTAGGGGTGGGTCCAACGGAATGGTTTTGCACTCGCCAGCCATTTAGCATCTCAATTGAGCCTCAGTTTCTCCTCATTTCTCATTGGGAATAATCTAGGCGGCTTGTTAGGATTGAATGAGGTGATGCGAATACCTAGCTCAGAGATAGGGAGCTCTACACCGGGGTACGATCGTTACTGATCCTGCCAATGCTGCTGCTACTGTTGCCTCCAACATAGGTTGTGCTCAGCCCTCAAGGGCCCTTGAAATTATGCGCATCATGTAACTCTTCTTTTTTCACCCTCGGTCCCCACCTACCATCCTGTTTCCTGTTAAGTGAAGCTGTCTTCAGAATTCCCTGGAAGAGAAGCAGAGGCAAAAGGGGGCTTTCTTGATTGCTGACACTCAGGTGGAGGTTAAGGGTGCAGGTTCTCCTTCCTCAAGTTGGGAATTACTGCCATGTGGCCATGTGGGCTCCAGTTACTGATGGGACTGTAACGGCTCTCTCCACTATAGCCTCAGGTTCTCTTCTCCTCTTCCCAATAAGTGAATGTTGACAAAATGATTTTTTTTTTTTTGAGAAGGAGTTTCGCTCTTGTCGCCCAGGCTGGAGTGCAGTGGCGGGATCTTGGCTCACTGCAACCTCCGCCTCCTGGGTTCAAGCTATTCTCCCGCCTCAGCCTCCCGAGTAGCTGGGATTACAGGCGCCCGCCACCACGCCCCGCTAATTTTTTGCATTTTTAGTAGAGACAGGGTTTCGCCATATTGGGCAGGCGGGTCTCGAACTCCTGACCTCAGGTGATCCTGCCCACCTCTGCCTCCCAAAGTGCTGGGCCACCAGGCGTGAGCCACCACCTCTGGCCGACAAAGTGATGTTTTAAATTACAAAAGTGCATCTTTCTTTGAAGGCTTTGTATTTTACTCATAAAATCAAGAGGATAGCAATTCCTTTCTCGTCCCCACTTTCCTTTTCTTCTAGGCCTTCACACCTCTAAGATACCAGATGCGGTTATTTTTGGAGCTAACTCTTGATGGGAATTTAGATCTGCAGAAGGTGTTCCAAAAAAAATCCTAATTTTCAGGTGTTCTCAAATTTCCCATTTTTACATACCCCCTTGGCTTCTGAGACACATATATGCCTGATTTTTCATTTATATTATTTTCTGGAGGTAATGAAAGGGTTCTGCCTGTCAAAAGGCACTTTGCTATCTAATATGGATCTGTGTCCCCACCCAAATCTCATGTTGAATTGTAATCCCCAATGTTGGAGGTGGGGTCTGGTGGGAAGTAATGGGATCATGGGGGTAGATCCTTCATGAATGGCTTAGCACTGTCCCTTTGGTTCTCTTCTTGTGAGTTCTCACAAGATCTGGTTGTTTAAAAGTGTATGGTGTCGGCTAGGCGCGGTGGCTCATACCTATAATCCCAGCACTTTGGGAGGCCGAGGCAAGTGGATCACCTGAGGTTAGGAGTTTGAGACTAGCCTGGCCAAAATGGCAAAACCCTGTCTCTACTAAAAATGCAAAAATTAGCCAGGCATGATGGTGTGTGTCTGCAATCCCAGCTACTCGGGAGGCTGAGGCAGGAGAATCACTTGAACCCAGGAGGTGGAGATTGCAGTGAGCTGAGATTGTGCCACTGCACTCCAGCCTGGGCAACAGTGAGGCTGTCTTAAAAAAAAAAAGTGTATGGCACCTCCCCCCACTTCTCTTTTCCTCCTACTCCAGCCTTGTGAGGTGCTCGCTCCCCCTTCGCCTTCCACCATGAATGTAAGTTTTCTGAGTCCTCCCCTGAAGCCCAGCAGATGCCAGCATCATGCTTTCTGTACAGCCATGAGCCAATTAAACCTCTTCTTTATAAATTATCCAGTGCCAGGCATTTATTTATAGCAGTGTGAGAACAGACTAATAGAGTGTTCCTTCTGGAAACAGCAGGCTCATGGGTTAGAAAGCAGCACAGTCAAAGCCTCTGGAAGCTTCTCCGCTTCCTCAGGTAAGAGGAACTTCATCCTAGGTTCTTCAGAGGCAAAGAATGCCTCAAAAGCTGGTTCCAGCCAAGTGCAGTGGCACATTTCTGTAGTCCCAGCTTCTCAGAAGGCTGAGGCAGGAGGCTCACTTGAGCCCAGGAAGTCAAGTTCAGCTTGGGCAATATAGCAAGACACTATCTCTTAAAAAAATAAATAAAAATTTTAAAAAGCTAGTTAACTTCTCTCCAGCAGCCTGAGGTCAGATCAGCATTCCGACCCCTCCCAGCTTCATGTCTTGCATTTTACTCATTTGGCCTCTTAGCTGGGACTCTCCGGGTGACACATAGAGCATATTTGGCCTCAGGAGTTGAAACAGGTTCACATGAAAGCCCCAGAGACTACCAAAGAGAGGAGAAAGAAACCAGTCAGGTTGGCCAGATATATTTAAACGCACACACACACACACACACACACACACACACACACTCCTATTGTTAATCCCCCCACCCCCATCCCCTGGCCCCCAATTAAAAGACTTAAGGCACAACCACCAAAACATAGACACTTACCTTTCTCATGTCACTAAAGTAGGAGCCACAAAGGCCAGAGCTAGCTCCCCTGGTGATGGAAGCCTCTTCCATTCCCTCCTCCCAGGATGGCATTGTCCTTCTGTAACATCTGTTTCCCCACCCTTCTAGAAATTCCCTGACTACTTGGATGATGTCATGCCCGCACAACAACCTCTGAGATTCATGGTACCCCAAAATTCACCTGTAGAAAGATTTGGTTCTATTAGGGGAAGTCCCTAGAGTGATTTATGCATACACCTGCCTATTGTTGGCTATACCTTTAAGTGAGTTTAAAAGATCTGGGACTGCCCTTCTGGGATTAGGCAAAATTCACCAGGGACTTGTTGGTTAATCAGAAACCAGAACAAGGTTTTCTTCATCACCATGAAAACACACATGGAAAAACACTCTCTTCATTTTTTTTTTTTTTTTTTTTTTTGAGATGGAGTCTTGCTCTGTCACCCAGGCTGGAGTGCAGTGTCGTGATCTCGGCTCACTGCATCCTCCACCTCCCAGGTTCAAGCCACCCTCTTCATTTTATCTGTTTCACCTCCTGCTTATTCCGTGAGAGTTAGATCAATCCTGCACCCACCAGCCACACTTAATGGCCCCCCCTCACTTCTGAATGCCAAAGCCATGATCACTCTGAACCAGATTCCAAGGTGACAAAGGGTTGTATTGCTTTCTTCAACAGTCATCCCATTCTTGGGATATTTTTACCTTTTCTGCTTGTATACCACTCATCACCCAGATTATAATGTCCTAGGAGATTTTTTAAAAATCGACCCCAGTATCTAATGACGGCCTAGCATAATTGCTACGCCATAAAATTCCCCATTCAGCAACTATTTACTGGGTACCAATATGTACCAGGCACTGGCCAGGCACGGTGGCTCATGCCTGTAATCCCAGCACTTTGGGAGGCCAAGGCGGGCGGATCATGAGGTCAGGAGATCAAGACCATCCTGGCTAACATGGTGAAATCCCGTCTCTACTAAAAATACAAGAATTAGCCAGGCGTGGTGGCGGGCGCCTGTAGTCCCAGCTACTCAGGAGGCTGAGGCAGGAGAATGGCGTGAACCCAGGAGGCAGAACTTGCAGTGAGCCGAGATGACGCCATTGCACTCCAGCCTGGGTGACAGTGCGAGACTCCGTCTCAAAAATAAATAAATAAATAAATAAATAAATAAAAGATGTACCAGGCACTGTACCCAATGCTGGGGAATACTAGTAAGACATGACAGGCATGACCATAAGCATTTTACAGTTATTAACTCATTTAATCCTCACATCAACATTCCACTTCAAAGGTGGAAAAATAAGCTGAGAAGTCAGAAGAGCGATGGGGTTTGAGTGCAGATCATCTAGGTCCAGAGCCCATGCTTATAACCATCCCCAACATGAATGAGGAAGTATGTTCAGAGTTGAGCCTAGAAGAGTGTGGTCTGTAGAATGTGACTAATAGAAACCTATCCTATATGGATGTTCATTCAAATGAACAGATGTTTATTGTTCCCCAGTTGTATTTCAGATGCTGATATGCCCTGGGGAACACAGCACTAAACAGGAGGGAACAGGTCTCTGCCCTCAAGTAGCTTACCTTCTAAACAGGTGAGAAAGACAGTACAAAATAATTGCAAATTCTAATAAGTTCTGAAAACACGAAACAGAGACCAGTATGGGAGAGAGGCTGTTGGAAGAGGGAAGGCATTGGGTAAGACCAACCCAATGAGGTGTCCTGTGAGCTGAATCCTGAATGCCAAGAATGCTAACGAGAACCATGTAAAGTCTCAGGGAAGAAGAATTCTAGGCAGAGGGACCAGAACTTGGGGGCAACATGGTGTGTAGGTGTAGTGAGAAGCCCCAGATAACTGCCCTGTGAAAGATTCTCCCCAGGGCCTGAAAGCTTGAAGGGATGAGTAACTCCTCCCTTCTCAGGCCCAGTCCCAAGGCAAAAGGCCACTTGCGCTAGCAGTGTGCGTCAGCAAGATAGCAGAAGCAGGAAGAGAGCCGGCCGGAAGACACCTACCCAGGCCGGAAGACACCTCCCCTGGCCGGAAGACACGTAACTCTGAAGATCGAGAAAAAGGCCACCCAGGTACCACGTAGCAGTTACGTCAGACTGGGACACTTCCTGTTTACAGGAGACTATAAAACCCCTGCCCCATCCTCACTTGGGGCTGATGCCATTTTAGGCCTCAGCCCGCCTGCACCCAGGCGCTCATTAAAACAGTGTGTTGCTCCACACCGCCTCGTGTTGTCCATTGGCGTGCTCTCGGGGTTTGAACCGATACAAGAACTTTCATCTGGTGCCGAAACCTGGGGCAGGGGTTTTCCGCTCCTCCTAGGCACCACCTCCCAAAAAGCTGAACTCATTGCTGTCACTCAAGCTCTCACTCTAGCAGCCAGACAACAAATTAACATATATTTGGATTCTCGTTATGCGTTCCATGAAGTACACTCACACTCGTCTATCTGGAAAGAACGAGGTTTCCTAACTGCAAAAAACACTCGTGTCATAAATGGCTCTCTCATCAGCAAGCTCCTTCAAGCTGCCAGTCTCCCACAGAAAGTTGCCATCATTCATTGCAGGGGCCACCAAATCCCAGACAATTCTATATCGGCCGGAAATGCTTTAGCAGATCAGGTAGCCAAACAAGTAGCCCTATAACCCATGCAAGGCCAGTTTCTGTCCCTGTCCTTGTTCTCTCCTCTTTCCTCCTCAGAAGAAAAGGAGGACTTCCAGGCCCAGAACCTCCAAAAGCAAGGACCACGGTATGTCAAGGAAGGGCACTTCGTTCTTCCTCACTCTCAAACAATTCCTATCCTCCAAAGTCTCCACAACTCTTTTCATGTCGGTTACAAACCTCTCTTACAACTTCTCCGCCCTATTCTCACTTGTGCTCACCTTTCCAGCCATGTCTGAGAGATTACCCAGTCCTGCTCTATCTGCCACTCAGTGTCACACCCAGGTTCCCTCCAGCCACTGCCTTTTCCTACCCACCAAGCCCAGGGCCAGATACCCGGGCAAGATTGGCAAGTAGATTTCACTCACATGCTGCCCGATAAATGGCTCCGCTATCTTCTAGTCTTTGTACTTTCTCTGGGTGGGTAGAAGCATTCCCAACAACTTCAGAGGGTGCAAATATCATCACACAAACGCTCATCATGCCTATAATTCCCCGTTTTGGACTCCCAACATCCATCTAGTCCAAAAACAGGCCCTCCTTCATCACCTTATCTAAGGTGTCTCCACATCCTGAGGAATAAAGTGGGTTCTCCACATCCTGAGGAATAAAGTGAGTTCTCCACACACCCTACAGGGCTCAATCTTCAGGCAAAGTTTTATTTTATTTTATTTTTATTTTTGGAGATGGAGTCTTGCTCTGTCACCTAGGCTGGAGTGCAGTGGTGTGATCTTGGCTCACTGCAATCTCCGCCTCCCAGGTTCAACCGATTCTCCTGCCTCAGCCTCCTGAGTAGCTGGGACTACAGGCACCCGCCACCATGCCCAGCTAATTTTTGTATTTTTTTAGTAGAGACAGGGTTTCACCATGTTGGCCAGGATGGTCTCAATCTCTTAATCTCATGATCCGCCCGCCTCGGCCTCCCAAAGTGCTGGGATTATAGGCGTGAGCCACCATGCCTGGCCAAGGCAAAGTTGAAAAAGTCAACTCTGTCCTTAAAGCCCAACTCACCAAGCTAGCTCTAGAAACCCATCTGTCGTGGACAAGAAATCTCCCTTTTGCCATCATGAGACCGCAACACCAAAAGCACCCTCTTTTTATAGTCCTTTCGAAATCATGTATGGCCGAACTTTTGTCTTAGGGCCTCCATCCTCACCAGACTCTGAGCCACTCAGGAATTACCTCCCCTCCGTAATCCAGACACGGTCTTTCATCCATGAAGCAGCAAATGAGGCAATGCCTCTCCCTGTCGACACCTCCTTGTCCTCTCAACATAACTGTCTTGCAGGAACAGACGTGTTCATCTGCCAACCTGACCTTCACAAAAAGCTACGACCAAAGTGGACAGGCCCCTACACTGTGATACTCAGCACACCAGCTGCAGTGAGAGTCCAAAGATTCCCCAACTGGATCCATCGCACCAGGGTCAAGCTCATCCCCAAGGCTACGTCTTCCTCCAAAACATTAGCAGCTAAGTGGTCGTCAAGCACAATTTCTCCTACCAAGCTTAAATTAACCAAAAAACTTTCTTAAAACCAAAAACCCCCTAGAAAGTGTAAACATGGAGAAGACTAATTACCTGCTTCCAGAAATGGCCTGTATCTACCCAACCGCTTGCTGTGCCTCACTTCCAACCACAAGTCTTCTTTTTTTTTTTTTTTTTTTGAGATGGAGTCTCGCCCTGTTGCCCAGGCTGGAATGCAGTGATGCTAACTCGGCTCACTGCAACCTCCGCCTCCCAGGTTCAAGCAATTCTCCTTCCTCAGCCTCCCGAGTAGCTGGGATTACAGATGTGTGCCACCACTCCAGGCTAATTTTTTGTATCTTTAGTAGAGATGGAGTTTCACCATGTAGGCCAGCCTGGTCTGGAACTCCTGACCTCATGATCCACCCACCTCGGCCTCCCAAAGTGGTGAGATTACAGGTATGAGCCACTGTGCCTGGCCCCAACCAAAAGTCTTAATACGGAAATATCCCTCATCACAGTCTTAATGCTGTCAGTAGACGCCCTGCTGTCCACAGCAGCCCTCCAAGCTGCCATGAGTGTTATCAGTCTTTCTACTATGGAGGAAAAATCCAACAGTCCTTTACTTACCATACCCATATAGAAAGATCCTGTTATGGAGTCTTAGTCAAAGAATGTGTTGAATCAGGGAAAAGTTATTATAAAGTAAAGCATCTAGGAGTATCTGGCAGTCGTAATGGGGCTATATGCCATTATGCCATAATGGGGCTATATGCCGCAAAGGGAAGCAGTGGCTTTGTTTCACCAAAACTGGACAACGCGGAGTAAACACTCAAGTGCTAGAGGACATAAAGAGAGAACAGATTATAGCCAAAGCAAAAGCTAAAGCCGACAGCTACCCCCCAAAACCACCCATAGTATTTCCACCCCTTTATAAAAAACTACCAGGAGATGTATCCCTTCCCAAGCCAGGAAAAAAACCTGTTTGTAGATCTAGGAGAACGCATCGCACTTACCATGAATGTGTCCAATTGCTGGGTATGCAGGGGAGCCCGTATGAGTGAACAGTGGCCGTGGTATGTCATAGACATTCCCCCTTACTTACTAATATCCCAAAACTACAGCCTCACTTTCACTCCTCAGGAATGCCCGCAGTCCTGAACACTTACCAACCCAGTAAGAGGGATGGTGTGCATATCCCACAAGTGGACTAGTAAAACCCGTTGCACCATAGGTGAAAGCACTTGTCACCAAACCCTAACAGTCAACACCTCCACAGCCAAGTGGTGGCCAAGGTTACCGCACAGAGCCTGGTCTCCCTCTAACTTAAGCTATCTCAATTGTGTTCCATCAAAAAGAGCCTGGAACTGTACAAATACCACTAACCCTTATGCCACATACTCCCGCCTAAGTGCACTATGGAACAATCCTACGAACACCAGCCTACAATGGATTGCCCCTGATGGATTCTTTTGGGTATGTGGAACCCAAGCTTACTCATGGCTACCTTATCACTGGCAAGGTACTTGCTTCCTAGGCACAATTAAACCTGACTACTGACTTCGCGAATGCACAAGGTGGGAGTGTAGTGAAAGGAAGAAGACTTGCTGAAGAAGTCCTTTTAAGGGTGAGGAGGACTCGGATTGAAGAATAGCATGACAAAAGGCATGGATGTAGGAAAGACAAGAGAGAGGTAGTCCTAGCTGGACTTGAGGGTTTGTCTGGGAAGGCCAGGATGTACCATCCCTAGTGATTCCCAACAGCTCAGTCAGTAGCCACTCTCAAGTCACTTTAGAGCCAAAGTTTTGGTGGCAGGGTCAGCTTTCATGATAAAAATACTCAGCAAACTAGTAAAGAAAGAAAGTTGGTCAGGCACACTGGCTTACACCTGTAATCCCAGCACTTTGGGAGGCCGAGGTGGGCAGATCACTTGATGTCAGGAGTTCAAGACCAGCCTGGCCAACACGGTGAAACCCCATCTCTACCAAAAATATAAAAAATTAGCTAGGCATGGTGGTGCACGCCAGTAATCCCAGCTACTCATGAGGCTGAGGCAGGAGAATCGCTTGAACCCGGGAGGTGGAGGTTGCAGTGAGCTGACATTGTGCCACTGCACTCTGGCCTGGGCAACAGAGCGAGACTCCCTCTCAGAAAAAAAAAAAAGAAAGAAAGAAAGTTATTTAATCTAAAAAGGGCATTTATATAAAACCCACAGCTAAATCATACTCAATGGTGAAATACTGAAACCTTTGTACCCTTTCTCCATAAGACCAGAATGTATTGCAAGTTCTAGCCAGAGCAATTAGGCAAGAAAAAAAAGGCATCTAAATTGGCCTTTTCATGAGAAAAGCACTCAACAAACTAGGAATAGAAGAAACATAATAAAGATTGTATATGAAAAATTCATAACTAATATCATGTTTAAGGATAAAACTTGAAACTGTTTCCTCTAAGATCAGAAACAAGACAAGGATGCCCACTTTTTTTTTTTTTTTTTTTTTGGAGACGAAGTCTCACTCTTGTTGCCCAGGCTGGAGTGCAATGGCACAATCTCAGCTCACTGCAACCTCCACCTCCCGGGTTCAAGTGATTCTCCTGCCTCAGCCTCCTGAGTAGCCGGGATTATAGGCGCCTGCCACCACGCCCAGCTAATTTTTGTATTTTCATTAGAGACAGGGCTTCCCTGGCCAGGATGGTCTTGAACTCCTGACCTCAGGTGATCCAGCCCACCTCGGACTCCCAAAGTGCTGGGATTACAGGCGTGAGCCACCACGCCCAGCCTAGATGCCCACTTTTGCTGCTTCTTTTTAACATAGTTCTGGAAATCCTAGCCAGAGCAATTAGGCAAGAAAAAGAAATATAACAAATCCAAATTGGAAAGGAAAAAGTAAAATTATCTCTATTTTCAGATGGCCAATGATTTTTTATTTATTTCTTTATTTATTAGAGACAGAGTCTCACTTTGTTGCCCAGGCTAGAGTGCAGTGATGCAATCATAGCTAAGTGCAGCCTGGGACTCCAGGAAACTCAAGCAGTCCTCTTGCCTCAGCCTCCAGAGTAGCTGGGACTATAGGTATATCAGGTTTTTTTTTTTTTGTTTTGTTTTTTTTGTAGAGAAAGGGTCTCACTATGTGCCCAGGCTGGTCTCAGAACTCCCAGCCTCAAGTGATATTCTTGCCTTGCCTCACCCTTCCAAAGTGCTGGGACTACAGGCATGAGCCACCACACCCAGCCAGCTGACATGATTTTATATGTAGAAAACCTACAGAGTCTACCAAAAAAAAAAATATGTGTCAGAACTAATAAAGGCAGCAAGGTTGCAGAATACAAAATCAACACACAGGCTGGGTGCAGTGGCTCAAGTCTGTAATCTCAGCACTTTGGGAGGCCAAGGCGGGTAGATCACCTGAGGTCAGGAGTTTAAGACCAGCCTGGCCAACAAGGTGAAACCCCGTCTCTACTAAAAATACAAAAAATTAGCCAGCCATGGTGGCGGACGCCTGTAATCCCAGCTATTTGGGAGGCTGAGGTAGCAGAATTGCTTGAACCCAGGAGGCAGTGGCTGCCGTGAGCCGAGATTGCCCATTGCACTCCAGCCTGGGCAACAAGAGCGAAACTCTGTCTCAAAACAAAAACAAAATCAACTCACAAAAATCAGTTGAAGCCAGGTTCAGTGGCACACGTCCATAATCCCTCAAACTCATGAGGCTGAGGCAGGAGGATTGCCTGAGACCAGGAGTTCATGTTCAGCCTGGACACAACAATGAGACACTGTCTCTAAAAAATAATTAAAAAAAACAACTTAAAAACTCAGTTGAATTTTTGTACACTAACAACGAACAATTCAAAGGAAATTAAGAAAATAGGCCAGGCATAGTGGCTTGCACCTGTAATCCCAGCACACTGGGAGGCCAAGGCAGGCAGATCACTTGAGGTCAGGAGTTGGAGACCGGCCTGGGTAACATGTTGAAACCCTGTCTCTACTAAAAATACAAAAATTAGCCAAGCATGGTGGCAGGCACCTGTAATCCTAGCTACTCAGGAGGCTGAGGCAGGAGAATCACTTGAACCCGGGAGGCAGAGGTTGCAGTGAGCTGAGATTGACCCATTGTACTCCAGCCTGGGTGACAGGGTGAGTCTCCATATCAAAAAAAAAAAAAAAAAAAAAAAGAGAGAGAAAAAGAAAGAAAATAATTCCATTTGCAATAGCATCAAAAAGAACAAACTAGGCTAGGCATGGTGGCTCATGCCTGATTTTGGGAGGCCAAGGCAGGAGAATTGATTGAGGTGAGGAGTTTGAGACCAGCCTGGGCAACATAGCGAGACCCTGTCTCCATGAAAATATTTAAAAAGTAGCCAAGTGGCAAATGTCTATAATCTTAGCTAGTCAGCTTCTCGGGAGACTGAGGTGAGAGGATCGCTTGAGCCCCAGAGTGAGCTATGGCCATGCCAGTGCACTCCAGCCTGGGCAAAGAAGTAAAACCCTATTGGCCGGGTGCAGTGGCTCACGCCTGTAGTCCCAGCACTTTGGGAGGCAGAGGTGGGCAGATCACGAGGTCAGGAGTTCGAGACCAGCCTGACCAACATGGTGAAACCCCATCTCTACTAAATACAAAAATTAGCCGGGCATGGTGGCACACGCCTATAATCCCAGCTACTCAGGAGCTGAGGCAGGAGAATTGCTTGAACCTGGGAGGCAGAAGTTGCAGTGAGCAAAGATTGCGCCATCGCACTCCAGCCTGGGCGACAGAGCAAGACTCCATCTCAAAAAAAAAAAAAAAAAAAAAAGAAGTAAGACCCTATTGCAAAAAGAAAAAAATACTTAGGAATAAACTTAACTAAGGAGACAAAAGACTTGTATACAGAAAACTATAAAACTGCTGAAATAAAGACACAAATAAAAATCCTGTGTTCATGGATTGAAAGACTTGATGTTATTAAGATGGCAATATTACCAAAAGTGATCAACAGATTCAATGCAATCCCTATCAAATTCCAATAACATTTTTTGCAGAAATAGAAAAACCCATCCAAAAATTCATGTGAACTCTCCAGAGATCCCCAAATACCCAAAACAATCTTGAAAATGAAGAACAATGTTGGAGATCCCACACTTGCTGATTTCAAAACTAACTATAAAGCTACAGTAATTAAAAATGTGTGGTACTGGCACAAAGAACACCTTATAGACTAATGAAATGGAATAGAGATCCCAGAAGTAAATCCTTCCATATATGGTCAAAAGACAGTTTTTTCAACCAGTGTTGCTGGGAAAATTGGCTATCCTCATACAAAAGAATGCAGTTGGACCCCCAGCTTACACTATATACAAAAATTAAGTAAAAATGCATAAAAACCTAAACGTAAGAGTGAAAACTGTAAAACTCTTGGAAGAAAATATAGAAGGGAAAGCTTCGGGATATTGATTTGGCAATGATTTCTTGGAAATGACAACAAAAATACAAGCAACAAAATAAAATAGATAAGTTGGACTTCATCATTAAAAATTTGTGTGCATCAAAGGACACTATTAACAGAGTGAAAAAGCAACCTATGGAATGGGAGAAAATATTGCAAGTTATATATCTGATAAGGGATTGGTATCTGGAATATATAAAGAACTTCTGCAGGAGCCAGGCATGGTGGCTTACAGCTGTAATCCCAGTTACTCAGGAGGCTGAGGCAGGAGGATAGCTTGAGCCCACGAATAACATACCCTCAGCAACATAGTGAGATCCCAGCTCTCAAAAAGTTAAAAAAAAAAAAAAAAAAGCTGGGTATGATGGTGCACACCTGTAGTCCCAGCTACTTGGGAGGCTGAGGTTGGAAGATCAGATAACTTCAGCCCAGGAGTTGGAGGCTGCAGTGAGCTATGATTGTGCCACTGCACTTCAGCCTGGACAACAGAGTGAGACCCCACCTCTAGAAATAAATAAATAAAGACAGAAAGAACTTCTACAATTAAACAACAACAACAAACACCTGATTCAAAAGTGGGCAAAGAATTTGGACATTTCTCCAAAGAGGAGCTATATAATGGCCAATAAACATGGGGAAGGATGTCCAACATCACTAAATAGGGAATAAAAATAAAAACTACAGTAAGATATTGCTTCACATTTATTAGGATGGATGTTTTTAAGTATAGGATGTTATTTTTTAAAAAACAGAAAATAACAATTCTTAGTAAGAATGTGGAGAAACTGGAAACTTTGTGTCTTGCTGGTAGAGATGTAAAAACTACAGCAACTCTGTAAACGGTATGGCCATTTCTCAAAAAATTAAACATAGCATTACTGTAATTCCACTTCTGGATATATATCCAAAAGAAACAAAAGCAGGCCTTGAACAGATATTTGTACATTCATGTTCATGGCAGCATAATTCACCATAGCTAAAAAGTAGAAGCAACCCAAGTGTCCACAGACAGATAAACGAATAAACAAAATGTGGTGTATAAATTGATGGACTATTATTCAGCCTGTAAAGGAAAGGAAAATCTGACACATGTTATAATATGGGTGAACCTTGAAGACATTATGCTAAGTTAATTATGCCAGACATAAAAGGGACAAATATTATATATTCGACTTATATGAAGTACCTGGAATAGTCAATTTTATAGAGACAGAAAGTACAATGGTGGTTGCCAGAGGCCATAGGGAGTGGGGAATGGGCAGTTAT